>NC_000007.14:64324960-64627991 GCF_000001405.40 Homo sapiens | reverse complement strand
AAATAGACAATGGGTCCTTAGGTATGTGTCACAATAACTCCTGTGAACAGCATCCAGGGAGAAGGCTCACATCACCTTGGTACTGGGTCCAGCAATATGTCACAGTGCTTTCTGAGGTCAAGGCCGAGACAAATGAGTAATGTCACTTTGGTGTTGGGCCCAATGATATGTCACAATGTCCTCTGTAGGCAGAACGTAGGAAGAAGAGGAGTCACATCAGTGAAGCGCTATGTTCAGTGATATGTTACAATTCCACTTGTAAACAGAAAAACCAGGCAAATAAAGAGAGTCTCATCACCTGGGCCACGGGTGGAAGATATGTCACAATGCCTTCTATAGGCAGAGCACAGGCTGGGGGATTAAATCCCCCACAGGGGCCCACAGTGGCCCCCATGGGCAAGGCATAGGGAGGAGAGTCATATAACCTAAGTGTGAAGAACAGTCATATGTCAAAATTCTCCCTGTAGGCAAACCTAAGGCAAAAGAATAAATTCACATCGACTAAGTGCTGGGTGCAGCAATATATAACCATTCAGTCTGTCAGCTGAGCCCAAGAAGGAAAGTAAAATTGCTCAAGTGCTAGGCGGAGGTGTATGTCACAATTGCAGCCGTAGGAAGGTCCAGGCATGAAATTAAGAATCCTGCACATGTCCCAGTTCCAGGTATGAGAGGCGCCACCTCCTGTATGTTGGGTCTAAGTGTGTGACCCAGTCTCAACACTTTACTGAATCCATCCACAAGAGCCTCAATCCCTCCTGCAGACTGTGTCCCTTTAATGGAGTCAAAGCCTCATAGATATGCTCGATCTTGGTCTGAAGGTCACCTACCCACCTATGAACCAAAGCAATGTATGAGTTAATTTTTCAACTTCTACTTTTTTTGGATGTGAGATTCAGAACCTCAACAGTGGCCTGTGTTCATGTAGAAGAATGACAATTTTATTGTTGGCTGGGTGTGTATATGAGTGTCATAATCTCACCTGTGTGCCATGCTTTGTTAGGACACCCTCTGTAACACCTGAGGGCTTTATACAATATACATTAAAGTCACAATCTGCTCTAAGATTTTTGTGTTTGTATGAACCCATGATTCTACCTGTGGCCCAAAGCTCAAATATGATAGTCAACATCTCTCCAATTTGATATGTCTACATAGAACAGCTCAAACCTGCCAGAATTAGAAACGAGTTGCCATTTCAACTGTAGCTGGATGTTTACATATGACAGTCACAGTCCGAACTGTGAGCTGTGTCAACATGTGAGACTAAGGACCTCCCCAGTTGGCACTGTCCATATGTGTGAGGTGACAATATTAACAGTTTGTGGGGTGCACATATGAGAAACACAATCTCACTTGTTTACTGTGACACTCTCTCTACCACTTGAGGGCTTTATATGATATGTAAAAGAATGGTAATTTTTTATGACCTTCATTCAAAGAGGAGACTCATCATCTTACTTTTTTTTCTAAGACTAGCTATGGAAGACAGTATCTCTTCTATTGGCTGATTTGAAGTATGAGAGTAATCAATACACCTGTGAGCTGGATAAAATATATGTCACAAACCCACCTGTGGGTTGTGAGTGAGAAGTCATACCATGTAGGTTTTTGGCCAAGGATATGTCACAGTCTTCCCTTAGGGCAGAAATCAAGCAGGAGAGTCATATCACCTAGGAGCTCAGCCACAGATATGTTACAATCCTCTCCTGAAAACAGACCACACGCAGCAGAGTCATAGTGAAGTGGCTTCATTGTCTGGGGAAATACCCGAAGTTTGTTGTCCTGCACTGAGAAGAGTAATGACTCGAACACACACACGGAATGAGTTTCAGGAGCAGAAAGTTTAATAGACAAAAGACAGAAGAGAGAGAGGGAGAGAGAGAGCTTCCTCCTGCGGAGAAAGTGGGTCACCATAGCAGGTTTCCAGGTTTGGGGCAGAATGTGATCAATTTTATAGAGAGGCTTGAGGAGGCAGTGATTGATTTATATATGTCCCAGGAAATTGGTTTGACCAGGTGTGGCATTTACATAGCACACGAGGAAACTGGCCCTCCCACACTAATCTTATTATGCAAATGTGGACACCCACATGCATGGTGACAAAGTAAAGGGAGAGGGAATCGCCACTTTGAGTGTACTTGGCTTTTAGTATAGCTGCTGGCATTTACATATGCAAACTTCCAGCTTGCTTATCTATGCTTGCAGTTTGACTTTTCAGGCTGCTTTCTTTTAGAAAAGAGATGGTTTTTTGGCTGCTTTTCATTGAAGGAAAATTCCACCGAGAACTCTTTTACCCTTGCTAACTGCCTAAAATATATTTTTTTAAACTCCTATGTTATTCACCCCTCAGAAGATAGTATTCTAACTGCTGTTGGGGGTGTTGGACGACGAATATTTCTGGCTACTTCCTGCTGAAAAGGGGTGTCGTGTGGGGGATCAACAGCTGGGGCTCCTCCTGAGGTTTATTTAAGTGTTCTCGGAAGAATGGCATGTCTATGGGTGGTTCTGTTTGCAGCGCCATTTGGAGTTTTTTTCTAGGTAAAAAGATAAATTTTACAAGAAGTTTTAGAATATAGGGTTTTAACATGAGTATTAAGATTATTATTATTAGTGAGAGTACTATAGGCCATAACTATGACAGCAGAGTTTGATACCTGTTACTATTTCAATTAGTTGTAATACAGGTAGATGTCCACTAGATGTCGCTGTAGACTACCAGAAACGTTACTGTAAAAGTAACATTTTTCTTTGAGAAACACATACATTTATCCCCTTGGCTTGCCGTCAGGAGATAATTTTAGGTTCGGGCAATTTTTTATAACTTGTGATATGATTAAGAGAAATACATTATTCAGTGGCTAAAGTAACTTAAGTGTTAATCTTGGCCATTTCTTTCCTTTATTAAGTTCTTTCATGACTTCCACAGATTATCTTACAACATTCTTAAACTTTCTGACTTGTCCTAAATATCCTTCCTTTAAACAACCAGTCTTTTTAGGACAAGAATTTACCATAAAAGCCTTGCTTATAAAATCTCTTTTATAACCTTCTTTCCATAGCTTGGAGTGCACCATATTGCCAATCTTTAATAAAAAGTCCTGTCAAGCTCAGTGATAGTATAACTTTCATGCTTACTTCTTGTCTGTAACTATTACCCCTGCTATAGGGATAATAATTAAGCAAAGCAACCTTGACTAAATTTTTTCTACAATTATTCAATTATTATTCCTCTTATAAAGATGATAATTAGGCAAAGTATTATGGCAATTAGAATTTTACAACTAGAATTCCACACTGTGAGTTCCATAGTGTATAGTTCTACTACAAATAGTAGAGTGAATTTAGCAACTCCCACAAGAGTGATGTAGTAATTTTTATTTATAAATTTTATTTGCCAAGGTATAGAATTTCCCTTTGGGGTTCTATGAAGTTACAAATGCAATCCTATGAATAATTAAAATTTTCTTGTAAATATGTGTTAAAAGAGAAGTTTTAATAGTTGGCGGCAAACTTGGAGAGGAAAAATAGAAATGACAAAAAGTGTCCAATGACGTAGTAGTGAGCAAGATGAGTAGCCCTAAGTTACTTATCTTTTATGATTTTCAGCTTAAGATTTTCTATTTCTTCACACTGATATTCAGGACATTCCTCTGGGCTTGTAAGGGGTTGCTCCCTCAGCTCTTCAGGACTTGACTTGAGTGTGGTGTATCCAAGAGTTGATATCTGTAATTTTTTTTTTTTTTTTTTTTTTTTTTTTTTTGAGATGGAGTCTTGCTCTGTCGCCCAGGCTGAAGTGCAGTGGTGCGATCTTGGCTCACTGCAACCTCAGCCTCCTGGGTTCAAACGATTCTCCTGCCTCAGCCTCCCGAGTAGCTGAAATCACAGCCCCATACCATGCAGCCCAGCTAATTTTTGTATTTTTAGTAGAGATGAGGTTTCACCATGTTGGCCAGGCTTGTCTCAAACTCCTGGCCTCAGGTGATCCGCCCACCTTGGCCTCCCAAAGTGCTGGGATTACAGTCATAAGCCACCACGCCCAGCAAATACCTGTAACTTTTATTGCCAAGGGAAGAGGGGGTTGAAAAAAAACAGTGTAGGGCCCTTCCCAGCTTGGGCTTAGGGAAAGAGAGAGAGAGGCATGAGATTTACTGATAGCAAATCTCCTGGGTTAAATGAAGGTGGTCTTATTTCTTAGGGTTGGGCTACTGCTAGTTGTGTTAATTTTTGTTGGAAGTGAGCTAGAGAGGTTACATACTTAACCAAATTAGGTTTTCTGCTTTAATAGAAAAATCGTTGGTAAGAAAAGGCCATTTATAGAGCTTAGACCTAACTTTGTTTTTGTTTGTTTGTTTGAGACAGAGTCCCACTCTGTCTCCCAGGCTGGAGTGCAGTGCCGCGATCTCGGTTCACTGTAAGTTCTGCCTCCTGGGTTCATGCCATTCTCCCACCTCAGCCTCCCTAGTAACTGGGACTACAGGCGCCCGCCACCACACCCAGCTTATTTTGTTTTTATATTTTTAGTAGAGATGGGGTTTCAACGTATTAGCCAGGATGGTCTTGATCTCCTGACCTTGTGATCCACCAGCCTCGGCCTCCCAAAGTGCTAGGATTACAGGCCTGAGCCACCGCACCCAGGTTACACCTAACTTGGAAGGCATATTTCTTACCCATAGTAAGGCCATGGGAAGAAGAGTGACAAGTTTTTTAAGGTGTCTCTTGATAATATCATTTGTTCTATACCTTTACTGAGAATTGGGATTTTTAAGCACAATGGAGACCATATTCTGTGCCTAGCACATTTGAGACTCCCATGTGACAGCTGCCTTAAATGAGGGGCCATTGTCACTTTGAAGGTATTTAGGTAGACCAAAGCAGGGGTTTTTTTTGTTTGTTTATCTTTTTCTGAAACAGAGTCTCGCTTTGTCACCCAGGCTGGAGTGCAGTGGCATGATCTCAGCTCACTGCAACCTCCGCCTCCCAGGTTCAAGCAATTCTCCTGCCTCAGCCTCCTGAATAGCTAGGATTACAGGTGTGCACCACCATGCCTAATTTTTTTGTATTTTTAGTAGTGACGAAGTTTCACCATGTTGGCCAGGCTGGTCTCGAACTCCTGAACTCGTGATCCGCTCGCCTCGGCCTCCCAAAGTGCTGGGACTACAGGCCTGAGCCACCGCGCCTGGCTGGAGTTATTTTATTAATTAACACTTTTATTACCTCAGAGGTCTTTTCTGTATGGCATGGAAATGCTTCCACCCAGTTAGT
The DNA here is from genome assembly GCF_000001405.40 of Homo sapiens. NCBI lineage: Eukaryota > Metazoa > Chordata > Mammalia > Primates > Hominidae > Homo > Homo sapiens. The sequence continues at coordinate 64,622,729 of NC_000007.14, read as the reverse complement.
AAAAGTATATACCCAAAACAGAAGGTATTGGATACCCTTTGTCTTTGGCATGCGGGTGAAGTCTATCAGCCAGTCCTCCCCCTGGATAGCTTCTTATTTTTTGGGTTTTAGGAGGAAGGAGCCACCTGTTCAGTGGATTATTTTTAAGACAGACTTCACAGGAATTAACAACCTATTTGACTGTTTTTAGTAAGTTCTCTTCTGAAAACAATCTCTGGGCATAGTGATAAGTTTTATCCTTTCTTAAGTGAAAAACTTGGTGAAAGATTCTAAGGATTTTCCTTTGGCTGAAGGCTGGCGAATGGAGTTTGCCATCCTCTGATTGTAGCCATCCTGAGGTCTAAAAATATACCCTCGAAAAGTGGCCCATTCTATTTCTGCAGGGGAGTACTGAGGCTTAATTTCTCTTATGGAGCCTTCCCAGGTTAGAGGGGCTTGAAGTGTGTTGATGCCTCAAGGCTTCCTTGCTGCTGACTTAATTGCCTGATTAGCTAACGTATTTCCTTCGGCTACTTCATCTGTTCCCTTTTGATGTCCCTTACAATGCATCATTGCTATTTTTCATGGAAGAAAAACGGAGAATAATTTTCTGGTGATACTTTAAAAGAGATCCATTAGCGGTAAGAAAATGTATTTTCTTCCAAATGGCAGCATGAGCATGAAGAACCAAGAAAGCATACTTTTAGTCTGTGTAAATGTTAGCTACCTTTCCTTTGTTTAATTCAAGTCCTCTTGTAAGAGCTATCAGTTCAGCTAATTGAGCGTTTGTGCTGGGGAGAGAGACACACTTTTAATAACGTTGTTTAGAGTGACTACTGAGTATCTTGCCTTATGTATTTTTTGCTTTACTGGCTATTTGTTACCTAAGAGGTCCCCCTAGAGGACAGTAATTGTGTCATGTTGTGTGGGGTGTAAGTTAAATTCTCTAGTATAATTAAAGAGAATTATGATTATAATTTCCAGGGTTAATTTGGAGACTTTTCTAAGTAGTAGAGCCACCATGGCAGTGGCTACAGGAAGAGGGGAGACCTGAATTAGAGAACAGAAAAGAGGGAGACTGGCTCTATTGTTTAGAAGGATGATTATCTTCCTTCTTTTAATTTCCAGAATCACCTTGGGATCCTAGGCTATAATGGCAGTTTGAGCTGCTGGAGCTGGGGGTTGGGTCCCTAGGACCCATTATTCCTGCCAAACGATCTGTGAGACTGGTTCTGAATCTAGTGACCTCATCTCTGGGGGCAGTTTGCTCTCTAGTGTCTCTGCCACAGCCTGCAGAGGGTTGAGGTGGCTTCTTCTTGATGCTTGGGCACTGCTTCTTAAAGTACCCTGACTTGCCAGACTGATAGCAATGAGCAGATGAACCTTGGAAATCCTGGACATTGCAGGCTTGCAAAGCAACTACTAGAGCCTTTGTCCTTCTCCTGAGTTTCCTCGCTTTCTCTTGGGTTTTCTCCTGGTCCCTATTATAAAAGGCTGAAGTGGCTACCTTCAGGAGGTTCTCTAAGGTGCTATCTGATTCTATAGCCTGCTTTTGTAGTTTCTTTTTTAATATCAAGAGCTTGGCCTGGCGCGGTGGCTCACGCCTGTAATCCCAGCACTTTGGGAGGCCGAGGCGGGCGGATCACGAGGTCAGGAGATGGAGACCATGGTGAAACCCTGTCTCTACTAAAAATACAAAAAATTAGCTGGGTGCAGTGGCGGGCGCCTGTAGTCCCAGCTACTCGGGAGGCTGAGGCAGGAGAATGGCGTGAATCCCGAGGCAGAGCTTGCAGTGAGCTGAGATCGCACCACTGCACTCCAGCCTGAGCCACAGAGCGAGACTCCGTCTCAAAAAAAAAAAAAAAAAAAAAAATATCGAGAGCTTCGTGCGTAATAAACCTGTCCTTTAGAATGCACTATTTGTTGATTGGATCAGAAGAAAAGGAGATATGCTCTATTAGTGCCTCTCTCTGCCTTTTCATAAAGGCTGCAAGACTCTTTTCTGGCATTTGGTCTATCATGGACAGTTTAGAGTAAGAGATTTGTCCTCATGGACAGTTTAGAGTAAGAGATTTGTCCCTATTCATAAACCCTCTAATATGCATATTAAAGTGTTTTTTTTTTTTTCCATTTATCTGCAGAGCTATTGGAGTTCCAACCAGGGTTGTAAAGAGGAACTGCTTCCCTTCCTATTGGGAATGGTGTTTCTGTTATTTCTTCACTTTCTCCTTTTTAAATTTTGGTGCATTATAGGCGACATATTGTTCATTTCTGCAATTCTCTGCTGCCTGTAGAGCTGCCTGCTTTTCAGCTGCAGTTAGGGTTTGGTTTAGGAGCAGCACAACATCCTTCTATGTGAGGTGAAACACCTGAGTCAAATTTTGGAAAGCTTCTATATACCTATTGGGGGTTGTCAGAAAATCAGCCTAAGTCTTCCTTTATTTGGCTAAGGTCTTGTAATAAGAGAACTTGAGATGGCTCTAAATAAGGGGGATTCTCAAATGGCTTCCCTGGAACTTGCTTTTCTAATTCTGGTGAATCATTTTCTATAAGCCTGCCTGATATGACTTTTTAAAAAGCTGGGTTGATCTTACACTACCTGCAAAGGTGTAGTATAAATGTCATGCCCTTGTGCAAAAGAAAATGGTTGCTTTCTTCTTCAAAGTCCGGAGGTTAAAGAAGTTCCAGTGTTACAGAATGCACTCCAGAGGGTTGCAAGCTGAAGTTGGTCTGTTGCCCATCTAGAAAAAGTGAGAATAAAAGGGTCCTTTTAGTCTCCCTTTTTTTTGGTATGACCAAGGGTGAAGGGGAAAACAGTGGGAGTGTCACCTCTACTCTTTTCTCTCCTTGGTTCCTGGGTCCTGTCACCATGTTAAATGTGTCACTCATGGTTGTGGGTGTGACCTCTCCAAGCCATGAAACCAGATGAACTAGGTGATGGATTTTAGCCACAATTACCCATATAGCCTTATTTGTCCACTTGTGATTTCCCTTTGACTTTCTAGACTTGTGTGATCTGTGTGCCACCCCAAAAAATGGATTTTGGGAAAGAATATGTAATAGTTGCCTTTGGGCAAGGCTCATTTAATGGAGGGATTGTGCTAGATGGAACTCTGTATTCTACTCTTATGCCCCATGCTAAATCATTTACCCTTAGAAAATGATTCTGGTTAACTTTTGGATGTAAAGTTCCCTTACTAATTAAGTACTATTTTAATTAGAGACAGAATAGGTGCCTTAAAGAACACAAGGGACCTAATGGCATTTTTCCTGCTGATAGGACAGTATTCAAACTAAAATTTAGCTATGGAAGACATTTTACTCTTAATTGTTAAAGGCAGCATTTTCCCATTCACAGAAGGGCATAGAGCCTGATTTTTAGCGGTGCAAAAAGGGAGAATTGGGAAGCTACAGTGTATTGCAAAAGACTGACAATGTGCCTCATGGAGATAATTTCTATTTCCACTAGGTGGTGCTGTTGGCTTAGAAATACCATGTACTCACGGAGGACGTGTATTGGGTTAGTATGGCATTTGCCGATCTTTCCTAACAGAACTGTTCCCCCGAATTGTAAAAATTCCTGCACATTTCATACACAGAGAAAAGACATGGTGACTGCAGATAGAAAAGGAGAAATTTTGCAACAGGATAGATGGAGATTCTCTTTGCTAACACCTGGATGAGTGGTCAGAAGTTGGCTTTAGTCCAGAAGCCTTTGGATAACACCAGGGTATGCCCTGGCCCGAAATTTTCAGTTGCTCCAAAACCTCTCCCAGCCCCATGTAATGGCTAGGTCCTCCATGAAAGAAAACTGGTTTAAAGCATGGCCAATGTGTGTATTGCAGGGGATTCATCCTCTCCCCAGTAACCCTCACATTTGAGTCTTCAAGAACAGTAGCCATGCTAATCACATTTTTAAATGGCTGTTTGGATGCCCATTATTAATTTGATTTGATTTTATAATAAGGCCCATAGCCTCAAAATTAAAGGACAGATTCTGAGGTTCACTTCCATACTTATTGCTTTGATGTTTATACCTATCATTCCATTTCTGATTCTGAAGGAGCCCCCAAATGAAGTGGCTTTGTTCTGTGGGGACATACCTGAGGTTTCTTGTCTCATACAGAGAAGATTAATGACATGGACACGCACACACGGAGTGAGTTTAAGAAGCAGAAAGTTTAATAGAAGAAAGGGAGAGACAGAGCTTCCTCTTTCAGAAAAAGTGGGTCACCCAAGGGGGTTTCTGAGTTTGGGGCAGAATAGATTCAATTTTATAGAGGATTGGATTGAGGAGGCAGTGATTGATTTACACAGGGCCCAGGAGATTGGTTTGACCAGGTGTGCCATTTACATAGCCCACAAAGAAAATGTCCCTTCTACCCTAATCTTTTATTATGTAAATGTAATCTCTACCTGGCCGATGCCATGACACCTGCACACGTGATGACAGAAAAAGGAGGGAAAATTGTCATGTGTGGTGTACCTGGCTTTTAGTATAGCTCCTGGCATTTGCATATGCAAGCTTCCAGCTTGCTGATCTATGCTTACAGCTTCACGTTTTAGGCTGCTTTCTTTTAGGAAAACAAATAGCTCTGGGGCCCTGTTTTATTAAAGAAAAATTCCATTGAGAACCCTTACTCTTACTAACTCCCTAAAATAATTTTGATTTAACTCCTGTATTAATATTGCCTGTATGCTAAGTCCAGTGATGTCAAAATGCTCCTTCTGGGCATGGCCTTAGCAGGAAAGACAAATCACCTGGTGTCATGGCCCAGCAATATGTCACAACATTTTCTATGGGCAGAATACAGGTAAGAGAGAGTCACATTTCCTAGGTGATAAATAAAAAGATATTTTACAAGGTCCCTTGTGGGCAGGGCCCAGGCAGAAGCACCCCATCCCATAGGTATGGGTCCCAGATATGTGTAATAATCTCCAAAATATGTGGGGCCCAGGGAAAACAGAAGAGTTTCATCACCTAGATGCTAGGTCCACCTACATGCTAGATGCTACCAGGTTTCATCACCTAGATGCTAGATGCAAAATCAGAGATATGTCACAATCCCTGATTTTGGCAGGGCCCCGGCAGAAGAGGAGAGTGAAATCAATCACCACCTCTTCTCCGTCACCTGGGTGATGAATAAACAGATATGTTCTAATACCTCTGTAGGCCGGGCCCATGCAGATTTGCATCATGAAAGTGTTAGACCCAGCCATATGTCACAATACTCAATGTATGCAGGGCCCAGGCAGGAGAAGGAAGTCACATTACCTAGGTGCTGGGCCCAGTCATATATCACAATCTGTCCTTGGGCAGAGAGATCAAGCAATAGAGGAAAGTCACTTCACCTGGGTGTTAGGGCCAGCAATATTTCACAATTCTCTCTGTGAAAAGTGCTTAGACAAAATTATAGGCTCACATCATCCAGGTGCTAGGTTTAGTCATTTGCCACAATCCCATCTGTAGGGCCCAGGCAGAAGGGTCAAATCACTTAGGTGCTGGGAAAAGGTGTATGTCACAATCACACCTGCAAGGTCTAGGGATTATATTAAACATCCCACACACGTCCTGGTTCTAGGTATGAGAGTCAATACCTTCTCTATTTTGGGTCTAATTTCGTGAGTCATAGTCTTAAAGGTGGCTAGATCTGTGTCTGAAAGCCTCAATCCCTCCTGTGAACTATTTTCCCCTAGTGGAGTCAGAGGCTCACAAGAGTGCTGAATCTTTATCTGAGAGTCACCAACCCAGCTGTGGGCCAGATCCACATGATTCAATTTTCCAAATTTCAGCTGGCTTTGTGTGTGAGGTTCAGAACCTCAACAGCGGGTTGTTTATGTGGGTGCAGGACAATCTTTACTGTTGAAAGTGTGTGCATACAAGTGTCGTAATCTCACCTGTGTGCTTGGCCCTGTTAGGACACTCTCTGTACTATGCTAGGGCTTTATGTTTTGCATGAGAGTCACAATCTATTCTAAGACATTTGTGCTGGTATGAACCTATAATCATATCTGTGTTCTTAACCCCAGGTATAAGAGTCAACATCTCCCTAATTTTCTGTGTCTAGATAGGAGAGCCCTCACCTTTCTATGAGCTGCATTTAAAAATGTTTTACTATCCCATATCTGGCTGGATGTTCACATATGACAATTCCAAATGTGGACTGCATCCATATGTGAGATTACAAGTAGGGTCTGTCCGTCTGTGAGAATTACAATTTTAATGGATAGTAGGGTGTGCATACACACAAGTAAATCTCACCTGTGCACTGGGCTCTGCAATGACACACTGTGTACAACCTGAAGACTTTATACCATATGTGAGAGTGTGATACTCCTTTCTGACCTTTATAAAAACAGAAGACCCAGAATCTTATCCATTTTTCTAAGCCTAGCTATGAGAGACTGTATCAACTATTGGCTGGTTCAATATATGAGAGTCATCATCACACCTATGAGCTGGAACAACATTATGTGTAACAAATCCACGTGCAGGTAGGTAATAAGCAGGGGAGTCACATCACCCGGGTGCTGGGCCAAAGATTTGTACAATATTACTTGAGGGCAGGGACCGGGAAGGATAGTAACATCCCTTGGCTGCTGAGCCCAGAGATATGTTACAATGCTCCCTGTGGGCAGGGTTCAGGCAAGAGAGACACATCACCTGGTTGCTAGGTCCAGCAATATGTCACAATCTTCCCTGTAAGCAGGGTGCAAATGGAAGACAATAGTCACATTTCCTAGGTAATGAATGCTGAGATGTCACAAGGCCTTCTGTGAGCAAAGCCCACTCATGTGCCTCCCATCCATCCCCTATATCACAATACCCAAATATGTGAGCCCCAGGCAAAATAGGAGTCACCTCACCTAGGTTCTGGGTCCAGTGATACATTATAATCCTCTTTTTGGCAAGGCCCAGGCAAAAGAGGCACAAAAGAGAAATGGCAGGGGATGAATGAAAAAATATTTCATATCTCCATGGACAGAGCCCATGCAGAAGAGTCACATCAACTAGGTGATGGACCCAGACATATGTTTCATATACTATGTGAACAGGGCCCAAGCATAAGAGAGTTACATCATCTAAGTGCTGGGAATATTGATACATCATAGTCGCTTCTTGGGCAGAGTCTAAGTAGTGGAGGACAGTCATACCACCTATGGGCTGGGTCCAGAAATATGTCTTGATACTTCCTGAGGGGAGAGCCCAGGCAGTATTATCACATCACCTGGGTGCTGGAACAGAGATATGTCATGGTCTTCTCTGAAAGCAAGGACCAGGCAGGAGGCTCATGTCACATTTGGCCAGTGATAAGTCACAATTCCTTTCTAAAAGCAGGGCTTGGGCAGTAGTCACATCACCTAGTTTCTGAGACCAGGTGTCACAGGGGGCTCCACAGGGAGCATTGTAACATATCACTGGGCTCAGAAACCAGCTGTCACAATACTTCTGGTGGGCTAGGCCCAGGCTGGAGACACATCACCTAGTTGTTGTGTTATGTCACCATCTTCCCTGTGGGCAGGTGCAGGCAGAAGAGATGAGAGACGTATGCCCTATGTGATGGATACAGAGTAATGTCAGAAAGCTGCCTGTAGTCAGGGCTGAAGCAAAAATGTCTCATTTCCTAGGTGTTGGGCCCAGCAATATGTCACAATACCAAAAACATGCAAGGTCCAGGCAAAAGAGGAGAGTCACATCACTTAAGTGCTGGGTTCAGTGATAAGTCACTATCATTCTTTCTGGCAGGGCCCAGGCAGAAGTGAGTCACATCACCTAGATGACTAAAAAAATGTGTCATAATACCCCTGTGGGCAGGGTCCATGCAGGACAGTCACATGACCTAGACATTATTCCCAGCCGTATGTCACAAAAACAATGAATGTAGAGCCCCGGCAGGAGAGTCACATAGCCTTGGTGCTGGGTCCAGTGATACATCACAGTTTTTTATTGGGCAGAGTCCAAGCTGTAGAGAGAGTCATATCACCTAGTTGCTGTGTGTGACAATATATAATAATACTCCCTGAGAAGTGGGCTCAAGCAGGAGATTCACATCACTTAGGTGAGAGGTTCAGAGATATGTCACAATGCCCCCAGGTGAGTAGCAGTCAGGAAGAAAAGTTACATAAACTAGGGCCAGAGCCCAGCTATATGTCACAATTACCGCAGTGGGGAGCACTCAGGTATGACAGGAGAGTCACATCACATAGGAGCTGGGCCAAGCAATATGTAGCAATCTGCGCTGCAGACAAGTCTGAAAAAAGAAAGGTCACATCAACTAGGTGATGAATCAGAAATACAGCAAAATGATTCCTGTGGGCAAAGACCGAGCAGAAGAAATTACACCACGTATGTGATGAGCTTAGTAATACATCACTCTCTTTCCTTGGGCATGGTCCAAGCAAAAGAAAAGTCACATTACCTAGCTGTTAGGCCCAGAGTTATGTCACAATCTCTTTTACAACAGAAGCCCAGGTAAAAGGAGAGTCACATCAAATAGATGATGGTCCCAGAAGTATGTCACAATGCCTCTTGTTAGCAGGGTCCAGGCATACCAACTCACATCACCTTGGTGCTGGGTTCAGCAATATGTCACAATGCTTTCTGAGAGCAAGGCCAAAGCAAAAGGGCAACATCACCTTGCTGTTGGGCCCAGTGATATGTCACAATGTTCCTTGTGGGCAAAACCTAGAAAGAGTCACATCAGCTAGGTGCTGGGCCTAGCAATCTGTTTTGATACACCCTGTAAGGAGAAACCAGGCAGAAACTGTCTTATTAACTGTGTGATGAGCAGAAAGATATGTCACAATGCTCTCTGTAAGCAGGGCCTAGGCAAGAGAATTATATCACCTGGGTGTGGACCCAGCAATATGTCACAACAGCCCGTGTGGGCAAGGCACTGGCAGGAGAGCCACATAACCTGGGTGTTGGGTGCAGCAATATGTCACAGGGTTCCCAGTGGGCAGTGCCAAGGCAGGAGAATAGATTTACATTAGTTAGGTCCTGGGTTCAGCAATGTTTCACAATCCAATCTGTGGGCTGAGCCCAGGCAGAAGAATTCAATCACTCAGGTGCTGGGCAGAGGCATATGTCACAATCACAGCTGCAGGAATGTTCATAAATGAGATTAACAATCCTGCACATGTCCAGGTTCCAGGTATGAGAATCAACACCTCTTTTATGTTGGGCCTAAGTACATGATTCACAATCTCAACAGTGGACTAGATCCATGGACGAGAGCCTCAATTCCTCTCACAGACTGTTTTCTTAGTGGAGTCACAGTCTTTCAGGTGTACTGAATCTTGGTCTGAGTGTCAATAACCCACCTGTGGACTGAAATAAACGATGAGACAATTGTTCAACTTTTGGCACTTTTTTTTTATTGTGGGGTTCAGAATCTCAACAATGTGTTGTGTTCATGTGGGAGGGTGACAATCATTACTGTTGGCTGGGTGTGCTTATGAGTGTCACAATCTCACCTGTGTCCTGAGGTCTATTAGAACATTCTCTGTCCTACTTGAGGGCTTTGTACTGTATGCATGGGAGTGCAATCTTGTCTGAGACCTTCATGCTGGTATGGACCCATGATTGTACTTGTGGCCCTAAGCCCAGGTATGAGAGTCAACATGTCTCCAATTGGCTGAGTCCAGAAAGAAGATGCCTTACCTGCCTAGGAGCTGGGTTTAGAAATGTTTCACCATTTCAACTCTGGCTGAATGTTCACATATGACAGTCACAATTTCAACTATGGACTGTGTTTGTGAGATTAAGAACCTCATTAGTGAGTTCCATCCATGTGGGAGGTTGACAATACTAAGGGTTTTTAGGGTGAGCATATGAGAAACACAACCTTACCTGTGTGCTAGGCTCTGTAATGACACTTTCTGTACCATTCAAGACCTTTACACAATATGCAAGAGAATGGCATTTACAATCTTTATAAAGCGGAGGCCCATGAACTCACCTATTTGCCTAAGCCTTGCTAAGAGACACAGGATCTCTGCTATTGGCTGGTTCAAGGTATGAGACTTATGCCATCTGTGAGCTAGGCCAAGATAAATGTGACAATTACACCCGTGGATAGGGAATGATAAGTAGAGTCACGTCACCTGTTTTTTGGAGCCAGGAATATGTCAAAATCTTCCTGGAGGCCAGGGACTAGGCAGGAGAGTCACATTACCTGTTTGCTGGGCCCGGGAATATATCACACTGCTTTCTGTCAGCCAGGCCCAGGCAGGAGAGACACATCACCTGGTTGCTAGGCTCAGTAATATGTCACAATTTTCTCTGTTGGCAAGGTGCAGGCAGAAGAGGAGAGACACATTTCCTAGGTGATGGATAAAGAGATATGTCACAAGGCCCCATGTGAGCAGGGCCCAGGTGGTACTCCCATTCCCTACATGTTGGGCCCAGCGATATGTCAGAATACCCAGAATACACAGGGCCCAGGCAATAGAAAAATGTCACATTACCTAGGTACTGGCCCAGCAATACACCACAATTTTTTTTTTTTTTTTTTTTGCCAGAGCCTAAGCAGTAGAGGAGAGTCACATCACCTAGTTTCTAGGTCCAGCAATATGTTACCGGACATGGCCCAGGCAAAAAAGTAAAATTATTTATGTGAAAGACCCAGAGATATGCTACATTGTCATCTGTGTGTAGGGCTAAGAGAGAAGAAAAGTGTTACATAACCTAGGTCCTGCTCATGCCACCTGTTTCACAATCACCCCAAATGACAGGGCCCAGTCATGACAGTCACATCACATAGGTTCTGGACCAAGTGATATGTCACAATATTCTCTCTGTACAGTTTACAGGAAGAAGACAGTCACGTAATCTAGCTGATGGGCTTAGAGATATGTCAAAATAACCCCTGTGGGCAGGGACCAGACAGGATTACCTCACCTGTGTGCTGGGTTTGGCAATAAGCCATCTTTCTTCTGTGGGCATGACCCTGTCAGAAGAGAGTCACATCACCTAGGTTTTGGTCCCAGAGATATGTCACATTTTTTCTTATGGGCAAAGCCCAGGTAAGATAGGAGAGTCACATCAAATAGTTGATGAAGTCAGAAGTATGTCACAATGCCCTCTGTGAGCAGGGCTCAGGCAGGAGACTCACATCACCTGGGTGCTGGGCCCAGCAATATGTCACAATGTCTTCTGAAAGTAGGGCAAAGGCAACAGATTAATGTCACCTTAGTGTAGGGCAAAGTGAAATGTCACCATCTTCCATGCGGGTGGGCCTTAGAAAGATGGGAAGAGTCCCATCAGCTAGGTGCTATACCCAGCAATAGGCAAAAATATCCCATCTGAACAGAAACCAGACAGGAGTCACATTACCTGGGTGATGAGTGCAGAGATACATCACAACGCCCATGTAGGCAAGGCTGAGGCTGAAGAGTTATATTACATGGGTGTTACACTAAGCAGTATGTCACAATGGCCCATGTGGGCAGGGAAAAAATAGGAGAATCACATAAGCTGGGTTTTGAGCCCAGAGATACGCCAGTGTCCCCCGTAGGCAGTGCCAATAAAGAAATGGTGACTTACATCACTTGGATGCAAGGCCCAGTGATATTCCACCATCTCCCCTGTGGGCAGCACCAAGGCAGGAGTATGGAGTCACATGTGCTGGTTCAGTGATATGTCGCAATTGTGCCTATAGACTGGGCCCAGACAGGAGAGTCAAATCACTCAAGTACTGAGCAGAGACATATGCCAAAATCACACCTGCAGGATGGCTTAGAGGTTAGATTAACAATCTCACACATGTCCCAGTTCTAAATTTGAGTCAACACCTCCTGTATGTTGGGTCTAATTAAGAGACTCACAATCTCAATGGTGCACTCGATTTGTTTATGAGAGCCTGAAGTCTTCCTGCAGACTGTGTACCCTTACTGGAGTCACAGACTCACAGATGTGCTAAATATTGTGAAATGCATCCACATATAAGAGTCAAGTTTCCAGGCTGGGGGTGGTGCCTGATGTCTGTAATCCCAGCACTTTGGGAGGTCGAGGCAGGCCTGGATCACTTGAGGCCAGGAGTTTGAGAGCAGTCTGGGAAACATGGTGAAACCCTGTCTGTAGAAAATATACAAAAATTAGCTGGGTGTGGTGGCACATGCCTGTAATTCCAGCTACGCAGGAGGTTGAGGCACGAGAATTGCTTGAACCCAGAAAGTGGAGGTTGCAGGAGCTGAGATTGCACCACTGCAGTCTAGCCTGTGTGTTACAGTGAGTGAGACTCTAAAAAAAAAAAAAAAAATAAAGTCAATTTTCCAACTTTTGACTGTTTTCATGAGGGAGACTCAGGACCTCAACAGTGGGCTGTGTTCATGTGGAAAGATAACAATTTTTACTGTTGGCTGGGTGGGTGTATGAGTGTCACAATTTTGTCTGTGTTCTAGGCTCTCTCAGTACCACACGAGAGATTTCTACAGTATTAACGAGAGTTGCAAACCACTCTATGACCTTCATGATGAAGGTATAGACCCATGATTGTACCTGTGTCTCTAAGCCCAGGTATGAGAGTCAGCATCTCTATCACTGGCTGGTTCCACGTAAAAGAGGACAGGCATGGTGGCTCATGCCTGTAATCCCAGCACTTTGGGAGGCCGAGGCAGGTGGATCACTTTAGGTCGGGAGTTCGAGACCAGCCTGGCCAACATGGTGAAACCCCATCTCTACTAAAAATACAAAAATTAGCCCGGTGTGGTGGTGCACATCTGTAATCCCAGCTACCCAGGAGGCTGAGGCAGGAGAATCGATTAAAGCCAGGAGGTGGAGGTTGCAGTGAGCCATTATTAAACTACTGCACCCCAGCCTGGGTGACAGAGTGAGATACTGTCTCCAAAAAAATAAAAATAAATAAAATAAAAATGAAAAATAAGAGTCCTCACCTGCCTAGGAGCTAGATTAGAAATGAGTCACCATCCCAACTGCAGCCAGATGTTCACAAATAACAGTCACAATTTCAACTCCATCCACATGTGAGATTCAAGACCTTACCAGTAGGCTCTGTCCATGTGTGAGGGCAAAATCCTAATGGCTGATAGTGTGCATATGAAAAACACAATCTCACCTGGGTCCTGGGTCCTGTGATGAGACTGTCTGTACCACTTGAAAAATTTATATATGTGAGAGGCTGGTAATCAACTATGATATTCATACAGAGGAGATCCAGGACCTTACTCATTTTCCTAAGCCTAGCTTCAAAAAACAGTATCTCTCCTATTGGCTGGTTTGAGGCATGAGAGTTATCATCTCACCCACAAGCTGAACAAGGATATATTTTACAATCCCACCTGTCGATAGAGAGTGAGCAGGAGAGTGACATCACCTGGTCGCTAGGACAGGAATATGTCACAATCTTCCCTGATGGCAGGAACCAGGCAGAAGAGTAACATCACCTGGGTGATCAGCCAGGGATATGTTACAATCCTGTTCTGAAAGCAGGGCATGGGCAGCAGAGTCACAGCACCTGGGTGCTGAGCCCAGTGACATGTCACAATGCTCCCTGGGAGCAAGGCCCAGGAAAAGGAAGCACATCACCCTGTTGCTGAGTCAATGTTATTGTCACAATCTTCCCTGTGGGCCAGGTGCAGGCAGCAGCAGAGGAGTCACATCTCCTTGGTGAGGAATACAGAGATATGTCACAAGGCTCTTGAGCGTTGTAGGGCTAGAGCCCTGTTTGCAGGGCATAGGCAGGCACCTCCCAAATTCTACATGTTTGGCCCAGTGATATGTCACAGTACTCATATGTGGGGCCCATGAAAGAGGAGAGTCACATCACCTAGGTGCTAGGTCCAGTGATACATCACCATCCTACATTTTGGCAGAGACCAGGCAGAAGGAGAAGGCCACATCACCTAAATCATGAATGTAAAAATATATCATAATACCCTTGTGGGCAGGACCCATGCAGGAGAGTCACCTCACCTAGGTATTGGACCCAGCCATATGTCACAAAACAAATGCATGCAGTGTGACAGTAGGTAGCTAGTCCAGCATAGGCAGGGCAAGAAAGGGCACCCCACTCCACACACACCAGAAATGTCAGGCAGCAATCAGGTAATGGCCAGGCAGTGAACTATCTCTCTAAAGTAATAATTGGTGACAGCTGTTGCCAGGGACAGGCAGTCTCCTAATAAATACGAAACACCTAAAACTGGTCATCAGTAGCTTCCCAGTGAGATCTCAGGAGTTGGGTGGGTTAGGAGAAGTAATGCAAGACCCCAGAAGTATGCCAACACATAAAATCCCAAGAGGAGAAGAGAGTCACATCACGACAGTAATGGCAACAGAGATATGACACAATGACCCTGTAGGCAGGGCCCAGGCAGGAGAGTTACATCAACTGGGTGTTGGACCAAGTAAAATGTTACAATGGCTCACTTGGGCAGGGCACAGGCAGGAGAGTCACATAACCCGGGTGTGCTGCCCAGCGATGTGTCACAATGTTCCCTGTGGAAAGCACAAAGGCAGCAGAGGAGACTCACATCACTTGGGTGCAAGGCCCAGCGATCTGTCAAGATGCTCCTGTGGGAAGTACCAAGGAAAAAGAATAGAGTCACATCACCTAGGTTGGGGTCCAGCAATATGTCACAATTTCCACTTGTGGGCTGGGCGCAAGCAAGAGTCTAATCATTCAGGCGCTAAGAAGAGGCATATGTCATAATCACACCTGCAAAAACGTCTAGGGATGAGATTAACAATCTTGCACATGTCCTAGTTCTAAGTAAGAGAGTCAACATCCCCTGTATTTTTTTTCTGAGTACACAGTGACGATATTAACTGTGGATAGATTTGTGCCTGAGAGCCTCAATTCCCCATGGACTGTGTACCTGTAGCAGAGTCACAGCCTCACAAATGTGCTAAATCTTGGTCCTGAGTCACCCATCATTCTGTGAATGGAATTTATGTAGGGGAGTCAATTTTCCAACTTTCCACCACCTTCAGATGTGATATTCAGAACCTGAGCACATTCAGAACCTGAGCACCTATAAACACAGTTCATAAAAGATGACAATCTTTACAATTGGCTGGGTATGTATACAAGTAACACAATCTGACCTGTGTGCTGGGCCCTGTTAAAAACACACTCAGTACCACCCAAGGGCTTTAGAATGTGGCAATTTGTTGGCCAGGCGTGGTGACTCACACCTGTAATCCCAGCACTTTGGGAGGCCGAGGTGGGTAGATCACGAGGTCAAGAGTTCAAGACCAGCCTGGCCAAGATGGTGAAACCCCATCTCTACTAAACCCCATCTCTACTAAAAATACAAAAATTAGCCAGGTGTGGTGGCGCACGCCTGTAGTCCCAGCTACTCAGGAGGCTGAGGCAGAAGAATTGCTTGAACCCGGAAGGCGGTGGTTTCAGTGAGCCGAGATTACGCCACTACACTCCAGCCTGGGTAACAGAGACTCTGTCTCAAGAAAATAATAATAAAAAAACAAAAAAATAAATTTGGTATGAGACCTTCATGCTGGTATGGACCCATGATTGTACCTGTGGACCTAAGAGCAAGTACAAGAGTTAACATCCCTTCAATTGGCTGGGTCCAGATATAAGAGTTCTCACCTACCTATGAGCTGGGTTTATAAATGAGTCACCGTCTCAACTGTAGCAGGATGTTGATATTTGACAATCACAATTTCAACTGTAGACCTCATACATGTGTGTAGTTTAGAACCTCACCAGTGGGCTCTTTCAATGTGTGAGGGTGACAATCCTAACAGTTGGCAGGGTATGCATAGAAAAAACACAATCTCACCTGTGTGCCGGGCCCTGTAATTACACTGTCTGTAACATTTGAGGGCTTTATAAGGTATGTGAGTGAGTGGTAATTCTTTATGACCTTCATACAAAGAGGAGACCCAGAATCTTACCTAGTACCCTAAGCCTAGCTACAAGAGACAGTATCTCTCCTATTTGCTGACTCAAGTTACAATAGTTACTATTGCACCTTGATCTGGATCATATATTTTATATATATCACAATATTTCCTGAGGGCAATATATATATATATCACAATATTTCCTGAGGGCAGGCACCAGGCAAGAGAGTCACATCACCTAGATGCTCAGCCAGATATGCTACAATCCCTTCCTGAAAGCAGGGTACAGGCAGCAGAGTCAAATCATAGAAGTGCTAGGCTCAGCAATATGTCTCAATACCTTCTGTGGGCAGTGCCAAAGCAGGAGGATAGTCATATTACCAAGGTGCTGGGTCCAGTGATATGTCACAATCTCATTTGTAAGCTGGACTCAGGCAGGAGAGTCAAATCACTCAGGTGCTGAGGAGAGGTGTATGTCAAAATCACACCTGCAGGAGGTCCAGGGATGAGACTACCAATCTCACACCTTTCCTGGCTCTTGTTATGAGAGTCACTGCTCACTGTAGGTTGGGTATAAGTGAAGTAAGAAATTAAGAAAATAACAAAATAATAGCATAAGTAATAATAGTAAAGATTATAGTAATAGTAAGACAAATAATAATAGCTCATAGAATGAATTGCTGTATTAACCATGGCTGAAAAAAATTTAAGTAGCGCCCCACGAAGTTAAAGTTAAAAAAAAAATTAACTGCCTGTCCCAAGAAACATTAACCATATCCACTCTCCACATATTTTGTAGGCTCTATAAGCTCCTGTTCCTTTCTTCCCTGCACAGCTGCAAGGTCACAAAACAAATAAGCATAAGCTACAAACCAAGTATTCCCAAAGATGTAAGACATGTTGCAAAAATATCACAGCAGCCTTTGTTCTTGCTTCTGTAAGCCTGCTTCCTGCTTCACATAGTGCCCGCCTCAAAATACTTAAAAGGAACTCGTTTTCTTTGTTCGGGGCTCAGACTTTCAGGACACATGTCCACTGAGCCAGTGTACACCTTAAATAAACACTTCCTGCCCTCCATTTGGTCTCTCCGGTTCCTTAATTTCCCGCAACGTAAGTACACAAGTCACAATCTCATTGGTGGACTAGACATGTGTTTGGGAGCCTAAACTTCTCCTGCAGACTTTGTCTCCTCCGTGGATTCACAACATCATGGGTGTGCTAAATCTTGGTCTGAAAGTCAGCAACCCACCTGTGGATGGAGTCCACGTATGACAGTCATCCATGTATACAGTCAGTTATCCAACTTTCGACTGACTTTGAGTGTGAGATTCAGAAACGCAACAGTGGACTGTTAATGTAGAATGATGACAATCTTTGCTGTCTGTTGGGTGTACATCTAAATGTCACAATGTCACCTGTATGCTGAGCTCAGCACTCAGCACTATTCAAGTGTTTTATACAGTATGCATAAGAGTCGCAGTCTTCTTTGCAACCTTTGTGATGATATAGACAAATAATCATACCAATGGTTCTAAGCCTAGATATGCGAATCAATATGTCTCCAACTGGATGGATCTAGATTGGAGAGTCCTCACCTGCCTATGAGCTGGGTTTAGAAATGAGTCACCATCCCGGGCCGGGCGTGGTGGCTCGCGCCTGTAATCCCAGCACTTTGGGAGGCCGAGATGGGCGGATCACAAGGTCAGGAGATGAAGACCATCTTGGCCAACATGGTGAAACCCCGTCTCTACTAAAATACAAAAAATTAGCTGGGGGTGGTGGCATGTGCCTGTAATCCCAGATACTGTCCACAGAGAGCCAACAGAAGAGTCACATCACTTCAGTGATAGGCCAGAGTTATGTCACAATCTTTCCAGAGGGCAGGGGTGAGGCAGGAGGGGTCACATTACCTGGGTGCTCAACCAGAGATATGTTACAATTTCTTCCTGAAAGCAAGTCACATGAAGCAGAGTCCCATCACCAGTGTGATTGGCTCAGGAGTATGTCACAATGCTCTCTGTTGGCAAGTCACAAGCAGGAGAGACACATACCTGGTTGCTGAGCCCAGCGATATGTGACAATCTTCCCTTTGGGCAGAGTGAAGGTAGAAAAGAAGAGTCACATCTCCCAGATGATTGATGCAAAATTATGTCACAGGGCAACTGTGAGCCAGGCCCAGGCAAGAGCCTCCAACTGCCAAGGTGTTAAGCTCAGCAGTATGTCACACTACCAAAAATTCTAAGTCCCAATCGTAAGAGGAGAGTCACATCACCTGGGTGCTGGGTGAAATGTCACAATCCCCTTTTTGGCAGGACAAAGGCAAACAAAAAGAGTCACATCATGTAGGTGATGAATAGAAAGATATATTATAACCCTGATGGCAGGGGCTGTGCTGGAGGGCAAAATCACCTAGGTGCTGGACCCAGAAATATGTCCCAGTACACAATATATGCACGGCCCAGGCAGAATAGGAGAGTCACATTACCTAGGTGCTAGATACAGGTATATATCATAATGTACCCTGAGTGAAGGCCCAGAAAAGAGTCACATCACCTAGGTGATGGGCCCAGAGATATGTCACAATGCCCATTGTGGATAGGGCTCAGAAAAAAAGAGGAGAGTCACATAACCTAAGGGCTGAGCCCAGCTGTATTTCACAATCACCTCAGTGGGCAAGGCCCAAGGAAAAAAAAATTGTATCATTTAGGCGATGGCCTCAAAAATATGTCACGATGACTTCTTTGGAAAGAAATCAGAATAATTACATTTGTGTGCTGGTTCAGGCGATAAGTCACTCTCCATCTCTGGTCATGGCTCACACAGCAGAAGAGAGTCAAATCACCTAGGTGCTGGGCCCAAAGATATGTCAAAATCTCTTTTATTAAAAAAACTCAGATAAGAGTAGAGTCACATCAAATAGTTGATGGGCCCAGAGATATGTCACAATGTCTTCTGTGGGTAGGTTTTAGTCAGAAGACTTAACATCACCTTGGTTCTGGGCCCAGCAGTATGTTATAATGTCTTCTGAGAGCAAGGCCAAGTCAAAAAAGTAATGCCACCTTGAAGTTGGGCCCAGCATTATGTTACAATCTTTTCTACAGGCAGAACCTAAGAAGAAGAGAAAACTTACATTAGCTAGGTGCTGGGCTTAGCGATACATCAAAATCCCCCCTGTGAGCAGAGACCTGGCAAGAAGAGAGTCAAATCACCAGAATTATGAGTGCAGAGATATTTCACAATGCCCCCCTGGACTCAAGGCAGGACTCAAGCAGGAGAGTTACATCACCTGGGTGTTGGACCCAGCAATATGTCACAATAATCCATGTAGGCAGGGCACAGACAGGAGAGTCACGGAACCTGGGTGCAGAGATTAGTGATATGTTACAATGTGTTTTGGGGGCAGCCCCAAGGCAGGGGAATAGGTTTACATCACCTGGGTGCAATTCCCAGCAACATGGCACAATGCCCCTTGCCACACAGTACCAAGGCAGACAAATGGAGTCACATTACTTAAATGCTAGGTCCAGTGATGTCACAGTCCCATCTGTTGTCTGGTCCCAGGCAGAAGAGTCAAATCAGGTGATGGGCAGAGGTATATGTCACAGTCTCATCTGCACAAAGGTCCACAGATGAGATTAACACTCCCAGACACATCCCAGTTTTCAATATAAGAGTAAACACCACCTGCATATTGAGACTAAGTACAGGAGTCACAGTTTCAGTAGTGGACTGGATCTGTGAATTAGTGCCTTAATTTTTTTGTGCAGACTGTTTTAGTGGAGTCACAGGCTCACAGGTATGCTGAGTGTTGGACTCAGGGACACCAATCCACCTATGGATGAAATCCATGTACAAGAGTCAATTTTCCAACTTCTGACTCTTTCTGGGTGTCAGATTCCAAACCTCAATAGGGGGCTGCATTCATGTGTGAGGATAACAATCTTTACTGTTGGCTGGGTGTGCATACAAGTGTCACAATGTTGCCTGTGTGTGGGGCCCTGTTAAGACACTCTCTGTATTATCTGAGGGCTTTATATGGTATGCATGAGAGTTGGAAATCCACCGAGACCTTCTTGCTGGTATGGACCCATTTTTGAACCTGTGGCACTAAGCCCAAGTATGAGAGTCAACATCTCTCCAATTGGCTGGGTCTAGATATGAGAGTCCTTGCCTGCCTATGATCTAGAAATGAGTCACCATCCCAACTTTAGCCAGATGATTACTTATGACAGTCACTATTCCAACTATGGACTGTGCCCACGTGTGAGATTAAGGACCTCACCAGTGGTTTCTTTCCATGTTTAAAGGGTGACAATCCTAACACTTGGTGGAGTGTGCATACTAAAACCACAGTCTCATATTTTTGCTGGGCTCTGTGATAACATTCTGTGCACCAAATGAAGGTTGTATACAATATGCAGAAGAGTGGTAATCCTCTATGACCTTAGTATAAAGAGAAGACCCAGAATTTTACCCATTTCCTTAAGGTTACCTAACATAAATGGTATCACTCTTATTGGCTGGCTCAAGGTATGAGAGTCCTCATTGCATATGTGAGCGGGGCTAAGATGTATTTCACAATCCCATCTGTGAGCATGGAGCAAGGAGAGACACATCGACTGCCTCTCTGCCAGGGATATGTCACAATCTTCCCTGAAAGCATGAACCCAGCTGGAGAGTCCCATCACCCAGGTGCTTGGCCAAAGATATGTTACGACCCCCTTCTGAGAGCAGGGAACTGGCAGCAGAAGAGTCAAACCCCTGGATACTGGGCCCAGCAATATATTCCAATGCTCCCTGTGGGCAAGGCCAAATGAGAAGAGACACATCACCTGGTTGCTGGGCCCTGCGATATATTGCAATCTTCCATTTGGGCAGCATGCATGAAAAAGAGGGAAATCACATCCCCAAGGTGATGGATGCAGACATATGTCACAAGGGCTACTGTAGACAGGGCCCAGGAAAAGTCTCTCATCCCTTGGGTGTTCAGCTCAGCAATATGTCACAATACCCAAAATATGCAGGCTCCAGGCAAAAAAAAAAAAAAAAAAAAAAGCACCAAGGTGCTGGATCCAGTGCTATGTCACAATTCTCTTTTTGGTTAGGGTCCAGGCAAATAAAGAGAGTCACTTTGCCTAGGTGATAAATAAAAGGATATGTCATAACACCCCTTTGGGCAGGGCCCATATAGAAGAATCTTATTACCTAGCTGCTAGACTCAGCAATACATCACAATTTCACTCTGAGCAGAGCACTAGCAATAGAGGAGAGACACATCACCTAGGTGCTGGGTCCAGAGATATTTCACTGTCTTTCTTTTGAGCAAAGCCCAGGTGAGAGAGGAGAGTTCTCATCAAACAGTTGATGAATGCAGAGATATGTCACAAACCCCTAAGAATAAAGCCCAGGCAGAAGAGTCACATCAGCTGGGTGCTGGGTTCAGCAATATGTCACAACCAGGCAGGAAAGTCACAATTACTTGGATGCTAGGTCCAGCAATATGTCACAATGTCCCTTGTGGACTAGGCCCAGGCAGGAGAAGAGTCACATCACCTAGGTACTGGACCAGGCAATTATGTCACAATCCTCCCAGAAAGCAGGGCAAAACAGGACAGTCAAATCACTTAGTTGCTGGGTCCAGTAATATATTGTAATATCTCCTGAGGGCAAGGCCCAGGCAGAAGAGGAGTTACATCATGTAGGTACTGGGTCCAGCCATATGTCACATCTCTTCTGTGGGCAGAATATAGGAAAAATGGAAGTGTCACATCAGCTGGGTGCTGGGCCAATGATATTTCCAAATAGCTTCTGTGACCAAAAACAAGCAGTAAAAGAGAATCACATCACCTGAGTAATAGGCATAGAGATATGTCACAATGCCCCCTGTAGGCAGGTCTCAAAGAAGAGAGTTACATCCCCTTGGTGATAGACTTATCAATATGTCACAATGCCTCTGTAAGCAGGGTCCTTGCAGGAAAGTTGCATTACCTAAATGTTGAACCCAGCGATACATCCCAGGCAAGAGGGGGAAGAGTTAAATCCCTTTGGTCAGCCAAGCACGGTGGCTCACGTCTGTAATCCCAGCACTTTGGGAGGCCAAGGCAGGCAGATCACCTGAGGTCAGGAGTTTGAGACCAGCCTGGCCAACATGGTGAAACCCCATCTCTATTAAATACAAAAATTAGCCAGGCTGTGGCGGTGGGTGCCTGTAATCCCAGCTACTCAGGAGGCTGAGGCATGAGAAATGCTTGAGCCCGGGAGGTGGAGATTGCAGTGAGCTACGATCCCACCACGGCACTCCAGCCTGGGTGACAGAGGGAGACCCTGTCTCAAACAAACAAACAAAAAAGTTGGCAATCATCAGTGATAATGTATTGTGAGACCTTTGTATCTTGTAAATTCTTTTTGAAAAAATAAATAAAAATTAGGCCCTAAATCTCAACAAACCACAAAAAAAGGAAAAGTCACATTAACCTGATTGTCAGCTCAGCATTATGTCACAATGTGCTTAGAAAATAAGACCCAGGCAGAAGAGAAGAGTCACATCACGTAGGGGGCTGGGATCAGCAATCTTTCACAATCATCCCTGTGGGCAGGGCCTATGCAGGAGAGTTGTATTACCTGCGTGCTGGGCCCAGTGATAGATCACAATTCCTTCTGTGGAAAGAAGCCAAGCGGTAGAGGAGAGTGACATCACACAGGTTTTGGGTCAAGCAAATTGTCACAATACTCCCTAAGGGGGTCCCAGGTAGGAAGGTCACATCATCCAGGTGAGAAAAGCAGAGATATGTCACAATGCCTTCTGTTTATAGGGCTCAAATCAAAGCAGAGAGTCACATAACTTAGAAGATGAGTTCAGCTATATGTTAAAATTGCTTTATTGGGCAGGGTCCAGGCATGAGAAAAGGGTCACACCATTTAGGTGCTTGATCAGGCAGTATGTCACAATCCCCATCATGGACAGGGCCTAGGCAGAGGAGAGTCACATCAACTAGGTGACGGGCCCAGAAACATGTCACAATGACTCCTGTGGGCAGAGCCCAGGTCAGAGAAGAGAGTCATATCAAATAGTTGATGGGTGCAGAGATATGTTACAATGCCCTTTGTGGGAAGGGTCCAGAGAGGATACTTACATTTCTTTGAAGCTGGGACCACCAACATATCACAATGCCTTCTGAGGGCAGTGAGAAGGCAAAAAGTAACATCACCGTGGTGTTGCAACCAGCAATATGTCACAATCTTCTTTGCAGGCAGAACCTAGGAAGAAAAAGGTCACATCAGCTAGGTGCTGAGCTCAGTGATATGTCACAATCACCTTTTGGGACATGGAATTGTCAGAAGAGTCAAATCACCTTGGTGATGTTTGCAGAGGTGTGTCACAATGCCCTCTGCAGGCTGGGCCAAGGCAGAAGAGTTACATCACCTGGGTTTCGGAGTCAGCAATATGTCACAATGGCCACTATGAGCAGGGCCCAGGAATGGAGAGTTACATAATGTGAGTTATGGGTGTAGAGCCCAGTGATATGTCACAATGCCCCCTATAAGCAGTGCCAAGGCAGAAGAGACTGACATCACCTGACTTTAAGGATAAGCAATATATCATATGCCCCCTTTAGACAGTGCCAAGGAAGGAGAATAGAGTCACAATACCTAGTTGTGGGGTCTAGTGACATATCACAATCCCATAGGTGGGCTGGTCTGAGGCAGAAAAGTCAAATAAGTCAAAGGCTGGGCAGAGGTTTATTTCTCAGTCACACCTGCAGGGAAGTCCAGGGATAAAATGAACAATCCTGTACATTTCCCAGTTATAGGTATGAGGCAACACTTCCTATATGTTGGGTCTCAGTATATGACTCACAATTTCAACAGTGGACTGGATCCACGCATGACAGCCTCAGTCCCTCCTGCAGACTGTGTACCCTTAGTGAAGTCACAGCCTCACAGCTGTGCTGAATCTTGGTCTGAGAGTCACCAACCCACCTGTGGACAGGATTCACCTATGAGAGGCAATTTTCCAACTTTTGTCAGCTTCCTAATGTGAGATTCAGAGCCTCAGTGGTGGGTTGTGTTACTGTTAAAGAATGACAATCTTTACTGTCATCTGGGTGTGCAACAGTCACAATATCACCTCTGTGCCATATTTCATTAGGTGTCAACATTTAGCATGAAAATTATAAAACTATAAACCCAGCTCAAGGCAGAATAATCTTTTTGTGATTTTTAATAAATGAGACATTTAATACGGTGTATTTAAAAAGCTACACATTCTGAGTTATCAACAAAATGTCCGTGTATTTAACTTAAAGGTTTTTACATAAACACCTAATGTTCTCAAGCTTTAAAATGGTTAACAAATAACTTTAAATAATAACTACCTTTGTGTAATATCTCAGTTTTCAGAAGTAGTCTAAATAAATGGCTAAAAATGAAAAAATTGGGTACATAGATAAGATAAAAAATAGTATTTTGAAAATCTGTTTCAAAATTGTGGAATGGTCCTCATCTATGAAATGCTCATATCTGATGGGCAGTTCACAAATTTTTGCTTCATAGGTTTATATTAAATGTGCCAAAAAGATAGGTTCTCATTGAAAAATGAATAATTTTGTCTAATTCAAGAGTTATCTAAAAGTTAACTCAAATTATGAATTTAAAAAGATTATTGTATTCATGCAACTCTCTGTATTGCCTGAAAAATCCTTGTGCTGTTAAGTTCCAGGGATTCAACTCTTGGGTCTAAAAAGTGCACATAATTGTTTTCACATATATATATAAACCCATATGTATACATACATATATAAATATACACACACACATATACACATACATATACACATACACACACATATATACATGCATATATACACACATACACATATATACATACATTGTGTATATATATTCATATATACACATTCATACATATATACACATATACATATTTATACATATGTACGTATGTGTGTGTATATATACGTATATATATTATTTGAGACAGTCTCGCTCTGTCACCCAGGCGTCCAGTGGCGTGATCTCAGCTCACTGCAACTTCTGCCTCCCTAGTAGCTGGGATTACAGGCATGCGCCACCATGCCCAGCTAATTTTTGCATTTTTAGTAGAGACGGGGTTTCGCCATGTTTGCCCAGGCTGGTCTCAAACTCCTGACATCAGGTGATCCACCCTCCTCGGCCTCCCAAAGTGCTGGGATTACAGGCATGAGCCACAGACCCCAGCCTAATTTTGTATTTTTAGTAGAAATGGGGTTTCACCATGTTGGCCAGGCTGGTCTTGAACTCCTGACCTCAAGTGATCCACCCACCTCAGCCTCTCAAAGTGCTGGAATTACAGGCATGAGCCACCACACCTGGCCAGTTCTATTTCTTTAAGCCTATACATTTGCACTTGTTGAAAGTATTTGAACTGGGCCAGGCGCGGTGGCTCACGCCTGTAATCCCAGCACTTTGGGAGGCCGAGGCGGGCGGATCATGAGGTCAGGAGATCGAGACCATCCTGGCTAACACGGTGAAACCCGGTCCCTACTAAAAATACAAAAAATTAGCCGGGCGTGGTGCGGGCGCCTGTAGTCCCAGCTACTCGGGAGGCTGAGGCAGGAGAATGGCGTGAACCCGGGAGGCGGAGCTTGCAGTGAGCGGAGATCGCGCCACTGCACTCCAGCCTGGGCGACAGAGCCAGACTCCGTCTCAAAAAAAAAAAAAAAAAAAAAGAAAAAGAAAGTATTTGAACATACAATTATCCAGCTTCATGCTTTCACTGAGTCTTCATAATGTGGCATTTTAATGATGTGAGCAAGCCAGGAGCTTTGAGCTTTCTGTGCCACGTAAGGATGCTAAGCCCAGAGACAAAGAGGCCAAGGCTAGGGTTTGGGAACAGGCAGAACCTGGGTTCACCCCGGTCATGGAGGTTTGCTTGAAGCAGAAATAGTCAGGATTCAGTCAGAATGGTGACTATTAAAAAGTCAAGAAATAAAAGATGCTGGCAAGGCTGTGGAGAAATAGGAATGCTTTTACACTGTTGGTGGGAGTGTAAATTAGTTCAACCATTGTGGAAGACAGTGTGGTAATTCCTCAAGGATCTAGAACCAGAAATACCATTTGACCCAGCAATCCCATTACTGGATATATACTCAAAGGAATATAAATGATTCTAATATAAAGACACATGCACATGTATGTTTATTGCAGCACTTTACAATAGCAAAGACATGGAACCAACCCAATGCCCATCAATGATAGACTGGATAAAGAAAATGTGATACATATACACCATGGAATACTATGTAGCCATAAAAATGAGATCATGTTTTTTGCACGGACATGGATGAAGCTGGAAGCCATCATCCTCAGCAAACAAAACACCGCATGTTCTCACTCATAAGTGGGAGTTGAACAGTGAGAACACATGGACACAGGGAGGAGAACAACACACACCAGGGCCTGTCGGGGGAGTCGGGGGCAATGGGAGGAAGAGCATTAGGACAAATACCTAATGCATGTGGGGCTTAAAACCTAGATGACGGGTTGATCAGTGCACCAAAGCACCATGGCACATGTATACCTATGTAACAAACCTGCACGTTCTGCACGTGTATCCAGGAACTTAAAGTAAAATAAGATTTAAAACAAAAAGAAAATGCACTAAGGCCACGAGAAACATTTATTGCAAGGTCAAGGCTGACCACTCTAATTCTGGTGAACACAGAACTAAAGATAAAGTAGCTTCAGCTTAAAAGCTCTCCCTCAAATTTGAAAGTGCTAGAAATTTTTCTTCACAGCTTTCATCAGTATAGGGTATCTGTTTTTTTGAAAATGTGACATAGGAATAACATATCATATTTATGTGGGATTCTTTGGCTGGAAAAGTGAATTATGGGGTAAAAAAGAAAAGCCAAGAGTTGTTACTTAAAGATAGACTATGATATTAAAAGCACATTTCAGTTTATTTTGGAAGCTTTACTCTATGGATTTAGATACAGTATAAAAATGTAGATAGGTTAAAAATACAAACACACAGGGTTATATAAATATGTGTATTATGTCTTGTAATAAAGCCTTGAAATAAAACTGAGTCAGATGAGAATTCTCTACTCATCCCACCCACTCAGTACTTGTAAATCCAACTAGGTAATTAGCTCAGGTCAGTTGGTTGTTTTTTTTGGGGGAAGTGGGGGGATGACGCAGGGGGAAGGGAACGGAGTCTGGCTCTGTCGCCCAGGCTGGAGTGCAGTGGTGTGATCTCAGCTCATTGTAACCTCCACCTCCTGGGTTCAAGCGACCTCCTGAGTAGCTCGGATTACAGGCGTGCGCCACCACACCTGGCTAATTTTTGTATTTTTAGTAGAGATGGGGTTTCACCATGTTGGCCAGGCTGGTCTCAAACTCCCGACCTCAGGTGATCCACCCACCTCGGCCTCACAAAGCTCTAGGATTACAGGAGTGAGCCACAGCGCCCAGCCAGGACAGTTTTTCTAAAATTAGCAAATTATCTCAGCCCAGATGATTCCAATCAGCAAATTATAAAATTAGGTTCTTTCAGAGGGGGGCGAGGTGGCTCACACCTGTAATCCCAGCACTTTGGGAGGCCGAGGTGGGCGGATTGTAGCAGGACGAGTCACAGACAAAACTCCTCAGACACCGGATTAAAGGAAGAGGTTTTTTATGTGGCCGGGAGCATCGGCAGACTCGCGTCTTAAGAGCCGAGCTCCCCGAAAAAGAGATTCCTAGCCCTTTTAAGGGGTTACAACTCTAAGGGGTCTACGTGAAAGTCATAATAGATCAAGTAAGGTGAGCAACGTGACTGGGGGCTACATACATCAGCTAACAGAACAAAAAGTTTTACAGTGCTTTTGCATACAATGTCTGGAATTTACAGATAACACCAGTAGTTTTGGTCAGGGGTTAATATTATTATTATTATTTTAACCACCAGGGCCAGGTGGTGACGCCAAGGGTGTCTAGCTATTTATCTTACTTCTGTTTCTTTCCAACTTTTTGCTTTCTCCCTTTTCTCCTGTCTTATAAGCTAGGGAAAAGGGGAGGTTGGGGAGAAACTGGGAAGGACAACAGGAGAAGTGGTGGTCTCATTCCATAGGATGATGAGGTCAGGAGTTCAAGACCAGCCTAGCCAAAGTGGTGAAACCCCGTTACTAAAAAAAAAAAAAAAAAAAAAAAATACAAAAGTTAGCTGGGTGTGGCAGCGGGCACCTGTAATCCCAGGTACTCAGGAGGCTGAGGCAGGAGAATGGCTTGAACCCAGGAGGCGGAGCCTGCAGTGAGCCAAAACCACGCCATTGCACTCCAGCTTGGGTGACAGAATGAGACTCCATCACACACACACACACACACACAAAATTAGGTTTTGTGTTGTTTTTTTTTTTTTCCCAGAGCAGGAGTGGGCAAGAAGGAAAGTGCACTTGGGAGAAACCCAAGTGGGCACCTGACGTTTAAAGGGAGTAAAATTAGGTGATTTCAACTAGCCAGTTGCCTCAGCCCAGGTGTATCTAATTAGCCAATTAGCTCACCTTAGATGATTTCTATCAGCCAATCAGCTCAGCCTAGGTGGGTACATCCAGTCAATTATCTAAATAGGAACTGCAGATTCCTCAACTCAGGCTCCAAATGCTAGATGTGAATAGCATCCTATTCACATAGTTCTAGGAATAGGTCCTAGAAAAAATATGTTTATATGCAGATGTATTTGATGCAATTTTGTATCCATATTTATACAGAATAAAGATATAGGTGGTAGAAGTATTGATACTGAAATTAAAAAAACTTTCATGCAGGTATAAACTTCTATACCCTAAAAATTATATCTACAATAGTACAACATCCTGTTGCATTTTATATATATAAAGGAAGCATTGGTCCGTTTTGCTCAATTTTGTGATACTAAAATGGGAATTATGTGAGACTAAAATTGAAATTAAAAGGTCATGGGAATCATTCATTGCCAGGTCAAGGTTGACTCCTCTTTTTCTGGTAAAAATGGGCTCGCATATGAACCAGCCTCAGTATAAAAGCACTCACCCAAATTTCAGAATGCTTATTTCTTCTTATAGCTTCTGTCAAGATAGGGGTTAATTTGTTTCTATGAGTGTGGGATGTAAAAGTACACTTTTGTATTTACATCTTTGTGGCTAGAGTAGGGTCTTCATGGTAAAGAAAAGAAAGTCTAGGTCTGTTTTCAGAAGATATACTGTGATACTAAAAGTAAAATTATGGTAGATGGTAACTGACCACTTTTTTTTTTTTTTTTTTCTGAGACAGAGTCTCACTCTGTCACCCAGGCTAGAGTACAATGGCATGACCTCGACTCACTGCAACCTCTGCCTCCCAGGTTCAAGCGATTCTCCTGCCTCGGCCTCCCAAGTAGCTGGGATCACAGGTGTGCACCACCATGCTCAGCTAATTTTTATATTTTTAGTAGAGACGGGGTTTCACCATGTTGGCCAGGCTGGTCTCGAACTCCTGACCTCAGTTTACCCACGTGCCTCCACCTCTCAAAGTGCTGGGATTACAGGCGTGAGCCACAGTGCCCAGCCTACCTGACCACATTTCTACCAGGTAATAGTGAACATGTGCTGAAGTGTCAAAGGTGGATTTTATTAAGCAGGCCAGAGCTTGTTTGGACGAAGTCTAGGCCCACTGTTGTTAGGCATCTCTGACTGTTTATAGATGAATGGTTAGAACCACAAGTGGGCTCATTTAATGAAAAACTAAATTTAAAACACCTTGGAGCCAGTATCAAGGACATTTTCACATTAAAAAATGTGGTTTGGTGTTTGGCTTGTATTAGATAAATCTTCACAAAGTGAATTGGCTGATTGGATTCACCTGGCCTGGAGGTAAAGGCTATGGAAAGAACCTCTGACCTAGTTATTTGTGGGGGATTTTTAAATTTACATTTAAATATAAGATTGTGGATAAACATATACACACTGGCTGGGCACTGGCTCACGCCTGTAATTCCAGCACTTTGGGAGGCCAAGGCGGGTGGATCACCTGAGGTCAGGGGTTCAAAACCAGCCTGACCAACATGGTGAAACCCTATCTCTATTTAAAATACAAAAATTGGTTGGGCATGGTTGCGGGCGTCCTGTAACAATCTCTTCAGCACATAGCACCTGCTTAATAAACATTACATTAGTACACATGAAAATGTTGTTTTCCCAATGCAGATTTATTCAGACATGGCTGCTTTTTGTTTGTTCTGTAAACTTTAAAGAGCCAGCAAAAAATATGAAAATCAGTTGTCTTCATTTTTCCTAAAGTTGGCTTATTGAATTCACCTGTTCTGCCTTGGTTGGGAAGAGACATGACCTCTGATCTACTTTTCTTCTGAGGCTTTATTACCAAACATGCATATATGGGCATTACCTAAACAAACCCATGAAACACATTCTGTGTGTATATGTCTTTATTTTTTGGGCGCCTGTAATCCCAGCTACTTGGGAGGCTGAGGCAGGAGAATCGCTTGAACCTGGAAGGTGGAGGTTGCGCCATTACACTCCAGCCTGAGCAACAAGAGTGAAACTCCATCTAAAAAAAAAAAAAAAAGATATAGGAGTCATTGGCTAGGCGCGGTGGCTCACGCCTGTAATCCCAGCACTTTGGGAGGCCGAGGCAGATGGATCACCTGAGGTCGGGAGTTTGAGACCAGTCTGACCAACATGGAGAAACCCTGTCTCTACTAAAAATACAAAATTAGCCAGGCATGGTGGTGCATGCCTGTAATCCCAGCTACTCGGGAGGCTAAGGCAGGAGAATTGCTTGAATCCAGGAGTCGGAGGTTGCAGTGAGCTGAGATTGCACCATTGTACTCCAGCCTGGGCAACAAGAGTGAAACTCCTCTTAAAAAAAAAAAAAAAAAGATATAGGATTCATTGAAAGAGGTAAAATGGTTGACTGGTGCCTAATGAAGTGTGTAGAAATCTAGTCTAACCTCTCCAGATGTGACTGTAGAGGACTATAGATACCAAATAGGCAGAGAAACAATTCTGCCTGCACATTTAGGAAACAAAATCCACTGTGCAGCACAATTGTGAGTTGACTGGAAGCCTGAGAGAGAAAGGCCCCTCTAGAGTAAACCTTGGTTGTCACCTTACATGTTTATATTACGTCTGGTAATTCTAGACAGTGTTTGGGAAATGTAATTAAAATAAAAATTTTCCCCAGCCCCAGAGTAACTTCACAATGATAGAATAGAAAAAAAAAAAAAAAAAACAAAAAAAAAACTGTTTTACTACACAATTAAATCAGAATGTGACATGCATCAGTCAATCTCCTTAAGAGATTGTAAAGAGAAAAATATGGTCACCATAATTAATCCACAAGCAGAAGAATTTGCACACCATGTCATACATAGTTTATCCTGAATTCACCTGTCAATTGGGGGAGGCCATGCATGTGTGCTAATTGATATAAACAATGACAAAATAAACTCACATCTTCATGACAAGTGGTAATTTTACAACTTGAATCCAGGTGCATGCTGAAGGTAGGCTCTCACTCTTTTACAAAAATGATTGAAAAGGGCACTATCTTTTTGATCATTTACATTTTAAAGCAATGGCTGTCTACTCCCTGAGCACTGGGCTGTATGTAGCACACCTACTTGCCTTCTACTGGTGGCTGGTGTCATCTTTTGACCCCTACCATCTGCTACTGAGGCACAGCCCACAGCATACAGCTCACATATTACATGGACACCAATTGCCACAACATCACTCCAGTGCCGCGTCAGAGAGTGAGGCCTGAGCTGCAGGAGAGCCTGCAGGCCTCCTGGGTAGGACTGCACCTTCGCAAGAATGGAAACGGGAGCAGTGTTTCAGCCTCACTTTCTAGGTGACATGAAAAAATACTGCTGGATTTCCAAGACAAGTCCGGATAGAGATAGCTCCAAGGGTTTTCACTATGATAGCCCACCTCATTCATAGACACCATGGGATATTAATAGGGCTTCTGAAACAGAAACCCAAAGCATTGGAAGAAAAACAGCTCTCAGTCTGAGCAAGATTATATTGAGAAAAAGAAGTTAAAAGCATTCTTTAAAAAACTCAGATTAGATATAAGATTGATCAAGTTTACCAGAAAATATTCCCCTAAACGAAATTTCTTTCTAAACACTCAAAGTGCACAGCTACTCTCAGCATGAGAAACATGAGTGTTATGAAGAAAGGGGGCATATTCTCAGCAGAATTTAGTAAGGTTTCTCTCCCATCTCTGGGGCTCTCATCTCCTAGCCATTGAATAGGGGATTTATATTGAAATACATCTGACAATTTCCATCAGCACTTTTTGGATGAAGAATTGAAATATGACTTTGTTCATACAGTGGAATATATTTGAGTTTGCAACATGGCTAACTAAAGAGGTATTATGGTTTTTGGGTGCCCACATCGTCCTTGTTTATTTGTCCTGTAATAGCAGCATTCCAATTTAGTGAAATGAAAGACACTAAAATCATGCTTACCTATAATTATGCCTTTGGATAAATTAATAAGCATGTGAGACTAATATCTACTGTAACAATTTGGTAGTGAATTTTCTTTGGATATTAGATGTAAATATCTAAGTATAATTTGTGTACTAGCCATAATGTACATAAAAATTTTTTAAGTTGTCTGTAACCATAATTCAATTAAAACCCTTTATATTGCAGAAGTATGAATAACGATTTAAAATGACCATTTAAGGGATCTATTCAAAGTAAATACTGTGGCTTTATATTCATACTATTGTAGAAAATACTGTTTAATTTTTTCTACAAACACTACACATAACTATTCTTACTGTTCTGAAGAAATAAACAGAAATCAAAGTACAACTCCAGACTTCACTTTTCATACACTGAACCTTTTGCAGTGTAAGTACTTCAGCCTGCAAATATTGCATAACTACTTTGGATAATCAGTATTTTTTGTCAAAAGAACTTACTCAGTATAGTAAAGTCTATCATTCTGTACTGCTAAATTTAATCCTATCCTTGTGCTCAACTTTTGTGTGTCTTAAAATGAGCTCTAATCTAAACAAATCAGTCTACTTTAAAAGACCAAAAATAAAAAAACAAAAACAAATAAATCTGAGGTACTAGATAAAGACAATCTTGAGTCAAAAATAGTAACAAAAGGTTTCTATGGCTGTTACTATGATTTACATATCTTTCAAAACAAAGAAAAAATCTACATATAATCTGAATGCTTTAAGAAAAGAGAGATTGGCAAAATATCCTCTCTTATTTTTAACAAAGGAGAATAAAGACTCATTTCTTTTTTTTTGTGACATAGTCTTGCTCTGTAGCCCAGAAAGGAGTGCAGTGGCCTGATCTTGGCTCACTGCAACCTCAGCCTCCCGGGATCAAGCGATTTGCCTGCCTCAGCTTCCCGAGTAGCTGGGACTACAGGCGTGCACCACCATACCTGGCTAATTTTTGTATTTTCAGTAGAGACGGGGTTTCACCATATTGGCCAGGCTGGTCTCAAACTCCTGACCTTGTGATCCACCCGCCTCGACCTCCCAAAGTGCTGGGATTACAGGCATGAGCCACCACGCCCAGCCAAAGCCTCTTCTTTCTAATTTATATTTTCTCCTACAATAGCCAGGTCTCTGGACATGTTCTTGAACTCCAGGACATCTGAATTTTGCACACTGAAAGAATGTTTGTGGGGAGAAAAGCAGAAGAGAGAAAGGTGTTATTTAAAAAGCAAATTCTTAGAGATTTATGAAGAAACTTGGATTCTCACACAATAACAAGAGACAACACCCCAGAAACACTAATAGATCACTGAGGCAGGAATTTTATGAAGATATTAGGACCCAAACTCATCACTCGAACAAATGGTCCTAATAGACATCCACAGAACTCTCCTAAATAGACATCTACAGAACTTTATTTAAAAACAACATAATATACATTATTCTCCATCACCATGTGGCACATACTCTAAAATATTGACCACACAATCAGAAATAAAACAATTCTTAGCAAATTCAAACATCCCAAAATCATACCAACCACACACTCAGATCACAGCTTGATAAAAATATAATTCAATACAAAGATAACCACTTGAAACCATATAATTACATGGAAATTAAACAAGCTGCACCTGAATGACTCTTGGGTAAATAATGAAATTAAGGCAGAAATCAAAACATTATTTGAAACAAATGAGAACAAAGTACAACATACCAGAATCTCTGCAACACAGCTAAGGCAGTGTTAAGAGGAAAATTTATAGCACTAAATGCTCACATCAAAAAGTTAAAAAGTGGGCCCGGGTGTGGTGGCTCACGCCTGTAACCCCAGCACTTTAGGAGGCTAAGGTGGGCGGATCACGAGGTCAGGAGATCAAGACCATCCTGGCTAACACGGTGAAACCCTGTCTGTATTAAAAATACAAAAAATTAGCTGGGCGTGATGGCGGGTGCCTGTAGTCCCAGCTACTCAGGAGGCTGAGGCAGGAGAATGGCGTGAACCTGGGAGGCAGAGCTTGCAGTGAGCCGAGATCACGCCACTGCATTCCAGCCTGGGCGACAGAGTGAGACTCTGTCTCAAAAAAAAAAAAGTTAAAAAGTTCTCAACAACCTAACATAATAAAAGTATGAGAGAAGCAAGAGAAAACCAACCCCTAAGCTAGCAGAAGGCAAATAATAACCAAAATTAGATCTGTACTAAAGGAGATTTAGACATTAAAATACAAATAACTATTGAAATCTACTATGAACACCTCTACGCACACAAACTAGAAAATCTAAAATGAATAAATTTCTGAATACATCCTAACAAAACTGAACAACAACAAAAATTGAATCCCTGAATAGACCAATAACAAGCTTCAAAACTGAATTACTAATAAGTAACCTAGCAACCAAGAAAACCCCAGGACCAGAGAGATTCACAGCTGAATTTTACCAGAGGTACAAAAAAGAGCTGCTACCATTTCTTCTAAAACTATTCCAAAAAATTAAGGCACTCCTCCCCAACATATTATATAAGAATAGCATCATTCTGATACCAAAACCTAGCAGAGCTAAAACAGAAAAAGAAAACTTCAGGCCAATATTCTTGATGACCACTGATGCAAAAATCTTCAACAAAATACTGGCAAACTGAATCCCGCAGCACATCAAAAAGCCAATCCATAGGCCGGGCCCAGTGGCTCACGCCTGTAATCCCAGCACTTTGGGAGGCTGAGGCAGGCAGATCACGAGGTCAGGAGATCGTGACCATCCTGGCTAACACAGTGAAACCCCATCTCTACTAAAAATACAAACAATTAGCCAGGCGTGGTGGTGGGCACCTGTAGTCCCAGCTACTTGGGAGGCTGAGGCAGGAGGATGGCGTGAACCCAGGAGGCAGAGCTTGCAGTGAGCCAAGATAGTGCCACTGCAATCTGGCCTGGGTGAAAGAGCGAGACTCTGTCTCAAAAAAAAAAAAAAAAAAAAGAAATGTACAGATCTAATGTTATTCCTACCAAACTACCAAAAACATGCTCAACAACAACAACAAAACTATTTAAAAATTCACATGGAACCAACAAAGAGCCCAAATAGCCAAGGCACTTCTAAGCAAAAAGAACAAAGCTGGAGACATTACATCACCCAATTTCAAACTATACTAAAGAACTACAGTAATTAAAGCAGCATGGCACTAGTACAAAAACAGATTCATAGACCAATGCAACAGAATAGAGCCCAGAAATAATGCCACACATCTACAACCATCTGATCTTCAACAAAGCTGACAAGGGGAATGTGGGAAGAATTCCCTATTAATAAATAGTGCTGTAATAATTAGCTAACACTATGTAGAAGATTGAAACCAAATGCCTTTATTACACCATGTACCAAAATCAACTCAAGATAAATTAAGGACTTAAATGTGAAACTTAAAATTATAAAATATCCGGCCAGACACGGTGGCTCATGCCTGTAATCCCAGCACTTTGGGAGGCTGAGGCGGGTGGATCACAAGGTCAGGAGATCGAGACCATCCTGGCTAACACAGTGAAACCCCATCTCTACTAAAAATACAAAAATTAGCTGGGCATGGTGGCATGCGCCTGTGGTCTCAGCTGCTGGGGAGGCTGAGGCAGGAGAATGGCATGAACCCAGGAGGCAGAGCTTGCAGTGAGCCAAGATCGTGCCACTGCACTCCAGCCTGGGCGACAGACCGAGACTGCATCTCAAAAAAAAAAAAAAATTATAAAATACCCTGGAAGATAACCTAGGAAATACCATTCTGGACATAGAAACTGGCAATAATTTTATGATGAAGGTAAGAAAAGCAATTGAAACAAAAGCAAAAATTGACAAATGGGACCTAATTAAAGAGGTATTTCACAGCAGAGAAAACTATCAACACAGTAAACAGACAACCTACAAACTAAAAGAAAATATTTGCAAACTATGCTTCTGAGAAACGTCTAACATCCAGCATCCATAAGGAACATACATAAATTTATAAAAACAACATTATAAAGTAGGCAAAAGACATGAACAGATGCTTTTCAAAAAAGACATACATGTGGCTAACAAGCATATGAAAAAATGCACATCACTAGTTATTAGAGAAATGCAGAGAAAAACCACAATAGCATCTCACACCAGTCAGAATTGCTATTATTAAAGTCAAAAAATCACAGATGCTGGCAAGGTTGAAGTGAGAAAGGAATGGTATACACTATTAGTGGGAGTATAAATTATTTCAACCACTGTGAAAAGGAGTGTGTTTATCACAAAACTAAAAAGAGAATTACCATTTAACTAAGCAACCTCATAATTGGATATATAACCAAAGTAATATAAATTATTTTATCATAAAGACACATGCACATGTATGTTCACTGCAGCCCTATTCACAATAACAAAAACATAGAATCACCTGGTATACCTATCAATGGTAGACTGGATAAAGAAAATATAATATGGCAGGGTACACTGGATCACACACCTGTTTGGGAGGCCAAGTGATGTGGATTGCCTGAGCTCAAAAGTTCGAGACCAGCCTGGGAAATGTGGAAAAACCCCATCTCTACAAAAAATACAAAATGAAAAATTAGGCTGAGCGCAGTGGCTCATGCCTGTAATCCCAGCACTTTGGGGGGCTGAGGCAGGCGGATCATGAGGTCAGGAGTTCAAGACCAGCCTGGCCAACATGGTGAAACCCTGTCTCTATTAAAAATACAAAAATTAGCTGGGTGTCGTGTAGTGTGTCTATAATCCCAGCTACTCAGGAGGCTGAGGCATGAGAATCACTTGAACCCAGAAGGCGGAGGTTGCAGTGAGGCAAGATTGCACCACTGCACTCCAACCTGGCAACAGAGGGAGGATCTGTCTAAAAAGAAAGAAAGAAAGAAAAAAAAAAAAGAAAAATTAGCCAGGAATAACGGTGCATGCCTGTAGTCCCAAGTACCTGGGGGGCTGAGGTAGGACGATTTCTTGAGCCCAGGAGGTTGAGGCTGCAGCGAGCCAAGATCACACCACTGCACTGCAGCCTGGACTACAGCATTAGACCCTGCCTCCAAAAATAAAAGGCTTAATAAAAACAAAATATGGTACATAAACATCATGGAATACTGTGTGGCCATAAAAAAGACCAAGATTATTTTCTTTGCAGCAACATGGATAGAGCTGGAGACCATTATCTTTAGAAAATTAATGCAGAAACAAAGCCAAATGCATTTTCTCATTTATAAGAGCTAAATAATAAGAACACATGGACACAAAGAGAGGAACAACAGACACTAAAGCCTAATTCAGGGTGGAGGATGAAAGGACAAAAAGGATCAAATCAATACTTGTTTAGTGCTATGCTTGTACCTCAGCAACAAAATAATCTGCACACCATAGCCCCATAACACAGTTTTATCTATAAAACAATCCTGCACGTGTACCCCTGAATCAAAAATGAAAGTTAAAAGAAAAAAAAAAAATCAACCAGCCATGGTGGCTCACACCTGTAATCCCAGCACTTTGGGAGGCCAAGGTGGGCAGATCACCTGAGGTCAGGAGTTCGAGACCAGCGTGGCCAACATGGTGAAACCCATCTCTACTAAAAACACAAAATTAGCTGGGTGTGGTGGCACACACCTGTAATCCCAGTTACTCAAGAAGCTGAGGCAGGAGAATCACTTATCACCTGAACCCAGGAGGTGGAGGTTGCAGTGAGCTGAGATCACACCATTACACTCCAGCCTGGACAAAAAGAGCAAAACTCCATCTCAAAAAAAAAAAAAAAAGAAAAGAAAAAAAATCCATGGGTGGGGGACAGTACAATGTAGGTGGAAGGACAGTACAATGTATCTGGTCTATGCTACAGATAGTGGCCCAGGTGCCGCTGTCCTCTCATTTGTGTCCATGAAGGCAGATGAGATTATGAACAGATGGTCCAGAATCCCAGGCTGGTGGAGAAAACGGGTTCGTACTGCAGATTCAGTGTCTTGGTATAGGAATATGTCAGGAGCCTTGTGGACACTTTTGAGGGTTTTGGCAAGAAATACCAGGATAAAATATGCTGTGGTGAAATTCCTGGGGGGTGGTGTCTATTCCTGGGAGGGGTGTGAACACCTCAATGTCTAGCATCTTTTTTTTTTTTTTTCCCAGAAACTCAAAGTCAGTGATTTATTTTTTATTATGTTAAAGGTGACAAATCTTGGCTTAAGAAAAACTAGATTTGTGACTAAAGGAAACATTTTCTTGGAGCTTTTCATTGTTCTGGCTTAAATTTCCTTTTAAAAAGTAACTTTCCGGCCGGGCGCAGTGGCTCACGCCTGTAATCCCAGCACTTTGGGAGGCCGAGGTGGGCGGAT
This sequence comes from Homo sapiens, assembly GCF_000001405.40. Lineage (NCBI taxonomy): Eukaryota > Metazoa > Chordata > Mammalia > Primates > Hominidae > Homo > Homo sapiens. The sequence continues at coordinate 64,584,083 of NC_000007.14, read as the reverse complement.
CAGGAGGTCAGGAGATTGAGACCATCCTGGCTAACACAGTGAAACCCTGTCTCTACTAAAAATACAAAAAATTAGCCGGGTGTGGTGGCGGGCGCCTGTAGTCCCAGCTACTTGGGAGGCTGAGGCAGGAGAATGGGGTGAACCCGGGAGGCGGAGGTTGCAGTGAGCGGAGATAGTGCCACTGCACTCCAGCCTGGGCTACAGAGCAAGACTCCGTCTCAAAAAAAAAAAAAAAAAAAAAAAAAGTAACTTTCCATAAGTTAAAGTTAGCACTTTCACAAATACTAGCAGAGTCACTAAATGAAATATCAACATCAAAACAAAAAACATGATTAACAAAAAAATATTTTATTATTTTGCTGCAAAGCTGTTGCTTCACTGTGTAAAAATAGCATCAGCAAATGCAGTGTATTGCAAAATTAAGATAGTATTGTTCCTCATCTGACACTGTACAAGCAACAAAAACCTCTTCACTCCCAGTTATTTCCAATAGAAAGATCATTAAGTATTTCAGGCCAAATCCAGGTATGGATATATGCAAGTTACAATATTATATAAAGCTTAAGAATAACATTATCTTTGAATTATGTAATTTTTATAACCAGTTTTTACCATGGATAATCTCATGAATTCTGAATACCAGAGCCTAGACTAAAAATCATAGGATATTGTGGAAAAGACGTGTATTATCTTTATCTATAATCATTAGAAAGTTAAAGGGCATTTTCTTTCATTAGCAGTGTTAACAGTAGTTTTTCCTCCCCCCCCCCATCGGTAATGCTGAAAGTTGCTATTCTAAGTCTTCCATCCACCACTAATTTAAGACAGCTCTGCTGGGTTATTTCACACTAGTTTATTTAGGGGTTCCATTTTCACTCCTCAATAGATTTTCTCTATCTCTCATATACTTCTTCACTCATAAGTTCATCTAGTTCTGAAGGGTTACTTAGTGTCATCTTGATCAGCCAACCATCTTCATAACAAGATTTGTTTACAAGTCCTGGATTTTCTCCAAGAGCTTCATTAATTTAAGTTACTTCTCCTGATAAAGGAGAATAGAGTTCACTAGCAGCTTTCACACTTTCCAAAGCACCAAACTCATCTTGTTTGTTCTTTTGTCCCAACTTCAGGCAGACTACAGTAAACAATATCTCCCAACGTTTCCTGTGCAAAACTGCTGACTCCCAGTGTTCCAATATCATTTTCTGTTGCCATCCATTCATGTTTCTCTGTGAATTTACGCACCGAGAGCAGAGGTGGTCCCGCGCGCAGCGTCCGAACAGCGCCCACCCCCCAGCTGCCAGGGCCTCGGCGGGCAGGGCGCGGCGGGTGACAGGGCCGCGTGAAGGGTGCGCCCGCACACATGCTCCGCGCCACTCGCAGCGCCACTCTCCAGCGCCACGTTCGCAGGGGTGCTGGGGGTCGCAGCCCTAAGCCTCAGCCAACGGCGCGGGGAGGCGGGGCGGGGCGGGGCCTCTAGTAGGTATCTTTGTTAGTGGGTGAAAATCCTGTGGTGGTAGCTGTGGGGAAAAGGTGATCTGTTATCAGCGCTCCTTTCCTTTAAGTTTTCAGTCCTCTCTCACCCTGGGAGGTGACCTGAATCACAGGACAATGGGCAGTGTGACAGCCTGTGTACAGGAGAGCAGAGCCTCCCTTTCCCAGATACCTAGAGTTACATTCCAGGCCAGGCCTCTGAGATATCTTTCTTCTGGCACCAAATCTGTAGTTTGCTGAATATCAAGTAATTCTCCAACACCAACGCACTGTCTAAAACTTGAATTCTGATTGTTAGTCCAAGCTGCACCATTTTGTAAGCCCCCCACCACCACCATTTCGCAGACCATGGTCAGAATGAAACATTCCACGGGGATTCGGGCCGTGCCAAACATCCTGCCCAACCACAGGATTTTCTTATCACACACGTCTGTGTAACAGTCCAAGCAACCTCCTTATTACATCTTGCTGGAAAAAGGGCCAAACTGCCTGACCACAAGAACATCTTATCAACATCCATCCAGGCAGCAAGCCATACTGCCTAGATCCCTCCCACCAGTCTGAGCCAACATACAATTCCATTTTATATCCTTCCTAAGAACATGCTGACTTCAGGGTACAACACTTCCTAATCCAAAATCTTGATATTTTCTCACTCCATTTGCCATTCCCCTTCCACCTTCTTTCTAATCTTGTTTTCTCCTCCCTATGAAAGAAAGCCTTTGTCTGCCTAAACTTTGCAATCCTTAAAGATTTTATAGCTGGTACTTCCTTCTGTTGCAATACTCTTTTAAAATTCAAATGTTTTAATAGAAACCTAATTTTGTTTTATTTTACAAAATCTAGAAACTGCCTCAAAACAATAACAACTTTATTTTCAGTAAGACCCTCCCATTCCTTTTCCATTTTAACTTTAACTGCATCTGCCTGTGGGTCCCCAGCTTTCCAGGGGTCTGTAGCTTCTCTCAGTATAAAGGCTTCTTCCACGGCTGGTGTGAGCAAGCTGGGACATCTGCAGGGGCGGCTCCCCAGAAAGAACTAACTGGGACTTTTAATAACCTCCTTTTGCAGACTCAATATTAGCCTTAGCTTGAAGTCACAGGGCTCAAGCCTTAATTTCCATGTCAGTTATTCATTTGGTTTTTGAAACTAAGTGTTTGAAAAATCCAGCAAAATTACTCAAACATGGTGTTAATATAAGAGAAGAATTTTTTTTTTTTTCTTTTCAGACAGTCTTGCTCTCTTGCCCAGGCTGGAGCACAGTGGCACAATCTCGGCTCACTGCAATCTCTGCCTCCCACGTTCAAGAGATTCTCCTCCCTCAGCCTCCTGAGTAGCTGGGATTACAGGCACCCGCCACCACGCCTAGCTAATTTTTGTATATTTAGTAGAGACGGGGTTTCACCATGTTGGCCAGGCTGGTCTTGAACTCCTGACCTCAGGTGATCCGCCTGCCTTGGCCTCCCAAAGTGCTGGGATTACAGGAGTGAGCCACCGCACCCGGCCGACAGTTATATTTTATACCTCAATAAGAAATGCAAAAGTATCTATTCCTTTCAAAAAATAAACCCGTTATTATTTTTTTTTTTTTAATTTGAGACGGAGTCTCGCTCTGTCGCCCAGGCTGGAGTGCAGTGGCGCGATCTCAACTCATTGCAAGCTCCGCCTCCCGGGTTCACGCCATTCTCCTGCCTCAGCCTCCTAAGTAGCTGGGACTACAGGCGTCCGCCGCCACGCCCAGCTAATTTTTTTGTATTTTTAGTAGAGACGGGGTTTCACGGTGTTAGCCAGGATGGTCTCGATCTCCTGACCTCGTGATCCGCCCGCCTCGGCCTCCCAAAGTGCTGGGATTACAGGCTTGAGCCACCGCGCCCGGCCCCATTATTATTTCTATTAAAAATTATGTAGTAGGCCAGGCGTGGTGGCTCACACCTGTGATCCCAGCACTTTGGGAGGCTGAGGCGTGTGGATCATGAGGTCAGGATCACGAGGTCAGGAGACCGAGACCATCCTGGGTAACACGGTGAAATCCCATCTCTACTAAAAAAAAAAAAAAAAAAAAAAAAATTAGCCGGGCATGGTGGCACACACCTGTAGTCCCAGCTACTCGGGAGGCTGAGGCAGGAGAATCACTTCAACGTGGGAGGCAGAGGTTGCAGTGAGTCCAGCTTGTGCCACTGCACTCCAGCCTAGGCGACAGAGCGAGATTGTCTCAAAAAAAAAAAAATTATGTAGTAGACAACTAGTCATATGGGAACACTTCTAGGAGTATCAAGTTTCAGCTCATAAAATTTAGCATAAATCTCAGAAATCAAGATGATAGGATATAGAACATAGTGTCACAAATTTACTCTGCCAAAGGAGGAACTGATGTTTTCATAAATCTATGTAACTCACCAATTATTTACCACATTTTCTTGTGGAAATGTATTTATTTTCTGCAGCCAAAATGAAAGAGAGTTTTTTTCTATTCTTTTCCTTGGTAGCATTCTAAAAGCTAAGTCTTGGAATTCTGTTTGTAATCACCCAGCCATTTAAAAAAGACACACACACCTGAGAAAATTCCAGAACTCACTCTGGGCAAGAAAAAGGTAAATGAGAATCGTTAACAAATGGAGTATGAAATTAGGTATTAATTTACTCTGAAACCCACCTCTTTGATACCCTTTGTGAACATTTTCTTACCTTTTAAGTCCCACTAATAAAATGCAAGTTACAGTTTAAAAGCTGAAGTCAAAATAAGTGAACAAATTTTTTCAAGGTAACAAACCTAAAGAGTGGCAGTACTGATGAGAAAACAAATGTGTCTGACTCACGTGTCAAATCAGGCCATCTAATCACTTGAAAGATTCTCCCACCCCATCCTACTTATTTAAGTTCTCAAAGACCACCCTCTCAGGAGACACTGCCCTATGCCTCAGTGAGTGCCCCAGATGCTTTTTACTTTGCAAGTTCTTGCACCATTTCACTGGGGTCATGTTTGGGTTTTTTGTCTTTGGGGATACTACTTTTTCTTTCACAAATCTTAGAGAATACAGGTGGCAGAAATTATTTCTGTGCTTCACCCTCAATGGCAGCATCTGATTGGCTGACCAGCAATGTGTCTCCAAGAAATAAGCTGGGTTGGGCAAAGACAATCTTAATATCTAAAAAAGCCTGGACACGGTAGCTCACGCCTGTAATCCCAGCACTTTGGGAGACCGAGATGGGCAGATTACCTGGGGTCAGGAGTTCGAAACCAGCCTGGCCAACATGACAAAACCCCATCTCTACTAAAAACACAAAAATTAGGCCGGGCGCGGTGGCTCACGCCTGTAATCCCAGCACTTTGAGAGGCCGAGGCAGGCAGATCATGAGGTCAGGAGATCGAGACCATCCTGGCTAACATGGTGAAACCCCATCTCTATGAAAAATACAAAAAATTAGCCGGGCGTGGTGGCAGGCGCCAGTAGTCCCAGCTACTCGGGAGGCTGAGGCAGGAGGCTAGAGAATGGCATGAATCCGGGAGGCGGAGCTTGCAGTGAGCGGAGATCGCGCCACTACACTCCAGCCTGGGCGACAGAGCGAGACAAACAACAATAACAACAACAAAATTAGCTGGGTGTGGTGGGCGCCTGTAATCCCAGCGACTTGGGAGGCTGAGGCAGAAGAATTGCTTGAAGCTGGGAAGCAGAGGTTGCAGTGAGCCAAGATCGCGCCACTCCACTCCAGTTTTCGCGACTCTGTCTCAAAAAAAAAAAAAAAAAAAATCTAAAAAGGTTTGCTTTTCCGAGGAAGACTACACCAGGAGATTCCTCTCAGCCCCAGGGCACCCACCTGCTCCCTTGAGAGGCTACACTCCATACCTCAGGTTGTCTTATGGGAGAAAATGACTCAGGAGCTGATATTCACTAGACACTCTAGCCGACATAGCCACAGTGGATATCTTGATTTATCCCCAGACAGTACTGAAACCCAGGACCAGAAAAAAACTGAAGGGTGGCTAAGGACGCATCACTCCATAAAGTTTCCAAAGGGAAACCTTCACCCAAAAACATTCTGATAAAATCTCTGTGGCTAGGAAAGATAAAAGGAAAAGAGGCACAGAGATTTTTTACAATAAAGCGTCAGGGGAATTATTCTGCTTTCTTCTCATGGGAAATAATTTCAAACAGAAAACAAAGTGCCATCCAACGCTTTATCAAAAAATGATTAAAATACGGAATATAAAATGCATACTGAATGGCAAAAATTTAAATGCATTCTAAATCTAATGCTTTTCTTTTCTTTTCTTTTCTTTTTTTTTTTTTTTGAGACAGTTTTGCTCTTGTTGCCCAGGCTGGAGTGCAATGGCGCAATCTCTGCTCATCGCAACCTCCGCCTCCCAGGTTCAAGTAATTCTCCTGCCTCAGGCTCGCGCCTCAGCCTCCCAAGTAGCTGGGATTACAGGCATGTGCCACCACGCCAGCTAGTTTTGTATTTTTTTTTTTTTTTATTGATCATTCTTGGGTGTTTGTCGCAGAGGGGGATTTGGCAGGGTCATAGGACAATAGTGGAGGGAAGGTCAGCAGATAAGCAAGTGAACAAAGGTCTCTGGTTTTCCTAGGCAGAGGACCCTGCGGCCCTCCGCGGTGTTTGTGTCCCTGGGTACTTGAGATTAGGGAGTGGTGATGACTCTTAAGGAGCATGCTGCCTTCAAGCATCTGTTTAACAAAGCACATCTTGCACCGCCCTTAATCCATTTAACCCTGAGTGGACACAGCACATGTTTCAGAGAGCACAGGGTTGGGGGTAAGGTCACAGATCAACATGATCCCAAGGCAGAAGAATTTTTCCCAGTACAGAACAAAATGAAAAGTCTCCAATGTCTACTTCCTTCTACACATACACAGCAACCATCCGATTTCTCAATCTTTTCCCCACCTTTCCCCCTTTTCTATTCCACAAAACCGCCATTGTCATCATGGCCCGTTCTCAATGAGCTGTTGGGTACACCTCCCAGACGGGGTGGTGGCCGGGCAGAGGGGCTCCTCACTTCTCAGACGTGGCGGCCGGGCAGAGACGCTCCTCACCTCCCAGATGGGGTCGCGGCCGGGCAGAGGCGCTCCTCACATCCCAGATGGGGAGGCGGGGCAGAGGTGCTCCCCACATCTCAGACGATGGGCGGCGGGGCAGAGACGCTCCTCACTTCCTAGATGGGATGGCGGCCGGGCAGAGGCGCTCCTCACATCCCAGATGGGGAGGCGGGGCAGAGGTGCTCCCCACATCTCAGACGATGGGCGGCCAGGCAGAGACGCTCCTCACTTCCCAGACGGGGTGGCGGCCGGGCAGAGGCTGCAATCTCGGCACTTTGGGAGGCAAAGGCAGGCGGCTGGGAGGTGGAGGTTGTAGCGAGCCGAGATGACGCCACTGCACTCCAGCCTGGGCGCCATTGAGCACTGAGTGAACGAGACTCCGTCTGCAATCCCGGCACCTCGGGAGGCCGAGGCTGGCGATCACTCGCGGTTAGGAGCTGGAGACCAGCCCGGCCAACACAGCGAAACCCCGTCTCCACCAAAAAAATACGAAAAGCCAGTCAGGCGTGGCGGCGCGCGCCTGCAATCGCAGGCACTCGGCAGGCTGAGGCAGGAGAATCAGGCAGGGAGGTTGCAGTGAAACGAGATGGCAGCAGTACAGTCCAGCTTCGGCTCGGCATCAGAGGGAGACCGTGGAAAGAGAGGGAGAGGAAGACCGTGGGGAGAGGGAGACCGTGGGGAGAGGGAGACCGTGGGGAGAGGAGAGGGAGAGAGAGGGGGAGGGGGAGGGGGAGGGGGAGGGGGAGAGGGAGAGGGAGAGGGAGAGCTAATTTTGTATTTTTAGTAGAGACGGGGTTTCTCCATGTTGGTCAGGCTGGTCTCCGTGATCCATCCGCCTCGGCCTCCCATTGTGCTGGGATTACAGGCGTGAGCCACCGCGACCGGCAATCTAATGCATTTTTTTTGTAAATTACTCTTTGGGGAAACAAAATTCAGCCTTAACCAACTATAAACTGCCAATTAACCAATGAATACCTAACCAGGAAATGTCCACCTTGATCGTACAAATTAAGAAACTACATAACTCTACTAAATCAGTTATTGAATTTGGGTTTCTCCATCATGCACTTTATATATAAAGTTTTTCTTTTATATTTAAAGTTTTAGGGACATGGATGAAGCTGGAAACCACCATTCTGAGCAAACTATCTCAAGGACAGAAAACCAAACACCGCATGTTCTCACTCATAGGTGGGAATTGAACAATGAGAACACTTGGACACAGGGTGGGGAACATCACACACCGGGGCCTGTCGTGGGGTCGGGGGAGGAGAGAGGGATAGCATTAGGAGATACACCTAATGTAAATGACAAGGTAACGGGTGCAGCACACCAACATGGCACATGTATACATATGTAACAAAGCTACACGTTGTGCACATGTACCCTAGAACTTAAAGTATAAAAAAAAAACCAAAAAAATAAAAAAAGGAATCGTTATAGAAAGTACTATGTAGAGATATAAGAGAAGCAGTAAAATCTCATTATAAATAAAAATAAATAAACTTTTATATATAAAGTTTTTCATGGACCACAAACTACACACCATAGCTGCTAGCTGGGTGCTCTTCAATTCTTGAATTACTCTTTTTTTTTTTTTTTTTTTTTTTTTTGAGACGGATTCTCGCTCTGTCGCCCAGGCTGGAGTGCAGTGGCGCAATCTCGGCTCACTGCAAGCTCCGCCTCCTGGGTTGACGCCATTCTCCTGCCTCAGCCTCCTGAGTAGCTGGGACTACAGGAGCCTGCCACCACGCCTGGCTAATTTTTTGTATTTTTAGTAGAGACGGGGTTTCACCGTGTTAGCCAGGATGGTCTTGATCTCCTGACCTCGTGATCCGCCCGCCTCGGCCTCCCAAAGTGCTGGGATTACAGGCGTAAGCCACCGCGCCCGGCCCTTGAATTACTCTTTGATTTTGTTCTTTAATATTTTTACCTTGACTCCCATACTTTTTTTTTCTTTTTTTTTGAGACGGAGTTTCGCTCTTCTTGCCCAGGCTGGAGCGCAATGGCGCGATCTCGACTCACTGCAAACTTCGCCTCCCGGGTTCAAGCTATTCTCCTGCCTCAGCCTCCAGGGTAGCTGGGATTACAGGCGCCTGCCACAACGCCCAGCTAATTTTTGTATGTTTAGTAGAGACGGGGTTTCACCCTGTTGACCAGGCTGGTCTTGAACTTCTGACCTCAGGTGATCCACCCGCCTCGGCCTCCCAAAGTGCTGGAATTACCGCGTGAGCCACCGCGCCCGGCCCGACTCCCATAAATTTTTAATCAAAAAAAAAAAAAAAAAAAAAAAAAAAAAGGCGGGGGCACTGGAAACACCACGGCCCAAAGCTCTTCTCATTCATGAACCCCACACCCTGAGTCAGGATTTTCCCTTGACTACCGTCCCGTGGTCCCGGCACAATGGGGAGAGATGCGGCGATGCCGGTGCAGAGCTGCCCAGCGAGAGCTCCAGGCCATGGCACAGTCACCGCGCAGGGAGGAGACAGGACGCCCGGGGTCCTGGCTGTCAGCTCAGCCGCCATCTTATGGCTGAAGGGGACTGAGGGCCGAGCTGTACCAAGGACAACTCTGGCCAAGGATTTTGGAGCCGACAGCGGGGAGGCCGGAGTCCCGCCACAGCCACTTCAGACTGGTTCCAACCAGCCCCTCCCCCTCTCTCGGGGTGTCTGACCCAGCAGACTCACCATTTTTCTAGGCTTCCCAGGGGGTCCTGGCATCTTAGCTGTGGATCTCCCAATACCTACAGGTCACAGGGACACAGAAGCTGGGCCTCTAGGAGCAGAAGACACAGAACAGAGAAGAAAAGACCTGGAGCTACGACTGCAGCCAGAGACAAAGGCCGCGCCAAATCTCGAAAGCCGTCCTGTCCACTCCAGCTGCGTGCCTGATTGGATGGATCCCAGCCCAGAGTCCCTGATTGGATAACGTTTAACACCATACCCCTTTAGGCCCTGAGTGACAGAAGACGTGCTCAGGTGCAGGGCTGAATGAAAATAGAGTTGCAGCTTTTTCAGGCAGGGCTTCCTCCCTGAGCTGAGCCAGGCCTGCCTCAGAGGGCATTTGCATTTAACCATGTGTAAAAGATCATATGTGCATTTATAAATAATATATTATATGGCTATTCACAAGTGAAGATAATGTAATAACAATTATTTTTAAATTCCAGATTTTATTACCTTCCCGGCTTCTGGTCCTTTGAGCAGGCAGCCTGAGATTTTAAAAAGAAGGCAATCCTCTGAAATAAAATGTGGGCCACATGTGAATACTAAATTTTCTAGTAGTCAAATTTTAAGAAGAAAGAAGCAACAGGTGGAATAAACGGTAACCATTTAATTAACCCAATATATCCAACATACTATCATTTTAATATGTGAGCAATATGTAATTATTAATGAAATATATATAATTTTTACTCTAACTTTCTAGCATATCGCAGTTCAGACCAGCCACATTCCAAGCACCCAGAAGCAACATATACCCAATAACTGTCACATTGAAGTGCAGCTGTGATGTCAGGGTGGGCAAACGGCCTGAAAATCCCTTTTCTGCCAGAGGTAAAGGAAGAGCCTCTTCCTACCAACATCTCTCTTTCGTTCCAAGGGTGCAAAAGATAGTGACCATAGAAAGAGCAGAGGGCAGCCGGACACGGCAGCTCATGCCTATAATCCCAGCACTTTGGGAGGCTGAGGCGGGTGAATCACTTGAGGTCAGGAGTTCGAGACCAGCCTGGCTATCACGGCGAAACCCCATCTCTACTAAAAGTACAAAAATTAGATGGGCATGGTGGCAGGTGCCTGTAATCCCAATTACTTGGGAGGCTGAGGCAGGAGAATTGCTTGAGCCCTGGAGGTGGAGGTTCTAGTGAGCGAGATCATGCCACTACACTCCAGCCCAGGTAACAGAGCAAGACTCTGTCTCCAAAAAAAAGAAAGAAAAAAAAGAAAGAACAGAGGCCAGCAGAAATAAAATAACCCCAGGTAGACCACTGCTGCCAACGTGTTTTCCATTTTTGTTCCAGAGATCAGACAGTAAACAAAGGATGATGGGTCCACAGGAGAAGAAAACTCTATGTCTTCAGATATGTCCACAGTCTTGACCTCCAGTGTATAAATATAGAGAAAACAGATTAAAGGTAAACTTATTTTGCCATTTGGCCTTGGCCCTAATGGTCAGGCTGTGGTTATCTGTTTTCTCCTGTGGTTTATGGAAATGTGTGAGTATAAGCACCAATCACATGCACACATGTCTACATGTATTTATTCATTTCTCAGTATTACAAAACATCTAACTTTAAATCAGGGGAAAAAAGTCAGCACTTTTAGGGTGCCCACTGTTAGAACGTAATTAGTAATCAACTTGCCATTAATTTTTGGCATCCTATCTGCACTGGGTGCACGTATTAGTTAGCTCTTACAGCATAACAAACCATCCAAAACTTCTTAGCTCATAATTGTGATGGTCAGCCATTTAGGCTGGGCTTGGTGGGGCCATTCTTCTGGTCTCAGCTGAGCCTGTCAACTAGGCAGCTGTGCTTCTGGGCATGAGCTTCTGCTTCTGGGATTGTCAACAAGGGGCACCTTGCTTCTCCTCCCTGTTGTATCTTATCCTCCAGCTGGCGAACATGGGCTTTTTTCATGGAGATGGCAGCATTCTAAAAAACAATTAGAAGCATTTAAAACCACTTGAGCCTAGGCCTCAAACTAGCACACTGTCATGTTCACAGGTGTCTACCACCCCGAACAAATAAGGCCAGCCAGATCTGGGGTTTGGAAAACAGATTCTGGATCTCCATGGGAACACCTGTAAAAGCACCTGGCAATGAGCATGGAACAGGGAGAACAAAAAATTGCTACCATTTGTGCAATCAGAATCATTCTGTTTTTCAGCTTTTTGTTTTGTTTTGCTTTGTTTTTGGATATATGTGGCTTATAGAACTCTTCCACATCAAGAAATTGCCCAAACACCCACAGCTATTAAGTGACTGGGCTGAGACTCACTCTCTAGGGCTCTAAATCCTGGAGAGTAACACTTCTAAAATAGAAGCCAGATTCCTTTTAGATTTGTGCCCAAATAGTACTGTTTATTATTGGAAATAATCTCAATAAATTGCATAAGCACATGGTGGCTCATACCTGTAATCGTAGCACTTTGGCAGGCTGAGATGAGAGAATTATTTGATATCAGGAGTTAAAGTGCAGCCTGGGTAACATAGTAAGATCCTGTCTCCATGAAAAAGACATTATCCAGGCATGACAATGCATGCCTGTATTCCCAGCTACTCGGGTGGCTGGGGCAGGAGGACTGCTTGAGCCTGGAAGGTTAAGACTGCAGTGAGCCATGATTGGTTACACCACTGCACTTTAGCCTGGGTGATGGAGTGAGACCTTGTCTCAAAAGAAAATAAAATAGCTGGGCGTGGTGGCTCACGACTGTAATCCCAGCACTTTTGGAGGCTGAGGTGGGCAGATCACCTGAGGTCGGGAGTTTGAGACCAGCCTGACCAACATGGAGAAACCCCATCTCTACTAAAAATAGAAAATTAGCTGGGAGTGTTGGCACATGTTCGTAATCCCAACTACTCAGGAGGCTGGGGCAGGAGAATCGCTTGAACCTGGGAGGCAGAGGTTGCAGTGAGCCGAGATCGTACCATTGCACTCCAGCCTGGGCAACAAGAGCAAAACTCTGTCTCAAAACAAATAAATTAATTGGCCTGGTGTGGTGGCTCATGCCTGTAATCCCAGTACTTTGGGAGGCCGAGGCGGGTAGATCACAAGGTCAGGAGATCAAGACCATCCTGGCTAAGATGGTGAAACCCCGTCTCTACTAAAAATACAAAAAATTAGCCGGGTGTGGTGGTGGGGGCCTGTAGTCCCAACTACTCGGGAGGCTGAGGCAGGAGAATGGCGTGAACCCAGGAGGTGGAGTTTGCAGTGAGCCGAGATTGCGCCACTGTACTCCAGCCTGGGCGACAGAGTGAGACTCCATCTCAAAAAAAAAAAAAAGACATAGAATAATGTGGAGAAAACAGCTGAGAGATGAGTTTAGAAATCAAAGTCCAACAACACATTACTTATTTTTTTCATAGAAAAAAATTTGAAAACGTTTCAAAGAAAAAAGCTTTTAGAGAAATTAAATTTTACAGAGTTTAATTGAGCAAAGTATTATTTGCAAATCAGGCAATCTGTGGGCCCAGAGTAGGCTCAGACTTCAACACAGCCACATAGTAAAAAAAGATTTATAGACAGAAACAGCAAAGTAACATACAGAAAAAGAAAGTGAGGTACAGAAACAGCCAGATTGATTACAGCTTGAGATATGTCTTATTTGAACATAGTTCGAAAAGTTGATGTCCTTTTATTGGCATAAACACAGTAGTTGGTACAAGAATGGGTTACAGTCTATTTATATATCCAGTTAGGTTCAGTTTACTATGGTACTATGTACTATGGCAATTAGCAATTGCCATAACAGAATTAAATAAATATTTCTTATGGTCATCTGCTACAAGCTAATTAATTAGAAAAATTGGATAATGACTTTATGCTTTATTACATGTTAATTGTAAATGGTTCCAATCAGCATAAATATACTAAAGTATTTTCAACTTTGAAAGATCCAAGAATGATTAAATCCTTCTGAATAAGTGTTTATAATAACTAAGATTATAGCCCTGTAGCTACAAAAATAATAGAAAAAATAAAGTTGTTATCTATGAGAACAACATTCTTCAAATTATTTGAAGTTTAAAGGCACTGGGAAAAGGGATTACTAGAGATGTCATTTTACTATGTTACCCAATAATGTATTATTACCATTTGTTACCTGCAGCCTTGATTAAGGTGGGATAGGTTACAGATGGTGACAGGATATACTTCATTCAATGCACAACAATTTAAACACACTAAAGCCACTTTTGTTTGATTTTAAAAATTATGGATCGCGCCCCCCAGCCCCCTCCCCCGACCCCGGGCCGGTGCAGCCGCAGGCGGGGTCCCCCTCCCCCTTCCCCCTCCCCCTTGCCCCTCTCCCCCCAGGCCTCGCGCGCCCCGGACCGGCCCCCCCTTTCCCCTCCCCCTCCGTGCCGCCTCTGCCGCGATGCCCCCCGCTGCGCCCGGGGCCCGGCTCCGGCTTCTCGCCGCCGCCGCCCTGGCCGGCTTGGCCGTCATCAGCCGGGGGCTGCTCTCCCAGAGGCTGGAGTTCAACTCTCCTGCCGACAACTACACAGTGTGTGAAGGTGACAACGCCACCCTCAGCTGCTTCATGGACGAGCATGTGACCCGCGTGGCCTGGCTGAACCGCTCCAACATCCTGTACGCCGGCAACGACCGCAGGACCAGGGACCCGCGGGTGCGGCTGCTCATCAACACCCCCGAGGAGTTCTCCATCCTCGTCACCGAGGTGGGGCTCGGCGACGAGGGCCTCTACACCTGCTCCTTCCAGACCCGCCACCAGCCGTACACCACTCAGGTCTACCTCATTGTCCACGTCCCTGCCCGCGTTGTGAACATCTCGTCGCCTGTGATGGTGAATGAGGGAGGTAATGTGAACCTGCTTTGCCTGGCCGTGGGGCGGCCAGAGCCCACGGTCACCTGGAGACAGCTCCGAGACGGCTTCACCTCGGAGGGAGAGATCCTGGAGATCTCTGACATCCTGCGGGGCCAGGCCGGGGAGTATGAGTGCGTGACTCACAACGGGGTTAACTCGGCGCCCGACAGCCGCCGCGTGCTGGTCACAGTCAACTATCCTCCGACCATCACGGACGTGACCAGCGCCCGCACCGCGCTGGGCCGGGCCGCCTACTGCGCTGCGAAGCCATGGCGGTTTCCCCCGCGGATTTCCAGTGGTATAAGGATGACAGACTACTGAGCAGCGGCACGGCCGAGGGCCTGAAGGTGCAGATGGAGCGCACTCGCTCGATGCTTCTCTTTGCCAACATGAGCGCCCGGCATTACGGCAACTATACGTGTTGCGCCGCCAACCGGCTGGGAGCGTCCAGCGCCTCCATGCGGCTCCTGTGCCCAGGATCCCTGGAGAACTCAGCCCCGAGGCCCCCAGGGCCCCTGGCCCTCCTCTCCGCCCTGGGCTGGCTGTGGTGGAGAATGTAGGCGCAACCCAGTGGAGCTCGCCTCCCCCTGCAGGGGGCCTCAGGCCAAGAGTGAGAGAAAAGGGGGAGCAAGAGCCCTGGGTCTCGTGGGGGCAGAAGGGCTCTCGGCCACCAAGGAAGAAGAGAAGAGGAGAAAGAGGAGGAGGCAGAGGAAGAAAGATCTTTAGAGAACCCATCACTGTGAGGGGTAACGCAAAATTATGTATCTTTCTACAGCCATTCTCGCTACCCGTTCACGTTTCCGATTGTGACCCACTCCCGCCACCCCATACCCCTCTCTCTTAGCTCAGGCTGTCAACAGGCTTGTGTGGGTGTGGGTGTGTGAGTGTAAGCCTGCATGCGTGTGTAGGTGTCTGTGTCTCTGTGTGTGTGTGTGTGGGTGGGCTGGGGGAAGGGACTCAACCGTCCTCCCACCCCCGAAACCCCCATGTCCACTGTCCCCAACCCTACTGCCTCTCACCTCTGGCTGGAGGTAGGTATGAGGCTCTGCAGTGGAAGCTGTGAAGAGAGGCTTACCAGGCTCCCTGCTTCCCCAATATATGCAGGCACACTGACCCCTCCCCCTGTCGAAAGGACAACTCCTGGCAGGTTGGGAGTGGGGAGGGGCATCGCACTCACCTGTCAAGCTGTCATTCAGCCTTTGCGAGTAAGTGGGGGACCTCCATCTGGGTTCTGGGCTTCCCTGCTGTCAACCACCAGCTTCCTGTAGCCAGAGGCTCCATCGCTGGCTCAGTGGCCTGAGACCTTCCCACTTTTCCTGTCCCTACCCACCCTGGATTTTCTGGCCCCCTCTTGGGCCAATCGGTGCTTCCATCCAACTGTCAGACTGGTGGCAGGAGTCACCTGTCTGTTTCAGTGCTTTGCCTTACCCCTGCCACCACTCCCCTTGGCCTTGATTTCCCCACCTGCGGAACCAGCCAGCTGCCCCTGGGGCCTTTGCAGCTGGCCCACAGGTGTGGGCTTGCTGGTCTATCACTTCCTGGCCTCTCCACCAACTGTACTTCCCAAAGGCTACCTGACCGCCCTCACACACACTCAGACACACCACACACACACACACCAGCGACTGTGACCAGCAATAGCCCCCTGGCTCCAGCTGTCCTGTAGCTGGTGACTAGCTGTATTTCCCCCTGGGTAGGCATCTGTTGTCAGGAAGGGACGCTGAGAGGCTGCAGCCTCAGCTCTGATTGTAGGAATACTCCGCCCTGGTACACCACACCACACAAAGTGGGGGACAGAGAGGCATCACACAGACATCCTGAGCCCAGATAAAGATGCCATGTCACCAACTCCGACTCCCACGAGACCCTCTATATAAACACCCACCCCAAACCACACCACTCAGAGTCTGGTGGAGAAGAGGAGAGGGCAAGGCTCAGTGACTGTACCTCAGACGGGGGCATGGGCCCCATCCCACGTTGTCTTCCATTCCCAGGGTCCAGGGGATGGGGTGGGACTGGGGAGGGATTCTAGGGAGGGGGTGGGAGGCCCTGGGGGCTGTGTGTTCCAATTCATGGGGATTGTTGAGACCACCACACCAATAAATGCCTTTTTCCAAAAAAAAAAAAAAAAATTATGTTCACGGCCAGGTGCGGTGGCTCACACCTGTAATCCCAGCACTTTGGGAGGCCGAGACGGGCAGATCACGAGGTCAGGGGATAGAGACCATCCTGGCTAACACGGTGAAACCTCGTCTCTACTAAAAATACAAAAAATTAGCCGGGCGTGGTGGCGGGCACCTGTAGTCCCAGCTACTCAGGAGGCTGAGGCAGGAGAATGGTGGGAACCCGGGAGGCAGAGCTTGCAGTGAGCCGAGATTGCGCCACTGCACTCCAGCCTGGGCGACAGAGGGAGACTCCATCTCAAAAAAAAAAAAAAAATTATGTTCACACAGGCTAGATGTGGCTTGCATTCCAATGGTTGAGACTCTTTCACCTGAGACTGAGACTTGGTGGTCTTCAGTTCACTGTCTTCTAGTTGCAGTGATGAGTGCATGTGTAAGATCAAGATTCAGAGGAAGAGGAGATGGTCAAGAGGAATCTGATTTGGTTGCATTCATGGCTTCCCAGAAGCACCGTGAATCTCAATAAAAGAAACCACTGGTTGGTGTGGTGGCTCACGCCTGTAATCCCAGCACTTTGGGAGGCCGAGGTGGGTGGATCACCTGAGGTAAGGAGTTCGAGACCAGCCTGACCAACATAGAGAAACCCTGTCTCTACTAAAAATATAAAAAAAAAATTATCCGGGTGTGGTGGTGCATGCCTGTAATCCCAGCTACTTGGGAGGCTGAGGCAGGAGAATTGCTTGAACCCAGTAGACGGAGGTTGTAGTGGGCTGAGATTATGCCATTGCACTCCAGCCTGGGCAACAAGAGCAAAACTCAATCTCAAAAAAAAAAAAAAAAAAGAACACTAACTGAGAATTAGGATATTAAACCTGGACAAGAGAAAGAATAAACACCTGTGATTGAGCAACGTAAATTGGAAGCTGATTGCCGGAAATTGCATCTGGAAAAGACTGGGAGTAAGTGCAAAGATGGCCCTGATGTAAAAGAGAAGACTCCACCTAATCTGAAGCGTGCTAAGATTATAGAAGCAGGAGATGGGCAGCCATAAATTAAAAAGAAGATGAAGTGGTTGGTCGCAGTGGCTCACGCCTGTAATCCCAGCACTTTGGGGGACCAAGGCGGGTAGATCACGAGGTCAAGAGTTCAAGACCAGCCTGGTCAAGATGGTGAAACCCAGTCTCTACTAAAAATACAAAAATTAGCCCAGCTTGGTGGCGAGCATCTGTAATCCCAGCTACTTGGGAGGCTGAGGCAGAGAATTGCTTAAACCCGTGAGGCGGAGGTAGCAGTGAGCCGAGATCGTGCCACCACACTCCAGCCTGGGTGACAGAGTGAGACTCCGCCAAAAAAAAAAAAAAAAAAAAAAGAAGACACACACACACACACACACACACACACAGATGATGTCACATTGAAAATTTGACTGAAATTTTGAAAATACTGTCAATTAAGTTTGAGTTTTCACTGAAGCAAAAAATAAAACAAGCATCTTAGAATTAACTGTATTTTATTGTCTTAATGTGCAATTGGTAAAACCAATTTACTTCTTTAAACTTCAAATTTTTCTGACTATAATGCAGTAGACTATGACTCTAAACATTTCCCTCATGCATTTTGTGGGTATTATGACTTACCATAGAGTCAATCACAAAGAGAGTCTACACTTAAATTTTCTCCTTGCATCTTAAATTTCAGTATCTATAATCCTCCATAAAAAAGTATATGAGAGGCTGGGCATGGTGGCTCACGCCTGTAATCCCACCATTTTGGGAGGCTGAGGCTGGTGGATCACCTGAGGTCAGGAGTTTGAGACAAGCCTGGCTAATGTAGTGAAACCCTGTCTCTAGTAAAAATAGAAAAATTAGCCGGGCGTGGTGGCAGGTGCCTGTAATCCCAGCTACTCAGGAGGCTGAAGCAGGAGAATCGCTTGAACCCAGGAGGCGGAGGTTGCAGTGAGCTGAGATGGCGCGATTGCACTCCAGCCTGGGTGACAAGAGCGAAACTCCATCTCAAAAAAAAAAAAAAAAAAAAAATGAGGCCAGGCGTGGTGATTCACACCTGTAATCCCAGCACTTTGGGAGGCCGAGGCAGGTGGATCACCTGAGGTCAGGAGTTCAAGACCAGCCTAGCCAACATAGTGAAACCCAATCTGTACTGAAAATACAAAAATTATCTGGGCATGGTGGTGTGCGCTTGTGGCCCCAGCTACTCGGGGGGCTGAGGCAGGAGAATTGCTTGAATCTGGGAGGCAGAGGTTGCAGTGAGTCTAGATTACTCCACTGCACGCCAGCCTGGGTGACTGAGCAAGACTCCATCTCATAAATAAATAAATAAAGCAAATCTAACATAGAAGCATTTTTCATAGTTTTAATGCAGCCAACAATTGATCAAATGCTTTTCTATAAATGCTACAAATGAAGGCATAACATCAAGTGATTTGAGAGTTAAATTACCTCAACATTCATATTTTGAAAATTTAAAATTCTTTTCATGCAAAACAAGAAAAGTCAAATATAACTATAACGCCTCAAAAGATAAATCCTTGCTTCTTTTAGTCTTACACAAAAGTAAATGATATATTTTAACTTTGGATTACTCTGTATAATAAACACTGTTTAGAGTAATGTCTAAAATGTTAGTGTCTTAGAGTTTTCTACTGCGAATTACCTGATGATTACTTCTACTTGATTTCTAATTTTTTTTACATTTACTGAATTTGAAGAATATTATTTAATGTGAACACTCTGGTGTTTTCTAAGGTATACTTCTTAGAACAAATGGTTTTTCTCTATTTATTATATTATTCATAGGGTCTGTCTAAAATACAAATTTCCTAAAGTTGAAGAAAGTGTCAACAACTGATTGAGGGTTTCTCTCCAGTATAAATTCTCCTGTGTACAATAAGATATAAGTGAAGATATTAAACTCAACTTTTCAAAATCAGGAAATGTAACATTAAAAAATGAGGTGAATCTTAATAACATAAATAAAGTATACAATCACAAAAAACAGATACTGTCCGAATCCACTTACATGAGATAGCTAGAAACAGAAACCAAAATGATATTTTGAAAAAGATAAATAATAGGAAATTGGGCAGTTGTTTCAGGGGTATTGAGTTTTGTTTAGAAGATAAAAATGTTTTCCGAGCGTGGTGGCTCATGCCTGTAATCCCAGCACTTTGGGAGGCCAAGGTGGGCAGATCACCTGAGGTTGGGAGTTTGAGACAACCCTGACCAACATGGAGAAACCCCATCTCTACTAAAAATACAAAATTAGCCAGGTTTGGTGGCACATGCCTGTAATCCCAGCTATTCGGGAGGCTGAGGCACTAGAATCACTTGAACCCGGGAGGTAGAGGTTGCAGTGAGTTGAGATCACGCCATTGCACTCCAGCCTGGGTGACAAGAGCAAAACTCTGTCTCAAAAAAGAAAAAAAGAAAAAGAAAGACCAGGGAGGGATCTGTAGACATAGAGCATTCTTCTTCTGTGGCCCCATCGTCCTTTGTTCACTGTCTGATCTCTGGAAGAAAGGTGGGCAACAGGTGGTCTTCCTGTTGTTATTTTATTCCTGCTGTCCTCTGCTCTTTCTATGGCCACTATCTGTTCTACCCTTGGAACTGAAGAGAGATGTTGGTAGGGAAAGACTTTCCCCTTATTTATGGCAGGAAAAGGATGTTCAAGCCCAGTGTGGTGGCTCATGGCTGTAATCCCAGCACTTTGGGAGGATGAGACAGAAGGATTACTTAAGGTCAGGGGTTTGAGTCCAGCCTGGCTGACATGGCAAAATTCCATTTCTACTAAAAATACAAAAATAAGCCAGGCATGGTGGCACATGCCTGTAATCACAGCTACTCTGGGGAAAATAAGGCAGGAGAATTGCTTGAATCCGGAATGTGGAGATTGCAGTGAGCCGAGATTGCACCACTGCACTCCAGCCTGGACATAAGAGCAAGACTCTGTTTGAAAAGAAAAGAAGAGAAGAGAAAGGAAAAGAAAGAAAAGAAGAGAAGAGAAAGGAAATAAAAAGAAAGGAAGAAAAGAAAAGAAAAAAGAAAAGGGATGTTCAGGATTTCATCTTCTGCCATCAGAGCTGCACTTCAATGTGGCAGCTATTGGCCACCTGTGGCTACTGGGTGCATGGAATGTGGCTGGTCTGAACTGCGATGTGGTAGAAAGGTAAAATACATAGTTTTAATTTTTTTTCCAAAATATATATACTTTGTTAATAATTACATACTGGTCACATATTAAAATGATAATATTTTGGATATATTGGGTTAATTAAATTTCTACAATGAATTCCTCCTGTTTTTTTTTCTTTTTAAAATTTTCCTTCTAGAAAATTTAGAATTCACGTGGCTCACATTCAATTTCAGAGGACTGCCTTTTTAAAAAAAAATGTCAGGCTACCCGCTCAAAGGACAAGAAGCCAGGAGCTCATAAAATTGGAAAATTTTAAATAATTGTTATTGCATTATTTTCATGTGTGAATAGCCACATAATATATTATTTATAAAGGCATACGACCTTATACGCAGGGTTATATGCAAATACTCTCTGGTGTGAGCCTGGTCCGTTCAGGGAGGAAGCCCTTCCCTGAGAACCCTGCAGCTTGGATTTCACTCTTTCTACGTTCAGCCCAGCCGCTGAGCACATATTCTGTCACTCAGGGCATTAGGGGGTGGCGCCCTAAACATTATCCAATCAGGGACGCGGGGCTGGGACCCGTCCAATCAGGCACGCAGCTGGAGCGGACAGGACGGCTTCCGGGATTTGGCGGGGCCTTTGTCTCTAGCTGCTGCGGGAGCTCCAGGTCTAGTCTTTACTGCTCTGTGTATTCTGCTCCTAGAGGCCCAGCCTCTGTGACTCCGTTATCTGCAGGTATTGGGAGATGCACAGCTAAGATGCCAGGACCACCTGGAAGCCTAGAAATGGTGAGAGTGCGGTCCGACACCCCGAGAGAGGGGGAGGGGCTGGTTGGAACCGGTCGGAAGTGGCTGTGGCAGGACTCCAGGCTCCAAGCACTGGGCTCCAAAATCCGCGGCCCGAGTTGTCCTTGGCGCAGCTCGGTCCTCAGTCCCCTTCAGCCATAAGATGGCGGCTGGGCTGACAGCCGGACCCCGGGCGTCATGTCTCCTCCCTGCGCAGTGACTGTGCCTTGGCCTGGAGCCCTCGCTGGGCAGCTCTGCACCCGCAGTGCCGCATCTCTGCCGATAACTCGGGGTGCAGGGTTCATAAATGGGAAGCGCTTTGGTCCATGGGGTCCCAGTCCCTCCTTTTTTCTATTAAAAATTCATGGAAGTCACTGCAAATATATTTAAAAATGTAATAGAAGAGTGGTTCAAAAATCGTAGAGCACCCAGCTATGATTTGTAATTTGTGGTCCATGGGAGGGGCTTGAAGGAAAGACTTTTAAGTGGTGTATGATGAATAAAACCAAATTCAATAATCGGTTAGGTACAGTTACATAACTTCTTAATTTGTAAGATCAAAGTGGAAATTTTCTGGTTATGTAATCGGAGGGTACTTGGCAGTTTATAGTTGGTTAAGCAAGAATTTTATTTCCCCCAATGTAATACTTTACAAAAAACAATGTATTTGAGTTAGATTTTTTTTTTTTTTTTTTTGAAACGGAGTCTCGCTCTGTCGCCCAGGCTGAAGTGCAGTGGCACGATCTCGGCTCACTACAACCTCTGCCTCCCGGGTTCAAGTGATTCTCCTGTCTCAGCCTCCCGAGTAGCTGGGATTACAGGCGCCCGCCACCATGCCCGGCTAATTTTTGTATTTTTAGTAGAGACGGGTTTCACCATGTTGGACAGGCTGGTCTTGAACTCCTGACCTTGTGATCTGCCCGCCTCGGCCTCTCAAAGTGCTGGGATTACAGGCGTGAGCCACTGTGCCTAATGTAAATTTTTTTTTTTTTTGAGACGGAGTCTTGCTCTGTCGCCCAGGCTGGAGTGCAGTGGCGCGATCTCGGCTCACTGCAAGCTCCGCCTCCTGGGTTGACGCCATTCTCCTGCCTCAGCCTCCTGAGTAGCTGGGACTACAGGCGCCCGCCACCACGCCTGGCTAATTTTTTTGTATTTTTAGTAGGGACAGGGTTTCACCAAGTTAGCCAGGATGGTCTTGATCTCCTGACCTCGTAATCCACCCGCCTCGGCCTCCCAAAGTGCTGGGATTACAGGCGTCAGCCACCGCGCCCGGCCCTAGTGTACATTTTTGATACTATATTTTAATTAATCATTTTTTGAGAAATCATTGGATGGTACTTTTTAAAAGATTTGTTTTCCGTTTGTAAAAATTTTCTGTAAGAAGAAAGCAAAGAGTAATCCCTGGACACTATTGTAAAAAATCTCTGCGCCTCTTTTCCTTTTATCTTCCATAGGCACAGAGATCTTATCAGAATTTTGGGGGGTCACAGTTTCCCTTTGGAAACTTTATGGGGTGATGTGTCCTCGGCTACCCTTCAGATTTTTCCTGGTCCTGGGTTTCAGTACTGTCTGGGAATAAACCATGATACCCACCATGACTATGTCTGCTAGAGTGCCTAATGAATATCAGCTCCTGGGTCATTTTCTCCCACAGGACTGCCTGAGGTACAAAGTGTAGCCTCTCGAGGGAGCAGGTGGATGCCCTGGAGCTGAGAGAAATCTCCTGGTGCACTCTTCCTTGGAAAGGCTGACACCTTGAGACATTAAGATTGTCTTCACCCAACTCAGCTTCCGTTTCCTTGGGACACATTGCTGGTCAATCAGATGCTGGTATTGAGGGAAAAACATAGAAATAATTTCTGGATTCTCTAAGGGGGCAGAAAAATAGTGAAAAAAAATGATGAAAAAAGAGTGAAAGACAAATAGTGAAAAATTTGTAAAGGAAATTAAAAGGTAAAATATTTACGAATGGTGTAAAAGAGGTGAGTTTCAGAAAAAAATTAATATCTACATATATTCCATTTGTTAAAAATTCTCATTTACTATTTTGTTTTCCAGACTGAGTTTAGTAATTGTCACAGGTAGTTTTTTTACGGCTGGGTAATTTTTTTTTTTTTTGAGACAGTCTCATTCTGTCACCCAGGCTGGAGTGCAGTCACATGATCTTGGCTCACTGCAACCTCTGTCTCTTGGGTTCAAGCGATTCTCCTCCCTCAGCCTCCTGAGTAGCTGAGACTACAGGCGCTAGCCACCACACTCAGCTAATTTTTGTATTTTTAGTAGGGATGAGGTTTCACCATGTTGGCCAGTCTGGTCTCAAACTCTTGATCTCAGGTGATCCACCCGCCTTGGCCTCCCAAAGTATTGGGATTACAGGCATGAGACACCGCACCCAGCCTAGCTGGGTAATTTCAAACAGAATTCCAAGCCTTAACTTTTAGAATGCTAGCTATCTAGGGAAAAAATAGAGAAAATCTCTTCTCCATTTTGGCTTTAGAAAATGAATACATTTCCGGCCGAGTGCAGTGGCACACGCCTGTAATCCTAGCACTTTAGGATGCCAAGAGGGGTGGATCACCTGAGGTCAGGAATTCGAGGCCAGCCTGGCCAACATGGTGAAGCCTTGTCGCTACTAAAAATACAAAAATTAGCCGGGCGTGGTGGTACATGCCTGTAATTCCAGCTACTTGGGAGGCTGAAGCAGGAAAATTGCTTGAACCCGGGGGGTGGAGGTTGCAGTGAGCCAAGATTGTGCCACTTCATTCCAGCCTGGGCGAAAGAGTGAAACTTCATCTCAAAAAAAAAAAAAAAACAGAAAAGAAAATGAATACATTTCCACCAGAAAATGTGGTAGGTAATTGGTGAAGTTACATAGATTCTTGAAAACATTAGTACCTCTTTTTGCATGGTAAATTTGTGACAGTGAATATTTCTAGTCTATACCCTGTTATCTTGATTTCTGAGTTTTATGCTAAATTTTATGAGATGAAACTTGGTACCTCCTAGAAGTGTTTCCAAATGAATAATTGTTTACTACATAATTTTTAATGGAAATAATAAAATAATACATTTATTATCTAAAAGGAATACTTTTGCTTTTCTTATTGAGATGTAAAATGTTATGCATCTTCAAAAAAGTCCTCCCTGGCCAGGCACAGTGGCTCAAGCCTGTAATCCCAGCACTTTGGGAGGCCAAGGTGGGTGGATCACTTGAGGTGAGGAGTTTGAGACCAGCCTGGACAACATGGTGAAACCCCGTCTCTACCAGAAATATAAAAAATTAGCCACATGTGGTAGTGGGCACCTGTAATCCCAGCTACTCAGGAGGCTGAGGCAGGAGAATTGCTTGAACCCAGGAGGTAGAGGTTGCAGTGAGCTGAGATCACACCACTGCACTCCAGCCTGGGTGACAGGGCGAGACTCTGTCTCAAAAACAACAGCAAAAAAAAAAAACCTAAACAAACAAATAAAACAAAAAGTGGATTTATACGCCTGTGCTCCAGACTTGCTGAGTCACTCTGGCCCGGCTGTCTGCCTCGGCCTGTTTCTGACCAAAGCATATCCATGTACCTTACAGCCCCCCAAATGAATAAAGCCTTTCCTAGAAGTTGCCAACTTCCTAATGAAAACTTTGCCCTTGACTTCGGTAATATCAAAAATTGCAGATATATGTGGAAGGAAAATAAACTCTTGGGACCCTGAACTCACTATGCCAAAAGTAAAGCTGGGAACTGGGTCATGCAAAGATTGGCTTCCTTTTATTCCCAAACAGCTGTAATTTCACATGCTTACTTTATCTTGTATAAAATGTAGAGTTACTGAGGGAGAGAGAGAAGGGGGAATGCATGATTGACTTCTCCGACCCCTTTCTTTCTACATGTAAAATATAGATTCACTGAGTGCTAATCAGAGCCTCATGGGAATGTAGCCAATAGCCTCATCACCTACACTCCCTCTTGTTTCCCCCACCCGGCCTTTTTTCTTCCCCTCCCACTTGCTCTTTCCTCTTTAAATACTGAAGTTCCCAAAACATTCTTTGGAAAAAACACAGGACACAGATCCTATTGCGACTTGTGTTTCTTTCTCCCCGGTGTGTCCTCAACATTAACAAAATAAATCTCAAAATTGATTGAAAAAAAAAAAAAGCAACCCCTTTTCTGCCTAAACTTTGCAATCTTTAAAGATTTATAGTTGGTGCTTCCTCCTTTGGAATTCAAATTTTTATTACATAAATCTGTGTTTTATTTTACAAAGTCTAGAAACTGCCTCAAAACAGTAACAACTTCATCTTCAGTAAGACCCTCCCAATCCCCTTCCGTCTTAACCTTAACTACATCTGCCTGTGGGTCCCCAGATTTCCAGGGCCCTGTAGCTTTTCTCAGTATAAAGGCTTCTTCCATGGCTGGGGTGAGCAGCCTGAGACATCTGCAGGGGAGGCTCCCTAGAAAGAGCTGGGTCTTTAATAATCTCCTCCCAGGGTGAGAGAGGACTGAAAACTTACAGGAAATTAGCTCTGATAACAGACCCCCTTTTCCCACAGCTGCCACCCCAGGATTCCCACCCACTCACAAACATACCCATAAATTGATGTGTCCACACTCCTCCCAGGACTAGGCACCACCATCAGGAATTTCACCACAGCATTTTTGATCCTAGTGTTTTTTTTTGCCAAAAATCCACAAAAGTGTTTATAGTCTCCTGCATATCCCCACCCCCAGACACTGAATCTGCAGCAGCAACCTTTTTCCTCCACCAACCAACGGTTCTGTACCACCTGTTCATAATCTCATCTGCCTGCCCGGACACAGAAATAAACAAGTACAGCCCCACCTGGGCCACTATCTGTAGGGCAAACAAGTCCTTCCACCTACATTGCACTATCCTCCACCTGTGGATTTTATTCCTTTTAACTTTTATTTTTGTTTCAGGGTTGGGGGTAAACGTGCGAGTTGTTATATAAGCAAAATTGTGGCATAGGGGTTTGGTGTAGATTATTTTGTTAATGAGGTACTATGCATAGCATAAACAGGTATTTTTTTCTAGTCCTTTCTGTCCTCCTACCCACCACCCTCAACTAGGCCTGTGTCTGTTTTTCCTCTCTTTGTCCTCCGCCTCCGGGGTTCAAGCAATTCTGCCTCAGCCTTCTGAGTAACTGGAACTACAGGTGCATGCAACCACAGCCGGCTAATTTTTGTATTCTTAGTAGAGACAGGGGTTTCACCACATTGGCCAGGCTGGTCTCAAACTCCTGACCTCAAGTGATCTGCCTGCCTCAGCCTCCCAAAGTGCTGGGATTGCAGGCATGAGCCATTGCACCCGGCCTTTTTGGTAAGTTTTTTTTTGTTTTGTTTTTTTTTGTTTTTTTGTTTTTTTGAGACGGACCCTTGCTCTGTCACCCAGGCTGGAGTGCAGTGGCACGATCTTGGCTCACTGCAACCTCTGCCTCCCGGATTCAAGCGATTCTCCAGCCTCAGCCTCCTGAGTAGCTGGGATTACAGGTGCGTGCCAACACACGTGGCTACTTTTTGTATTTTTAGTAGAGACGGGGTTTCACCATGTTGGTCAGGCTGGTCTCGAATTCCTGACCTTGTGATCTGCCTGCCTCAGCCTCCCAAAGTGCTGAGATTACATGTATGAACCACTGCGCCTGGCCTTATGGTAAATTTTTTTTTTTTTTGAGACAGTGTCTCGCTCTGTCGCCCAGTCTGGAGTGCAGTGGCGCGATCTTGGCTCACTGCAAGCTCTACCTCCCAGGTTCATGCCATTCTCCTGCCTCAGCCTCCGGAGTAGCTGGGACTACAGGTGACTGCCACTACGCCTGGCTAATTTTTTTGTATTTTTAGTAGAGACGGGGTTTTACCATGTTTGCCAGGATGGTCTCAATCTCCTGGCCTCGTGATCCGCCCGCCTTGGCCTCCCAAAGTGCTCGGATTACAGGCGTGAGCCACTGTACCCGTCCCGCCTTATGGTAAAATTTTTAAAATTCCTTACAAATTTTGAATAATAGACCTTTGTCAGAAGCATATTTTACAAATATTTTCTTTTTATTGTGTAGGTTGTTTGTTTACTCTATTGATAGTTTGCTTTGCTGTGAAGAAGCTCTTTAGTTTCTTTAGGTCCCATTTATCAAGTTTTGCTTTTGTTGCAATTGCTTTTGGCATCTTCATCATAAAATCTTTGCCAGTTCCTATGTCAATAATATTTTCTTTATCCAATTGACATAGGTATTTTTTAGATTTTCTTTCAGGGTTTTTTACAATTGTATGTTCTACATTTAGGTCTTTAATCACCTGGAGTTGATTTTTTTTTTATATGGTGTAAGGAAAGCATCCAGTTTCAGTCTTTTACATAGTGCTAGCTGGTTATTCCAGCACCATTTATTAAATAGGGAATTCTTCCTGCATTGCTCTTGTGACCTTTGTGGAAGATCAGATGGTTGTAGGTGTGTGGCATGATTTCTGGGCTCTCTTATTCTGTTCCATTGTTCTGTAGTCTGTGTTTGTACCAGTATCATGCTGCTTTGGTTACTCTGTTGTATAATTTGAAGTCAGGTAATGTAATGCCACCTGCTTTGTTCTTTTTGCTTGTGATTGCCTTGGCTATTCAGGTTTTTGGTTTTTTTTCGGTTTCATATAAATTTTAAAATACTTTTTTTTTTTTTTTTTTTTAGTTCCGTGAAGAATGTTATTGGTAGTTTGATAGAAATAGCATTAATTCTGTAAATTTCATTTGGCAGTATGGCCATTTTAATGATATCAGTCTTTTCTATCCATGAGCATAAAATGGCTGCCCATTGGCTTGTGTCATCTCTGACTTCTTTAAGAAGCATTTTGTAATTTTTGTTTTAGAGATTTTTCACCTCCCTGATTAGGTGTATTCCTAGACATTTTATTATTTTTGTGGTTATTGTGAATGGGATTTTTTTTGATTTGGCCTTAGGTTGAATGTTGTTGATGTTCAGAGATGTTACTGATTTTTGTACACTTATTTTGTATCCTGAAACTTCTATTTTCTAGTTTGTGTGCATAGATTTTCTAGTTCATGTGCATAGAAGTGTTCATAGTAGACTTCAATAGTTATTTGTATTTCTGTGGGGTCAGTGGTAGTCATTTCTAATTGTGTTTATTTGGACCTTCTCTTATTTCTTTATTATTGTAGCTAGTGGTTTATCTTATTTTATATATATATATATATTTTTTTTTACAAAGGTTTAATTCCTGGATTTTTTGGTCTCGTATTTTTTTTCTGTTTAAATCTTCAGTTCAGATCTGATTTTGGTTATTTCTTGTCTTTTCCTAGCTTAGGGGTTGGTTTGCTCTTGCTTTCTCTCATTCTTTTATTCATGATGTTAGGTTGTTAAATTGAGATCTTTGTAACTTTTGGATGTGAGCTTTTAGTGCTATAAATTTCTCTTTAACACTGCCTTAGCTGTGTTGCAGAGATTCTGGTATGTTGTATCTTTGTTCTCATTTTTTGCAATGAACTTGATTTCTGCTTTAATTTCATTATTTACTCAAAAGTCATTTAGACTCAGGTGGCATAATTTCCATGTATTTGTATCACTTCAAGTGTTTTTTTTTTTGGTATTGAATTATATTTTTATCAAGCTGTGCTCTGTGTGTGTGGTTGGTGTAATTTTGGAATTTGCTGAGGGTTGTTTTATTTCTGATTGTGTGGTCAATTTTGGAGTATGTGCCACATGGTAATGAGAAGAATGTATAGTATGTTGTTTTTAGATTAAGAGTTTTGTAGGACTGTTTGTCCAAGTGTTGAGTTTAGATCCTGAGTTATTTGTAAATTTTCTGCCCTAATAATCTAACAGGGTCTGTGGGGTGTTGTATCCCACTATTATTGTGTCAGAATCTAAGTCTCTTCATAGGTCTCTAAGAACTTGCTTTATTCATGTACATCCACAGATTTTTTTTTTAATTTTTTTAGTATTTATTGATCATTCTTGGGTGTTTCTCGGAGAGGGGGATTTGGCAGGGTCATAGGACAATAGTGGAGGGAAGGTCAGCAGATAAACATGTGAACAAAGGTCTCTGGTTTTCCTAGGCAGAGGGCCCCGCTGCCTTCCGCAGTGTTTGTGTCCCTGGGTACTTGAGATTAGGGAGTGGTGATGACTCTTAACGAGTATGCCGCCTTCAAGCATCTGTTTAACAAAGCACATCTTGCACCGCCCTTAATCCATTTAACCCTTAGTGGACACAGCACATGTTTCAGAGAGCACGGGGTTGGGGGCAAGGTTATAGATTAACAGCATCCCAAGGCAGAAGAATCTTTGCCAGTACAGAACAAAATGGAGTCTCCCATGTCCACTTCTTTCCACACACAGAAACAATCCGATCTCTCTTTCTTTTCCCCACATTTCCCCCTTTTCTATTCGACAAAAACCGCCATTGTCATCATGGCCCGTTCTCAATGAGCTGTTGGGTACACCTCCCAGACGGGGCAGCCGGTCAGAGGCGCCCCCCCACCTCCCAGACGGGGCAGCGGCCGGGTGGGGGCTGCCCCCCACCTCCTGGACGGGGCAGCTGGCCGGGCTGGGGCTGCCCCCCACCTCCCGGACGGGGCGGCTGCCAGGCGGAGGAGCTCCTCACTTCCCAGACTGGGTGGCCGGTCAGAGACGCTCCTCACTTCCCAGACGGGTTGGCGGCAGGGCAGAGACACTCCTCAGTTCCCAGACGGGGTCGCGGCCGGGCAGAGGCGCTCTTCACATCTCAGACGGGGCGGCGGGGCAGAGGCGCTCCCCACATCCCAGACGATGGGCGGCCGGGCAGAGACGCTCCTCACTTCCTAGACGGGATGACGGCCGGGAAGAGGCGCTCCTCACTTCCCAGACTGGGCGGCCGGGCAGAGGGGCTCCTCACATCCCAGAGGATGGGCGGCCAGGCAGAGACGCTCCTCACTTCCTAGACGGGGTGGCGGCCGGGCAGAGGCTGCAATCTCGGCACTTTGGGAGGCCAAGGCAGGCGGCTGGGAGGTGGAGGTTGTAGCGAGCCGAGATCACGCCACTGCACTCCAGCCTGGGCAACATTGAGCACTGAGTGAGCGAGACTCCGTCTGCAATCCCGGCACCTCGGGAGGCCGTGGCGGGCAGATCACTTGAGGTCAGGAGCTGGAGACCAGCCCGGCCAACACAGCGAAACCCCGTCTCCACCAAAAAATGCGAAAACCAGTCTGGCGTGGCGGCGCGCGCCTGCAATCCCAGGCACTTGGCAGGCTGAGGCAGGAGAATCAGGCAGGGAGGTTGCAGTGAGCCGAGATGGCGGCAGTACAGTCCAGCCTCGGCTTGGCATCAGAGGGAGACAGGAGAGGGAGAGGGCACAGATTTTTTTTTATAACACCTTTCTGTATTCTGCTTTTTCTCTCTGTAAACATTCTTTCAAGTGCACACAGTGTGCCCAAGGCCACTCCTTGGATGCCTGAATCCAGTGTCTACTGAAATTCAGATGTCCAAGACTTCAAGAGCATGTCTAAAGACTTGGCTGTTATAGGAGAAAATAAAAATAAGAGGCTCTATTCTCCTACCTGAAAATAAGGAAGGCTATTAAGGCTATTATCCTCATCTCTCTTTTCTTAAAGCATTTGGATTATGTGTACTTTTTTTCTCTGCTTTATTGAAATATATGTAAATCATATAAATCATATTAATCTAGGTGTAGCTAAATAAACGATTCAGTATATAACAGTGGAGTTGGAGTTGAACCTTGGTTTCTATTTATTACTTCAGAACAATTAGCATTGTCACAGGAAGCATTTGTAGACAACCTACAATCATATACTTTTTTTTTTTTTTTTTTGAGATAGAGTGTTACTTTGTCCCCCAGGCTGGAGTGCAGTGGCGCAGTCTCAGCTCACTGCAACTCCATTTCCCAGGTTCAAGCAATTCTCCTGCCTCATCCTCCTGAGTAGCTGGGACTACAGGCATGTGCTACCACGCCTGGCTAGTTTTTGTATTTTTAGTAGAGACAGGATTTTGCCATGTTGGCCAGGCTGGTCTTGAACTCCTGACCTCAGGTGATCTGCCCATCTTGACCTCCCAAAGTGCTGGGATTACTGGCGTGAGCCACCGTGCCTGGTCAACATTCATATAAATTAAAGAGTATTTTCTACAATAATATAAATATAAGGCCACGACATTTACTTTGAATGAAACCGTTAGTCATTTTAATATTGTTATTTCTACTTTTTAAATATAAAGTGTTTTAACTGAATTATGGTTAAAGAAAATTTTCACAAATCCTACATACATTATGACGAGTACATTAAAATTATTTATATTTAGATACTTATCTCTAATATCCAAATAAAACTTATTACCAAATTGTTACAGTAGATACTAGTCTTACATACTTATTACCTTATCTGGTAGGGATAACTATAAGTAAGCATGAGTTTAGTGTCTTTCATTTCAGTAAGTTAGAATGCTGCTATTAAAGGACAAATAAACACAAATGATGTGACCACCAGAAAACTATAATAGCTCTCCTCTTAGCTGTGTTGCAAGCTCAAATATGTTCCACCATATAAACAAAATCAGATTCTAATTTTTCATCAAAAAGTGCTGGTGGTGACCGAGCACAGTGGCTCACGCCTGTAATCACAGCACTTAGGGAGGCCAACGCGGGTGGATCACTTGAGGTCAGGAGTTGGAGACCAGAATGGCCAACACAGTGAAACCTGTCTCTACTAAAAATACAAAAATTAGCTGGATATGGTGGCAGGTGCCTGTAATTCCATCTACTCTGGAGGCTGAGGCAGGAGAATTGCTTTAACCTGGGAGGCGGAGGGTGCAGTGAGCTGAGATCATGCCACTGCACTCTAACCTGAGTGACAGAACGAGACTCCATTTCAGAAAAAAAGTGCTGGTGGATGTAGTGTGATGTATTCCAATAGAATCCCCCTTTCAATGGCTAAAAGATGAGAGAGCAGCAGAGATGGAGGAATCTTATAAAATTCTGCTGAGAATATGCTCCCTTTTTCGTAATGCTCATGTTTCTCATGCTGAGAGTAGCTGTGTAATTTGGGTATTTAGAGAGAAATATTTTATAGGGAAATATTTTCTGGCTGACTTCATCAATCTTACATGTAATCTGAGTTTTTTCTCAAGATACATTTAACTTATTTTTTCTCTCGGTATAATCTTTCTGAGACTGAGAGCTGTTTTTCTCTCCAATGCTTTGAGTGTCTGTTTCAGAAGCCATTTTAGCATTTCACAGTGTCTGTGAATGAGGTGGGCTGTCACAATGGAACTCTTGGAGCTGTCTCTTTACAGACTCATGCTGGAAATCCAGCAGAATGTTTTCCATGTCACCATTATAAATAGAAACTGAGCCTAAAACTGTTCCCGTTCTCATTATTGTGAAGGTGCATTCCTACCCAGGAGGCCTGCAGGCTCTCCTCCTGCAGCTCAGGCTTCACTCTCTGATGTGGCGCTGGAGTGCTGCTGTGGCAATTGGGGTTCATGTGAGATGTGACCTCCTGGCTGTTCACCCTGTATTGTGGGCTGTACCTCAGTGGCAGGAGGTAGGAGTCAAGAGAAAACTCCAGCCACCAGGAGAGGGCAAGCAGAAGTGCTGTAGTCCAACGCTTGGGGAGTAGAGAGCCATTGCTTCAAAATGTAAATAGCCAAAATGATAGCACACTATTCAAATGTTTCTGTAGGAGACTGAGAGCCTACCTTTAGCAGGCACCTGGTTTTATATTGCACAACTACCCTCTGTCATGAAGATCTTAAAAGTTTATTTTGTAATTATATATAACAAATTAACATACACGGATGGCCTCCCCAATTACCAGGTGAATTTAGAGTGAACTATGCATGACATGGTGCTGTAAGTTTTTCTACTCATGGGCTAATTATGGTGACCATCTTTCTGTCTTTGCAATCTGTTAAGCAGATTGACCTTGATGCATGTCAAATTCTGGTTTAATTGTGTAATATAACAGTTTTATTTCTGTTCAGTCATTGTGGAGTTGCTCTAGGGCTGGAGAAAATTTGTCTTTTAATTATATTTCCCAAGAACTGTCTAGAATTACCAGACATGACATAAACATATAAGGCGCCAACCAAGCTTTACTCTAGAGGGGCCTTTCCCTCTTAGGCTTCCAGTCAGCTCACAATTGTGCTGCAGAATGCATACTCTCCCCTAAATACGCAGGCAGAATTGTTTCTCTGCTTGTTTGATAATCTGTAGTCCTCTATAGTCACTTTTAAAGAGGTTAGACCAAATTTCACAGGGCAGCAATCAACCATTTTACCTCTTGCAATGATTCTTGTATTTTCAGACCTGAAACTGATTCAGAGACCATGAGGCTCACAAACTTAGAGTAACGTGTGCATTGAGTAGAAATGAGAATCTCTGCTTTCTCTTTCCTCGTGTTGCTAAAATGTCCATAAATCTGCAGGTGACACCTGCTACTACTCCATTTATTCAGGACCTAAATCTGCAGCTCCAGATTCTGAATCGGGATCTTGAGATTTTGGGAAAAAATAAAACATTTTATCTGAGAAATGCATGTTCATTTAGTTATAAGACTCAAAGAGACATTAAAATGAGACCACAGTTATGTCTTTCTTCCTTCTTTTAGCTATTGATTTATCTCTTAAAACTGCTTACTATAGCCATAAGTAGCTATAAATTAAACTAATAATTCCACACTGGACACTATAACCCACACCCTATAGCTTAACAATGTATAGCCAATTAGTAATCGATTTTATTTTTGTAAATAAATAAGAATTTCTAACAACTTTGTATCAGTCCACTCTCTGTCCCTCTATTTTTGCCTTTACAAATCCACTTGTAACTGCTGCTAAGCAAAGTGTAGATTTTTGACAATTTGAATCTTTGCTCTCAAGTTAACAATCCTCAAGCTTGACCCAAATAAACTGTCTACTTATATTCATGTTGCCTCAGTTTTTTGTTTTTGTTTTTTTTGAGAGGGAGTCTTGTTCTTGTCGCCCAGGCTGGAGTGCAATGGTGCGATCTCTGCTCACTGCAGCCTCTGCCTCCTGGGCTCAACTGATTCTCCTGCCTTAGCCTCACAAGTATCTGGGATTACAGGCACGTGCCACCACGCCCAGCTGATTTTTTTGCACTGTAAGTAGACATGGGGTTTCACTATGTTGGCCAGGCTGGTCTCAAACTCCTGACCTCAGGTGATCTACCTGCCTCGGCCTCCCAAAGTGCTGGGATTACAGGTGTGAGCCACTGCGTCCAGTGTCTCAGTTTTTTTTTTTTTTAGGTAGACATATCATTTAGAATGTGCTAGAGCATCCTCTATAAGGGGATCTCTCCTTTGGTTGTACCTCATTTGCTGTAACACCCAAGAATGCAGAGCTAGGTTGATGCCACCTAGAATCTGCACATAAGGTTTGGCCTCTGCCTGGGATTTACAATACAGGGCCAGACTTAGGATTGAGAATGTACAGAAAACCAACAGGAGGCATGTTCTGCATTGTGAGATGTCAACATAGACATCTTAAAGTTCCCTTTTGAGAGTATGGCTTCTTGAGCTTTTCAGATCTTGTTCAGTGACCTGCTACAGTTATGTGAGAGGCACCAGGTATACATAGAATCTCATGGGAGAATCCCTAAGTGTAAACAAGCATCTTAGGAGTGAGAGAGCAAGGCCACAGAGTATCCAAAGCCATGACCACAGCTGTATCTACCTGTAAAATGTGGTACTGGAGTATTCTTGTCCTTCCTCTTACCCAAGAGCTAGCTCATCAGGACAGGTGATCCAAATTCTGGAGCTCCACCAGGGCAGTTTCATTGTTTTTTTTTTTTTTTTCTTTTTTTGAGGCGGAGTCTCACCCTATTGCCCAGGCTGGAGTGCAATGGCGTGATTTCAGCTCACTGCAACCTCTGCCTCCCGGGTTCAAGCGATTCTCCTGCCTCAGCCTCCTGAGTAGCTGGGATTACAGGCACATGCCACCACGCAGGCTAATTTTTGTATTTTTAGTAGAGACGGGGTTTCACCATGTTGGCCAGGCTGGTCTCAAACTCCTGACCTCGTGATCCGCCCACCTCGGCCTCCCAAAGCGCTTGGATTACAAGCATGAGCCACCGCGCCCGGCCAGTTTCATTTTTTATATAGGATCACCCTGAGTCTCTCCTGCTTGGCACATCATCGGGTCATCAGCCCAGGGTCATTGGGAACCCTCTCACAATCACCTAGGCATCTTTGAGACATTTAAGGTTGTCCAGAGCAGAACTGTGTCAGGCTGACAAGAGTGGTTAATTATGCTTCTGTCTCAGTGTAAGACAAATGAGTCAGTCTGCATTTGTTCCTCCCCTCATACAAGAGATGTCTTGGTTGGTACCCAGATGAGAGTTTCTTAAGTTTCCTGGTGCTTGGGTGAAAAAAAAGGAAAGGGTCTGGAGACTCAAATAGATAAACTAATTGCTTCCATTTTATGTGGCCATTAGAAAATAGTTGAAGCAGTCAGGGTTCCTACCATGCAGGATCTTTAAGTCTAGACTAGTAACTGGATAAATGGTTGAAGCAGTATATGGTTGGTACAATGTATAGATGTGTGGAAAAGAAAAAAACTTGGCCTTTGGCCACTTTCTTTACATTGTTGTGACTTCTGATGTCATCACCTGAAAGGATATTTATGAACAGAAGAGTTGTTATTGTTTGTATTCTTTTTTACTTTCCTATTAATACATATTTATGTCCTAATAAATTACCCTAGAAAACCTTAAGGAATTTGTTTAAATTATTTATTAGTATACATTATAAAATTGACATGGCAGTGGCTAAAAGAAATTAGTTAACACAAACTCTGTAATGTAAGTTTCTCTTAGGTAAGCTTAGAAAAATCAGAACTGGAAATACCTCAGTGGCATAGAGAGCAGAATTCTACATAGGGTCCACTCCCTGCCCCAGTTCTGCTAAGATTCACTCTTTTTGGAGGCCTTACTTAGGTCTGACCCCACTGTGGAGTCTTGCCTCACCAAACTGATTAGAAGAAATTAGTTTTGGCTGGTGAGTCCTGCAGCCTTTTTAGAACTGGTGCCCATAATTCTTTGAAACTCAGAAGCAGATTAATGGGAAAAATATTTATTTTAGGGCCTTAATTTTTTATTTTTATAAAAACCAGTACTTGCTGAAATGTTCCATGTAGCAACTTGTTTTCTATTACTGCAGATTTAGTAGTTGCTCCATAAGCCACAAAAAAGTAAATATAAACACAATAAAAATTTTTTCTAAATTACATTAAGCTTTTCTGTATCCCTCTCATCTGTCTATATTTAGCTTTTATTTTATACATCTTCAAGAAAAAATCAATGACAGAGAAACAGAAGAAATAAAAATCCTGGGCTCTTTATCCTGAGATTTATTGAACACCTCATACCAACTCCCAGGGTGTTATGAGGATTAAATCAAATAATGTATTTTTCCCAGCACAATGCTGTGTAACACTTGAGGACATAGTACCTGCTTAATAAACGTTACGCTAGTACATGTGTACATGTTGTTTTCCAAATGCAGACTCATTCAAACATTGCTCCCTTTTGTTTCCTCTGTAGACTTTAAAGGACCAGCAAAGAATATGATACTTGAGGATGGAGATTGGTTGTCTTTATTTGTGTTGTGACAAGAGTGCTGAGTTTAAGGGAGTCTGTGCTGTGCCTGCTTTCTCCAACTAATGCTAATAATGAGCCCAGGAAGAGCAACATCAGCATTGACAGAGGATTTGTTTAAAACACCCATTCATGGACCCTTTCCAAACCTGCAGAATCACATTACATAGAGTGAGACCAAAATTATCAAGTGATTTATAAGCTCATTAAAGCTTGAGAGACAATGCTTAGCTAAGTGGTTATCAGCCCAGTCTTCTAATTAGGATTACATGGCCAATTTAAAAAATCTTACTTGTGTCTTTTCCACAGGTTCTGTTAATTGTTCTTGGTGGAAGCATCCGTATTGTTTTAAGTAAGGGCCTCATGTGACTCAAAATGAGGACAGAGTCAAGTATGAGGGGTTCAGGATACATTCATGAGAGTTAAGTTCCACCTTTGCATTGAAGGTTGGTCACAGGGCCTGTTCTGTTCGGGTTTGGTAGAGACAGGTCAGTGTGGCCCATATTGCCATTATTGTAGCAGAAATTGCTGGTGTCTGTGCCTGGGGAGGGCACCTGAGAACAGGAAAAGAGAAACATATATTTAAGAGATGGAGTCTCACTCTGTCGCCCAAACTGGAGTGCAGTGGTGCTATCTCGGCTCACTGCAACCTCTGCCTTCCAGGTTCTAGCAATTCTCCTGCCTCTGCCTCCTGAATAGCTGGGATTACAGGCTCATGCTGCCATGCCTGGCTAATTTTTTTGTATTTTAATAGAGATGGGGTTTCACCATGTTGCCCAGGCTGGTCTCGAATTCCTGAGCTCGGGCAATCCACCTGCCTCGGCCTCCCGGTATGCTAGGATTATTGGCCTGAGCCACTGTGCCTGGCCGAGAAACTTGTATTTTTATCTTCATGGAGCGTCTCATTGTTCCCGAATCTCTTCTTGTATAAAGGACAGAAGTGGGTGGACTTTTTCTCCAGGTTTTGGTTTTTCTGCCTGTGGGTGTGGTGGTAGCAGGTAAACAGGGGGTGCTGACACCTTTAGAGGCATATTCTCAAGATACAAGTGTAATTTGTCCAGAGAATCTCATCTGAGAAGGAATTCCAAAAAAGGAGAAACAGGAAGAATTGGTTCTTTTTTTTACTTAAACCTGTCTCAGATCAAGAGCTGTGTCCACTCTTCCTCCTGGAATGCCATGTGTTTAGTACTTGCAAACCTTTACTTCTCTACTCAATCTTTTCCTCCCTAATGAGCTAGTTTCAATTACTTTAAAAATTCATTATAATAGTCAAGGGTCTCAGAAAAATATTTTTCCTGTGTACCAGAGCCTTCTTTACATTCTCTGCATCATGGCTTCTTATGTGCCATGCAGAATTCTCATTATGAATTTAGAATCTGCAATATTAAAAATATTTCCTTTGTAGCTGTTGAATTATGGGAACGTGTGGATACTCAAGATTTCTACTGGGGAAAAGCTGGGGTCCTTAGTAAAGAAAAAGAACATGTAATGTTGAGGATCCATCTGTGTTCTCTATTAGCTCTATACAGAAAAGGATCAAGAAAATGCTTATTTAAACAGAATGGCATTTATCACCCATGAAGTTCTGAAAAAAATTTTAGGAGATTCCTGCTTTCTAGGGTGCTGAAGAAAGACTACTTAAAATCACTATTTAATAGTACAGTAAATAGGAGATACCTGTATTTTGAACTTTGCATAAAATTGATGTTTCTTTATGGTTAAATTTAGATTATAATTTACTTTTTGGGGGCAGTCTTCCAGCAGTGATGCTGTGTTCTTTGTGCATCAGCACATCATAAAAATTTGTTCCTAGTGCAGTTGATGTTAATGATTCACTTGGCTAAAGAGCTGTCTGACAAGTTTTTTTTATAGTTAATTACTTTTCATTAGTAAGTATCTTTATGCAGCTGATGTGCATAAATTATCACATTTGATTTGGCAGCTGCCTTTCTTCCTTAGGTTTTATTTGCATATATGTCTTTGGAAGATGAAGGCTCTCATCTTTATTTACAGAAAAACTGGGAAAACACAGGATCTTTTTTTTTTTTTTTTTTTTTTTTTTTTTGAGATGGAGTCTCACTCTGTTGCCCAGGCTAGAATGCACTGGCGCAGTCTCAGTTCACTGCAACCTCCACCTCCCAGGTTCAAGCGATTCTCCTGCCTCAGCCTCCCAAGTAGCTGGAATTACAGACGCACATCATTGTGCCCGGCTAATTTTTGTATTTTTTTTTTAGTAGAGATGGGGTTTCGCCATGTTGGCCAGGCTGATTTCGAACTCGTGACCTCAGGTGATCCGCCTGCCTCGGCCTCCCAGAGTGCTGGGATTACAGGCGTGAGCCACCATGCCTGGCCAACACAGGCTCTTTTACTTAGTGGATGTTTGACAAAATACTCTTCTTGGGCCAAAAACATTGGCATTACTGGTGAGCTTGTTAGAAATTCAGAAATTCAAACTTTATTCCAGATTTTCTAAAAACAATCCGCATAATAAGATCTTCAGTTTATTGTACACATTAAAATTTGAGATGTACCTTCTAATTCAACATGTCTTTTCTATCTGAAAAATATACACAACTCATTGTGTATGATGTAAATATAGCACTCAAAAATTTACATGTTTGTATTCATGTCCTGTTATAGTTTTTCTTCAAAAAAGTATATATACACTGATGTTGTGGATCTTATGCTGTTCTCTTATCTGAGTTAAAGAATATATTAGAGAATATTTCTGCATTGAAATTTATTTTATTGTATAATTTGACTCACTCCTGTAAGTCAGAATCAGTTTTCTATACTGTCTTACTTTGCCTTGAGCCAAAATAAAAATTCTGCCCATGGTCATTTAGTAAATATATAAGTGTGTGTGTGTGTGTGTGTGTGTGTGTGTGTTTTTCAGGGACCACTGACATTTAGGGATGTGGCCATAGAATTCTCTCTGGAGGAGTGGCAATGCCTGGACACTGCACAACGGAATTTATATAGGAAAGTGATGTTTGAGAACTACAGAAACCTGGTCTTCCTGGGTGAGGATAACTTCAACACACAATTCCTAATATGCCCTAAAGGTTTTATTTCTCTTTTTTTGCATAACTTGTGGTAATTTGTGCTTTGCATAAATGAGTTTCAGATCCCTGTTTTCAAGAAAATCTTTGAGCTTTGTCCATGTAGAAAAAAATTCCTTCAGTACGTTTCATCTTGACCTGAACTTTCCACATTCCTGAGCTGATCTATGTCCTTCACTCTAGATTAGTGGTAATTACAGAAATTTGATGGCATAAAATGTTGTTGCCCACACCTTAAAATTTAATTGCCCCCACCAATTTTTGATTCAGTAGTACTGGGTAGTGAAATTAAAGACCTAAAAATTTAAAGTATTTTCTAAATATTTAGAAATGTCTGTTATAAATTAGTAATTTGGGATTAATTTACTAGAATATGCTATGACATTCTCTTTACTGAGCACATTAGTAGTTTGGTAATTGGAGAATATGAGCAAGATTCATGTTATTTATTTTTAATAAAACAGGTATTGCTGTCTCTAAGCCTCACCTGATAACCTGTTTGGAGCAAGGAAAAGAGCCCTGGAATAGGAAGAGACAGGAGATGGTAGCCAAACCCCCAGGTAGGTGAGAGTGATAGTGAATACAACAGATGACACAGATGAGAGGTCCAGATGTCAAAGAGAAAGTCAGTTCTTGACATGGGATTTGGGAAGCTATGTTCCAGAGAAAATAGTTTTTGGGAAGCTCAGTTTCTTTTCTCTTGCTCTCACATAGGGGCATCTTCTTTATGCTCTTAAATTCTCTAAAAATTCTACTTTCCCATCAGTGATCTTCCTTCAAGTTTACTGTAAGCCAAAGTCCTCTTTATGGCTTATAAGAGACTGCACAATCTGACTGATGTTCCATTGTTTTAGGGACACACAAATATCTGCAAAATTTTGAGAAACTGTTATTTTTTAAGTTCTCTTTCTACATCACGTCTGAAATGTGTGTGATTAGTGGTTTCTTTTCCATTTTTTTGGTTCATTTTTCTGCACATTTCATATTTTTATTATTATAGTCTTTTTTGATAGTCGAAATATAGTTCGAAATTATAAAGTATAATGTCCTTCTTTGTTCTTTTTCCTCCAGATTGCTTTGACTATTCAAAGTTTATTGTAGTTTCATATAAATTTTAGGATTTTATTTTTCATTGCTGTAAAAAAATGCCACTGGAATTTCGATAGGGAGTTCATTGAATCCATAGATTATTTTGGATAATATGGCACTTTAACAATATTTATGCTTTCAATCCATAGACATAAAATACTTTAAAATTTATTTGCGTTGGCCAGGCACAGTAGCTCACACTTGTAATCCCAGCACTTTGGGAGGCCAAGGCAGGGAGATCACTTGAGGTCAGGAGTTTGAGACCAGCCTGGCCATCAGGGTGAAATCCCATCTCAACTAAAAATACAAAAATTAGCCTGGCATGGTGGCAGGTTCCTATAATCCCAGCTACCCAAAAGGCTGAGGCAGGAGAATTGCTTTAACACAGGAGGTGGAGGCTGCAGTGAGCTGAGATTGTACCACTGCACTCCAGCCTGTGTGACAGAGACTCTGTCTCAAAAAATAATTATTTGCCTCTTCTCTAATTTATTTCATTAATATATTTTTATTGTAAAGATTTTTTTACCTCCTTGTTTAAATTTGTTCTCAGAAATTATTTTAATGCTACTGTAAATAAGATTGTTTTCTTAATAATCAGTTTGCTTTAAGTGTATGGAACCATAACTTAAACTTGTATGTTAATTTTATATTTTGCTAATTTACTGAATGTATTTATTAATTTAAACAGGTTTTAGTGTACTGTTTATAATTTTTTATATATAAGAGCATATGATCGATAAGCAGCAAGTTTTTACTCATTTGTCTTCAATTTCAGTGAGTTTAAAAACTTTTTTTGACTAATTTTTCTGCCACATACTTGCAGTTCTATGTTAAAATAAAGTATTTACAGTGGGTACAATATAGTTTTGCATTGGTGTCTGAATTTAAAGGAGCAAACACCTCTTTAAGTTTTTATAAACTGGTTTAGAAGGTAAAGATTTTTTTTGTTGGGTTCTCAGGGTGATGGGATGTCCTCTGGGTTTGTAGTGGAGAGGGGCGTAGCTTGGTCACAAGGCTGCTGGGTCTGCACTAGGGCTCACCTTTAGTTGGCTTAACAGGGGCTTGGGTAATTGTAATTTTCATTATATTTTGGAACAGACTAAATATTTTTCTGGATGTTGCTCTGTAGGGCAGACAGTAGGGCAGGTTTTTGTAATTGGGTCTATATATGGTGGGCCTTATATCAGAATGTGGATGAGTATGGCTTTCACTGAGTATCAAAGAGAATTTTTTCAGGTCACTGTGTGGGTTCCTTTATAGGCAGAACTGGCCGTGAACTGTGGCTCAGGGAGCTGGAACTGAGTCATCGAACTGCTTCAGAAACCACAGTAAAGGACAAGGTCTGCAGGCCTGCCTGCGTGGCTATAAATGGCTGTCTTCCTCCAGGCCTCTGGAAGGGCACGGTCTCTCCCAGACTGTGGCTGGGAGGAGTTTGGGATGATTAGAGAGTAAGTTCAGAATTCTCAGTGGGACCAAATTTGGTGGGCCATTTCCTGGTCTGCAGCCTAGAACAGGGGTCCTGTATTTTTCCACCTGAATGAGGGCCTGCCTTCTGAAAAGAACACTCCTTAATCTTAGACTGTAGCAGTTTCACAACACCCTCTCTGGATCTCAAAGCTCTCTTAAAGGCACTTATTTTTGAGATGGGTTTTGGCTTCATAACCCAGGTTGGTCTTGAAATCCTGGCCTGAAGCAGTTCCCCAACCTGAATGTACCATGTAGCTGTCATTACAGGTGTGAGCCATGGCTCACATAAATGCATTTTTGACAGGGATGGCTGATAAATTTTCTTGCTGTGGGATGATAAGCAAATAAGGAACCTTTTATTTTTCCATCTTACTGATGTCACTCTCCCTATACATTTTTACTTTCTATTTTCTATTTCAAATTTTTCTGTACTTTAGGTTCAGACATTTAGGACAATATGCTAGAATTTACATGATATGGTTGATGTTACTTATAAATTTAAGTTTGCTTCAGGCAAACAGGAATTACAGGATTTTCACCCACTTAAGCATATATCTAAATAACAACATAACTAATTTCTAAATATTTGTTTTATATATAAGAAGTGCTAACCATATTCTGCAAAATATATAATTTTTAAATTTAGCAATGCAAGACTATTGTTTTGCTTCTAAAGTTGGATTACAGTAGTTTTATTTTGTGTAAGAATAGCATATATTTAAAACATAAATACTAATTTCTTGTAAATTTTTGTTTATTATAAATTTATTGTTAGAATCTTTTATTTATAATTATACTGTTTTTTTCCTGAAATTTTATTGCAACACAGCGCATGCCAATGATTTGAAATACCTGCTTTCCATGAGTACACATAGTCAAATATTGTAATTATCTAGACAAATTTTTTAATGGCACATAAATATTGCAAAGCAGATTTTGTGAGTAAACTTCTTTAGTTATTGTTTTGCAGTTCCATATTAGTGTTTTATTTAGTGTACTTTTTAAACATCAGTTTATTGTGATTTTTTGTTTTACTTATATATTTAGACATTTTGCAATTCTGTTTGTAAACTTTAAGTCAACATGGGGTTTAATTAAAAGATAAATCAGCCGGGCTCAGTGGCTCATGCCTGTAATCCCAGCACTTTGGGAGCCCGAGGCAGGTGGATCAGAAGGTCAGGAGTTCGAGACCAGCCTGGCCAATATGGTGAAGCCCCATCTCTACTAAAAATACAAAAATTAGCCTGGTGTGGTAGCGGGTGCCTGTAGTCCCAGCTACTTGGGAGGCTGAGGCAGGGGAATCTCTTGAACCTGGGAGGCAGAGGTTACAGTGAGCTGAGATTGCACTACTGTACTCCAGCCTGGGCGACAGAGCGAGCCTCCATCTCAAAAAAAAAAAAAAAAAAAGGATAAATCAGCCATATGTCTATCACAATCAGTTTGTATATGTGTGTGCTTTTATCTACAAATATGACCTCCATTTTGGTTATGGCTTATTTTGTAGGTATTCTTTCTTAGCTGATTTTCAATGGTTGTCCGATCATATCTAAATGAGTAGTCATGGAAATCGCCTTCTTTTCACCATGTGTTTAATGATGAATATATATTTCTTTTGCATGAGAGAAACACGTTTGTGATTTGAAGATAATTTTTGAAAAGATTTATAAATCTTTATTTTTTCAGTTTTTCTTTTAAAAAATTAATTGTGAAAATATAACATAAAATTTACCATCTTAAATTCATTGAAGTGTACATTTCAGGGCCAGGCATGGTGGTGGCTTACATCTGTAATCCAGGGATTTTG
Source organism: Homo sapiens (assembly GCF_000001405.40). Taxonomy (NCBI): domain Eukaryota; kingdom Metazoa; phylum Chordata; class Mammalia; order Primates; family Hominidae; genus Homo; species Homo sapiens. The sequence goes on along the minus strand of NC_000007.14, from coordinate 64,539,906 downwards.
AGAGGCCAAGACAGGAGTATCACTTGAGCCCAAAATTTGGAGACCAGCTTGGGCAACATATAAAGACCCAGTCTACAAAAAAAACTATTTTTAAAGACAGGCATGGTGGTGTGCACTTGTGGTTTCAGCTACTTGGGAGATTGATGGGGGAGGATTTACTTCAGCCTGGTTAAGGCTATAGTAAGCCATAATTGTGCCACTGCACTCCAGCTTGGGTGACAGAGTGAGATCCTGTCTGAATAAAAGTTGTACATTTCGAGCATGTTAAGTGTATTCACACTGTTAGGCAAAATACTTCTAAAAGTTTTACATCTTGTAAAACTAAAACTCAGTACACATTAAGTAACAACTGCCCATTTTACCCTCTCTTCAGCCCTTGACAGACACGCTTCCACTTTCTGTTTTTATGAGTGTGACTACTTAAGATATCTCATAAGTGGAATCATACAGTACCCATCATTTTGTTACTGGCTCATTTTAGGTGACATAATTCTCAACATTTATAATAAAATGGGACAAGATTTTCTTTTCTTTTTTTTTTTTTTTTTTTTTTTTGAGACGAAGTTTTGCTCTTGTTGCCCAGGCTGGAGCGCAGTGGTGCCATCTTGGCTCACCTCTACCTCCCAGGTTCAAACAATTCTCCTCCCTCAGCTTCCCAAGATTTTTTTTTAAGGCTGAATAATATTCCATTGTATACATATGTTACTTTTTTTATGTATTTATAAATCAACATCTGGATTGCTTCAGCATTTTGGCTTTTTTTTTTTTTTTTTTTTGAGATGGAGTCTTGCTCTGCCTCCCAGGCTAGAGTGCAATGGCACAATCTTGGCTCACTGCAGTCTCCGCCTCCCAGGTTCAAGTGATTCTCCTGCCTCAGCCTCCTGAGTAGCTGGGATTACAGGCACCCACCACCACACCTGGCTAAATTTTGTATATTTAGTAGAGACAAGGTTTCACCATGTTGGCAAAGCTGGTCTCAAACTGCTGACCTCAGGTGATCCACCCGCCTCCGCCTTCCAAAGTGCTGGGATTACAGGTGTGAGCCACTGTGCCTGGCCGCGTTTTGGCTTTTGTGATGCTGGTACAAGAAACATAAATGTTCAAATATGTCTTCCAGGTCCTGCGTTGCATAGTTTGGATGTAGATCCATAAGTGGGATTGCTGTATTTAATAATTCCATTTTTAATTATTTGAGGAACATTTATAACATTTGTAAATAATGGTTGCATCCTTGTTTTGCACCAACAATTAACGTGTTTTTGTTGCAAATTTTCATTGCATCATCAACTGATTTGATGTTTTCTAGAAAACTTATAGTGGCTATTATAATGGGTGTAAGAGGATTCTGTTTTTCATTGTGATTTTCATGCATTTGTCTACAAATTAGTATTTTGTGTATCCTTTCAAATGCTTTTTTGCATTTGTATCAATTTGATGAAAATTTAGTTCAATTATTTGTCCACTTCTAAGTTGTTATTCAACTTTATAATTCAGTTTTAATAGTTGTTTATATATTCTGAATATTAACTCCTATCACATGTGATTTGCAAATATTTTCACCCATTTCCTAGGAGGCATCATTACTCTTTTGAATGTTTTCTTTGATATGCAGAAATTTTGAAGTACTGTGTAGTTCAGTTATTCTGTTCTTCTCTTTGTTGCTCATGCATTTAATGTTGTATCTAAGAAAATGGTGCCAATACCAATGTCATGTTTTTTTCCTATATTTTTTCTAAGAGATTGTTATTTTTTAAATTTCTAAATATTTTATTTCAAATATTCTTTGTATATAGTTCAAGGAAAGGATTCAGCTTTATCAGTGTAGATAACCTGATTTCAACGTTATTTTTTTGAAAAGATTATCTTTTCTCTATCATGTGTTAATGGTGACTTAGTGAAAGATCATTTGATCATACACAAAAGCGTTCTTTTCTGGGCTCTCTATTCTGTTTTTGTTTGTTTTTTTGTTTTTTTTTGGAGATGGAGTCTTGCTGTGTCACCCAGTCTGGAGTGCAGTGGTGCTATCTCAGCTCACTGCAAGCTCTGCCTCCCGGGTTCACGTCATTCTCCTGCCTCAGCCTCCCAAATAGCTGGGACTACAGGCGCCCGCCACCACGCCCGGCTAATTGTTTTTTGTATTTTTAGTAGAGACAGGGTTTCACTGTGTTAGCCAGGATGGTCTCGATCTCCTGACCTTGTGATCTGCCCGCCTTGGCCTCCCAAAATGCTGGGATTACAGGCGTGAGCCAGCGCACCTGGCCGTCTATTCTGTTTTTTATCTCTTTATATGTCATTGTGTCAGTACCACATTGTTTTTGCTGTTGTAGCTTTTAATATGTTTTTCAATCAGGAAGTATAATGCTTTTTTTTCATGGTTGTTTAGCTAGTTATGATCATAATCAAATTAAAAAATTTTAAACATTTCTGTAAAAAAAACTGTGCTATTGGGATTTTTATAGAGATCATATTGAATTTTTTTACCACTTTAGGTTATATTGACATCTTAACAAAATTAAATTTTTTGACCCTTGAGCAAAACTATGTCAAAGAGTATGTTTTATTTTATTTTAAATTAAATTAAATTTAAAGACAGGGTCTCACCTTGTTGCCCAGGCTACTTTCAAACTCCTAGGCACAGGTAATCCTTCTGCCTTGGCCTCCTGAAGTTCTAAGTTTACACATTTGAGCCACTACACCCAGCCTGTGTGTTTCATTTTCATATATTTTTGGATTTGCCAATTTTACGTTTGCTTTTAATTCCTAGTTTTATTAAGTTTTTGTCAGAAAACACACAGTGTATGATTTTGGTGTTCTTAGATTTATTCATCATTGTTGTTTTGAGACAGGATTTTACTGTCACTCAGGCTGGAGTGCAGTGGCATAATTTTGGCTCACTGCAGCCTCAGCCTCCTGGGCTCAAGTGATCCTTCCACCTCAGCTCCCCGTGTAGCTGAAACTACAGACATGCACTATCATGTCTAGCTATTTTTTTTGATTATTTGTAGGGACAGGGCCTCACTGTGTTACCTAGGCTGGCCTGAAACTTCTTGTGCCAAATGATACTCCCACCTTGGTCTCCCAAAGTGTTGGAATTATAGGCATGAGCCACTGCACCCAGTTGTTATTGTTAAATTTAATAAGACCCATTATGTGTTTTAACAGAATACACTAGGTGCAAATAAGAATATCATATATTCTGTTGCTTTTGACTGAGAAGTTTTTTATGAGTCTGTTAAGCCTAGTTGTTCTATGCTATGGTGTGGGTGTCCGTGTTCTCCAGACCTCATGTTGCAATGTAATCCTTAATGTTGGATGTGGGACCTGGTGGGAGGTGTTTGGGTCATGGGGGCAAATTCCTCATGAATGGCATGACGCCATCCTCGTGGTAATCAGAAAGTTTACACTCTATTAATTCAAATGAAAGCTGCTTCATTAAAAGAACGTGTTTCCTTCACCTCACACTTGCTCTGTCTCTTACCATGTGATATGTCCAGTTACTCTTTGCCTTCCATCATGATTGTAAGCTTCCTGAGACCCTCACCAGAAGCAGATGCTGGCACACACTTCTTGTACAGTCTGCCAAAGTGTGAGCCAAATAAACATGTTTCTTTATAAATCATCCACTCTTAGCTATTCCTCTATATGCAAAATAATCAATACAGTCTATAATGTCTAAGTTTTCTGTTTTCTTATTAATCTTTTCTCTTAATTTTTTATTATTGAAAATGGGGTCTTGATATCTACAATTATTATGTTGCTATGTATTTCTTTCTTCACCTTTGTCAATATTTGCTTTATATATTTTGGAGACCTGATGTTATTAATACACATACATATAGATAGATAAATATGATAGTTATAGATTCCTGGTAAATTGACCCATTTTACTTACCATTATATAATATCAATCTTTGATTAATGCTACTACTTGACTTATTTGTTTGTTTGTGTTTTTGTTTTTTTGAGACAGAATCTCATTCTGTCGCCCAGGCTGGAGTGCGGTGGTGTGATCTCGACTCACTGCAACCTCTGCCTCCCGAGTTCAAGCAATTCTCTTGCCTCAGCCTCTCGAGTAGCTGGGATTACAGGTGTGTGCTACGATGCCTGGCTACTTTTTGTATTTTGGGTAGAGATGGGGTTTCATCATTTTGTCCAGGCTGGTCTCGAACTCCTGACCTCAAGTGATTCACCTGCTTCGGACTCCCAAAGTGCTGGGATTACAGGCATGAGCCACCGTGCCTGGCCAAGTACTTCACTTAAAGTATATTATATCTAATATAATGATGACCATCTCACCCAATCGTGGTTACTATTGGCATGAAATAAGATTTTTTTCATTTTGTTACTTTCAGCCTATTTGACTCAATGCTAAAATGAGTCTCGTATAGAGAACATATTGTATGCTTTTTTACTGAAGCCATTCAGGCGTCTTATTTCTTTTTCTCTTTCTCTCTCTCTGTCTCTCTCTCTCTCTCCCTCCCTCCCTCCCTTCCTTCTTTCCTTCTTTCCTTCCTTCCTTCTTTTCTTTCTTTTGTTCTTTCTTGTGGCCTCGCTCTGTCAGCCAGGCTGGTTTGCAGTGGCGTGATAATTAATGACCCACTGCATCCTCAACTTTCTAAACTTAGAAAATTCTCTAACTTCAGCGTCTCCAGTAGCTGGGTTACAAATATGCACCATCACATCCAGTTAGTTTTTTTGTATTTTTGATAGAGACAATGTTGTCCAGACTGGTCTCAAATTCTCTTTTATTTTTTAAATTTTATTTTTCTATAGGGTGTTTGGTTCCATGAGTAAGTTCTTTAGTGGTAATTTTTTAGATTTTGGTGCACTCATCACGTAAGCAGTATTCACTACACCCTATTTGTAGCCTTTTATCTCTTGCCCCCCTCCCACCCAAGCCCCCCCAAGTCCCCAAAGTTTATTGTATCGTTCTTATGCCTTTGCATCCTCATAGCTTAGCTCCCACATATCAGTGAGAACATACAATGTTTGGTTTTCCATTCCTGAGTTACTTCACTTAGAATAATAGTCTCCAATCTCATCCAGGTCACTGCAAATGCCATTGGTTCATTCCTTCTTATGGCTGAGTAGTATCCTATATATATACCACAGTTTCTTTATCCCATTGTTGATTGATGGGCATTTGGGTTGGTTCCATGATTTTGCAATTGCAAATTGTGCTGCTATAAACATGCGTGTGCAAGTATCTTTTTCAGATAGTAACTTCTTTTCCTGTGGGTAGATACCCAATAGTGGGATTGCTGGGTCAAATGGTAGTTCTACCTTTAGTTCTTTAAGGAATCTCCACACTGTTTTCCATAGTGGTTGTACTAGTTTACATTCCCACCAGCAGTGTAGAAGTGTTCCCTGATCACCGCATCTGTGCCAGCATCTACTGTTTTACGATTTTTTGATATGATCATTCTTGCAAAAGTAAGGTGGTACTGCATTATGGTTTTGATATGCATTTCCCTGATCATTAGTGATGTGGAGCATTTTTTCATATTTTTGTTGGCCATTTGTATATCTTCTTTTGAGAAATGTTTATTCGTGTCCTTAGCCCACTTTTCGATGGGATTGTTTGTTTTTTTCTTGCTGATTTGAGTTCATTGTAGATTCTGGATATTAGTCCTTTGTCAGATGTATAAATTGTGAAGATCCTTTCCCACTCTGTGGGTTGTCTGTTTACTCTGCTGACTGTTCCTTTTGCTGTGCAAAAGCTCTTTTGTTTAATTAAGTTCCAGCTATTTATCTTTGTTTTTATTGCATTTGCTTTTGGGTTCTTGGTCATGAAATCCTTGCCTAAGCCAATGTTTAGAAGGGTTTTTCCAATGTTATCTTACAGAATTTTTATAGTTTCAGGTCTTACATTTAAGTCCTTAATCTATCTTGAGTTTATTTTTGTATAAGGTGAGAGATAAAGATCCAGTTTTATTCTCCTACATGTGGCTAGCCAATTTTCCCAGCACCTTTTGTTGAAAAGGGTTTCCTTTTCCCACTTATGTTTTTGTTTGCTTTCTGAAAGATCAGTTGGCTGTAAGTATTTGAGTTTATTTCTGGGTTCGCTATTCTGTTCCGTTGTTCTATGTGCCGATTTTTATAATAGTAACATGCTGTTCTGGTAACTATGGCTTATAGTATAGTTTGAAATCAGGTAGTCTGATGCCTCCAGATTTATTCTTTTGCTTAGTCTTGCTTTGGCTATGTGGGCTCTTTTTTCGTTCTGTATACATTTTAGAATTGGTTTTTCTAATTCTGTGAAGAATTATGGTAGTATTTTGATGGGGATTGTATTGAGTTTGTTTATTGCTTTTTGCAGTATGGTCATTTTCCACAAGATTAATTCTACCTATCCATAAGCATAAAATGTGTTTCCATTTGTTTGTGTTGTCTATGATTTTTTTCAGCAGTGTTTTGTAGTTTTCCTTGTAGAGGTCTTTCATGTAATTGATTAGGTATATTTCTAAGTATTTTATTATTTTTGCAGCTACTGTAAAAGGGGTTGAGTTCTTGATTTGATTCTCCACTAGGTCACTGTTGGTGTATAGAAGAGCTACTGGTTTGTGTACATTAATCTTATACCTGGAAACTTTGCTCAATTCTTTTATCAGTTCTAGGAGTTTTTTGGAGGAGTCTTTGGGGTTTTCAAGATAAAAGATCATATCACCAGCAAACAGTGACAGTTTGACTTTCTCTTTACTGATTTGGATGCCCTTTATTTCTCTTGTCTGATTGCTCTGGCTAGGACTTCCAGTGCTATGTTGAAGAAGAGTTGTGAGAGTGGGTATCCTTGTCTTGTTCCAGTTCTCAAAGGGAATGCTTTCAACTTTTTTCCCATTCAGTATTATGTTGGCTGTGGGTTTGTCATAGATGACTTTTATTACGTGGAGGTATGTCCCTTGTATGCCAATTTTGCTGAGAGTTTTAATCATAAAGAGATGCTGGATTTTGTCAAATGCTTTTTCTGCATCTATTGAGATGATCATGTAAGTTTTAACTCTGTTTATGTGGTGTATCACACTTATTGACTTGCATATATTAAACCATCTCTGCATCCCTGGTATGAAACTCACTTGATCATGATGGATTATCTTTTTGATATGTTGTTGGATTCAGTTAGCTGGTATTTTGTTAAGGATTTTAGCATCTATGTTCATCAGGGATATAAGTCTGTAGTTTTCTTTTTTGATCATGTCCTTTTCTGGTTTTGATATTAGCATGATGTTGGCTTCATAGAATGAATTAGGGAGGGTTCCCTCTTACTCTGTCTTCTGGAATAGTGTCAATAGGATTGGTACCAATTCTTCTTTGAGTGTCTGGTAGAATTCTGCTGTGAATCTGTCTGGTCTTGGACTTTTTTTGTTGGTAATTCTAAAATTACCATTTTAAAAGCTACTTGCTTTTGGTCTGTTCAGGGTAGGAGGGTTTTATTTTTACAGGAATTTATTCATCTCTTCTAGGTTTTCGAGTTTATGTGTGTAAAGGTATTCATCGTAGCCTTGAATGATCTTTTGTATTAATGTGGTATCAGTTGTAATATCTCCCATTTTGTTTCTTATTGAGGTTATTTAGATTTTCTCTCTTCTTTTCTTTTTTTTTTTTGAGATGGAGTCTCTCTCTGTTGCCCAGGCTGGAGTGCAGTGGTACGATCTCGGCTCACTGCAAGCTCTGCCTCCCAGGTTCAGGCCATTCTCCTGCCTCAGCCTCCCGAGTAGCTGGGACGACAGGTGCCCACCACCATGCCCGGCTAATTTTTTGTATTTTTAGTAGAGATGGGGTTTCCCCGTGTTAGCTAGGATGGTCTCAGTCGCCTGACCTTGTAATCTGCCCCCCTGGGCCTCCCAAAGTACTGGGATTACAGGCGTGAGCCACCGTGCCTGGCCTATTTATGTTTTCAAAGAAACAGCTTTTTGTTTCATTTATCTTTTGTATTTTTTTGCTTCAGTTTCATTTAGTTTTGCTCTAATCTTGATTATTTCCTTTCTTCTGTTGCATTTGGATTTGTTTTTTTCTTGTTTCTCTAGTTTCTTGAAGTGTGACCTTACAGTCTCAGTTTGTGCTCTATCAGTCTTTTTGATGTAGGCATTTAGGGCTATGAACTTTCCTCTTAGCACTACCTTTGCTGTATCCCAGAGGTTTTCATAGGTTGGGTCATTATTGTCATTCAGTTAGACAAATTTTTAAATTTTCATCTTGGTTTCATTTTTGACCCAATGATCATTCAGAAGCAGGTTATTTAATTTCCATGTATTTGCATGGTTTTGAAGGTTTTTTTGGAGTTGATTTCTAGGTTTTTTTTTTTTTTTTTTTGAGACGGAGTCTCACTGTGTTGCCCAGGCTGGAGTGCAGTGGCACGATCTTGGCTCACTGCAAGCTCCACCTCCTGAGTTCACGCCATTCTCCTGCCTCAACCACCCGAGTAGCTGGGACTACAGGCACCCGCCACCATGCCTGGCTAATTTTTTTGTATTTTTTAGTAGGGACGGGGTTTCCCCATGTTAGCCAGGGTGGTCTTGATCTCCTGACCTCGTGATCTGCCCACCTCAGCCTTCCAAAGTGCTGGGATTACAGGCGTGAGTCACTGCGCCCGGCTGATTTCTAGTTTTATTCCACTGTAGTCTGAGAGAGTGTTTGATATAATTTCAATATTCTTTAACTTATTGAGGCTTGTTTTGTGGCCTATCATATGGTCTATCTTGGAGAAAGTTTCACCCGCTGTTGAGTAGAATGTGTATTCTGCGGTTGTTGGATGGAATGTTTTGTATATATCTGTTAAGTCCATTTGTTTCAAGGTATAGTTTAAGTCCGTTGTTTCTTTGTTAATTTTCTGTCTTGATCTGTCTAGTTCTGTCAGTGGACTATTGAAATTCCCCACTCTTACTGTGTTTATCACATTTTTTAGGTCTATTAGTAATTGTTTTATAAATTTAGAAGCTCCAATGTTAGGTGCATGAATGTTTAGGTTTGTGATGTTTTTCTGTTGGACAAGGCCTTTTATTATTATTATTATTACTATTATTATTATTATTATTTTTAAATTTTTTTTTTTGAGATGGAGTCTCGCTCTGTTGCCCAGGCTGGAGTGCAGTGGCACAATCTTGGCTCACTGCAACCTCCGCCTCCTGGGTTCAAGCAGTTCTCCTCCTCAGCCTCCCGAGTAGCTGGGATTACAGGTGCCTGCCACCACACCCGGCTAATTTTTGTATTTTTAGTAGAGATGGAGTTTCTCCATTTTGGCCAGGCTGGTCTTGAACTCCTGATCTTGTGATCCACCTGCCTCAGCCTCCCAAAGTGCTGGGATTGAACCAGCCAAGGCCTTTTATTGTTCTATAATGTCCCTCTTTGTCTTTTTAAACTGCAGCTGCTTTAAAGTTTGTTTTGTCTGATACAAGAATAGCTACTCCTGCTCACTTTTGGTGTCCATTTGCATGAAATGTTTTTTTCCACCCCTTTACTTTAATTTTATGTGAGTTCTTATGTGTTAAGTTAGTCTCTTGAAGGCATCAGATGGTTGGTTAATTCTTATCCATTCTGTATCTTTTAAGTGGCAGATTTAGGCCACTTACATTCAATGTTAGTATTTAGATGTGAGATACCATTTCATTTATCGTGCCATTTGTTGCCTGTGTACCTTGGTTTTTGTTTTTTTGTTTTTGCTTTTTAAATTGTATTTTTGTTCTATAGGTCCTGTGAGATTTATGCTTTAAAGAGGTTCTGTTTTGGTATATTTCCAAAATTTGTTTCAAGATTTAGAGCTCTTTTAGCAGTTCTTGTAGTAGTGGCTTGGTAATGATGAATTATCACAGAATTTGTTTGTCTGAAAAAGACTATATCTTTCCTTCATATGTGATGCTTAGTTTCACTGGATACAGAATTCTTGGCTGATAATTGTTTTGTTTGAGGAGGCTGAAGATAGATAGGGCCCCAGTCCCTTCTAGCTTGTAGGATTTCTGCTGAGAAATCTGCTGTTAATCTGATAGTTTTTACTTTATAGGTTACCTGGTGCTTTTGTCTGACAACTCTTAAGATGTTTTTCCTTGTCTTAACTTTAGATAACCTGATGGCAGTGTGCCTAGGTGATACTCTTTTTGTGATAAATTTCTCAGGTGTTCTTTGTGCATCTTGTATTTGGATGTCTAGGTCTCTAGTAAGGCTGAGGAAGCTTTTCTCGGTTATCAACCCAAGTGTGTTTTCCAAACTTTTAGATTTCTCTTCTTTCTCACAAATGCCAATTATTCTTAGGTGTGGTCATTTAACATAATCCCAGACTTCTTGGAGGCTTTGTTCATATTTTCTTATTATTTTTTCTTTGTCTTTGTTGGATTGGGTTAATTTGAAGACCTTGTCTTTGAGCTCTGAATTTCTTTCTTCTATTCATTCAATTCTATTGCTGAGACTTTACTGTAAGTGTGTCCAGTGTTTCCTGAAGTTTTGATTGTTTTTTCTTTATGTTATCTATTTTCTTGAATATTTCTCCCTTTGTTTTGTGTATTGTTCTTTGAATTTCCTTGCACTGGGCTTCGCCTTTCTCTGATGCCTTTCTTATTAGCCTAATAACTAACCTCCTGAATTCTTTTTCAGGTAAAACAGGGATTCCTTCTTGGTTTGGATTTATTGCTGGTTAGCTAGTGTGATAATTTGGGGGCGTTAAAGAGCCTTGTTTTGTCATATTACCAGAGTTGGTTTTTTGGTTCCTTTGCAGTGGCGTAGGCTCTGTCAGAAGGAAGGTCTAGGGCTGAAGGCTGTTTTTCAGATTCTTTTGTTCCCTTTATTTGGTATTCTACCCTTTTCCTGTGGATGTGGCTTCCTGAGAGCCGAGCTGTATTGATTGTTATCTCCCTTCTAGGTATAGCCACCCAGCAAATCTACCAAACTTTGGGCTGGAACTAAGGGTTGTCTGCCCGGAGTTCTGTGTTGTGAACTGTTTATGGGTTTCTCAGCTGTGGATACCAGCACCTGTTTCAGTGGAGGTGGTAGCGGGGGTGAAATGGACTCTTCCAGTGTTCTTAGCACTGGTGATTTAATGCTCTCTTATTGTGCTGATTTGCCTCCTTCTGGGAAGTGGTGCTTTCCAGAGAGCATCAGCTGTGGTAGGGTGGAGAGGAACCCAGTGGGTGGGGCCTTACAACTTCTTAGAGTATATGCCCTTTGTGTTCAGATACGAGTGTGGGTAGGGAAGGACCACTGGGTAGGGGCAGGGCTAGGTGTGTCTGAACTCAGACTCTCCTTGGGTACATACTGCTTTGGCTGCTTTTGAGGATGGGGGTGAAGTTCCCAGGTCAATGGATTTATGTACCTAGGAGGATAATGGCTGCTTCTGCCAAGTCATGCAGGTTGTCAGGGAAGTGGGGAAAAGCTGGCAGTCACCTGCCTCACCCAACTTCTACACAATCCAAAGGGCTGGTCTTACTCCTACTGTGCCCCACCTAACAGCACCAAGACTGTTTTCACGCAGTTAGCAAGCTGGGCTAAGAACTTGCCCCAGGCTACCCACCTCCTAGCTGTGAAAGAAAAGGGCATTAGTTCTTCCCCGGCCCTGTGACCTGTGACCTGTGGAGTCTGCAGGATGGATTTGATGGATTCTCGCCCTTTGCCGAGTTCTGGCCCGGAGGCTTCTCAGCTGGTTCAAATTGTCACAAAGTTCAGCTGGAGGTTTTCTTCTCCCTGTGGTGTTTTTCTCGTGCCTGTGGCTGCCCTCCAAAAAGATCCTTGTGATGCCAGGAAGGAATGGCCTGCTTGGGGACCCAGTGAGCTCCTAGGGCCTTTTCTGCTGCTTCTTCCACCCCCCATATTTCACTTGGCTCTCAATTGACTCACCTCCAGGTAAGGTCGGCATCTTCTCCCACAAACTAGACCTTCAGTTTCCCCAGTGGGGGTGCATGTTCAGCGGTGAAGGATCTCCCTTTTCCACTTCTGCAGTTTGTATACTCACAGTATTTGGGGTGTCTCCTGAGTCCTGTAGGAGCAGTCTGCTTCATTCAGAGGATCTGTGGGTCATTTCAGGTTTCCTGATTTATTCCTGCAGTTATTCTGAAGCTAAAATTTATGACGCAAGCCTTCACACACTGCTTTGTTCGCCTGAGTTGGAGCTGCAGTCTAGTCCTGCCTCCCATCCACCATGATGCCCCCAGATTTGTCCTCAAATTCTTGAGATCAACTGATCAGCCCACCTTGGCTTCTCAAAGTCCTGGGATCACTTTTTTTTTTTTTGGAGACAGAGTTTTGCTGTTGTTGCTCAGGCCGGAGTGCAATGGCGCCATCTCGGCTCACCACAACCTCTGCCTCCCGGGTTCAAGTGATTCTCCTGCCTCAGCTGCCCTGGTAGCTGGGATTATAGGCCTGTGCCACCATGCCCGGCTAATTTTGTATTTTTAGTAGAGACGGGGATTCTCCATGTTGGTCAGGCTGGTCTCGAACTTCTGACCTTGGGTGATCCACCCTCCTCGGCCTCCCAAACTGCTGGGATTACAGGCGTGAGCCACTGTGCCCAGCACCTTTTTTTATTAATTAGTTTAATTAATGTATTTTTAAAATGATTGCTTAAAGAAATAAAGTTACTATTATCAGTTTATTGTTATTGTTTTATGTGTTTCTTGTAGATATGTTTTCTTTTTCATTGTTCATTTTAGTGCTTATTTTTGTTTGTTTATTTATTTATTTATTTATTTGAGACAGAATCTTGCTCTTATTGCCCAGGCTGGAGTGCAATGGCGTGATCTCGGCTCACTGCAGCCTCCGCCTCCTGGGTTCAAGTGATTCTCCTGCCCCATCCTCCTGAGTAGCTGGAATTACCGGCACCTGCCACCACACCCAGTTAATTTTTGTACTTTTAGTAGAGAAGGGGTTTCGCCATGTTGGCCAGGATGGCCTCGAACTCCCGACCTCAGGTGATCGGCCCACCTCGGCCTCCCAAAATGCAGGGATTACAGGTGTGAGCCACCTTGCCCTGCCAATTTTTGGTTAAGTTTGTTGTGACATACTTTGATTATTTTAAAATTTGTTTCACATACTTTCTGGAAATACAATGTAATTATCTTGAAAAGTGGAGATTACATAAAACATCTTAAAGTTAAAACAATATATTTTAATTTCATAACAACTTCAATTTAATGCAAAAACTAATATGTTTTCCAGTTTTTTGTTGATGTTAAAAACTATTATTTTTTATTGGGTATCGACAGATTTATGCAGACTTATTTTTAGTTTCTCATATAGAATAACTTTAAAGGTTTTATGCTCCATCATTATGAGAGTAAAGAATTGTATGTGTGTGTGTATATTTACATTTAATAGCTTTATATTTATATATAGTTTTATGATGCTGTCCAGCATCATTTTTTTTTTTTAAATAATGGACTCATTTTAGCATTTCTGTTTGTTTATATGCAGAGTCTTACTGTGTTGCTCAGGCTGATCTTGAACTCCTGGTCTCAAGTTATCTTACTGCCTTGGCCTCCCTAAAGATGTGGGATTACAGAAATAATCCACTTTGCCAGGCTACTATGTAGCCCTTCATGTAGAACTGTGCTAGTCATAATGAATCATAACACTGTCACCTTTTATTTTGAAAAGTCTTTATTTTTATCTGTTTTTAAAGTACACTAATCTTGAATCAAGTATTCTTGGTTAGGAATTTTATTACTGCATCAAAATTTGGGAAGTTCTTAGCCTTTTTCATCTACAAGTAACCTCTACATTACTTTTTCCCTACATTCTTCTTCTAAGAGTTTTTTAATGAATATATTGATGTACTTGATGGTGTCCAATAAGTTTTACATTTCATGTTTTAATTTTCTTTTGGAATTTTATATTTTTGTTTTATATATTTTAGGATATGCCACCTCACATGAGTTAATTGTTTTGGTTTTTTAGTTTATATTATAATTGAGTATGCCAGTATTTAACTCTGTAAAATTTAAGACAGTGTGGAACAAAGTCAAATATGAATCAGCCATATGTCTACTACCAATATAACGATCTCTGTGTTTACCTGTATAAATATTTTCCCTGTTCTTTTTATGACTTGTATATTTCTGGTATAGGTTTGTTGCAAATGGTTATTTAATCTTGACTAGGTGAGAAGTCATAGAAATTCTCCTAATTTCAACATCTATTTATTCATGGATCTATATTATTTTTGTGTGGGAGAAAAACTTTTCTATTTAAAGATAATTTACAAACGATCATAATCTCTTTTAGGTATGTCTATTTTTACTTGTCAAAAACACATAACATTTACAATAGAATATTTTTAAATGTTTATTTTAGTCCTATTATATTGACATTGTTATGCAACATATTCCTAAAATGTTTTTATCTTGCAAAGCTAAATATCAATACCCATTAAAAAACTATGAATTTTACCCATTTCCTGGCACTTTTCAAACACCACTCTGTTTTCTCTAAGAGTGTAACTGCTTCATATATCTCATACAATCTCTGTCTTTTTGTGACTGGCTCATTTTATTTTGCACAATATCATCAAGCTTTATAGTTGTTAGAATATTTTCTGCTTTTTAAATACTGGGTGATATTTAAGTATTTTGTATTTTAGATTATATCTACTGAGTAATTTGGTGACAAATTTGCACTGCTTTTACCTATTGGCTTTCAGTAACAATGCTGCAATAATTACAGGTATGCAAATGACCTATATGATCATATATGTGTAAGTTTATATATGTGCCGCATTCTGTTCTACTAGTGTACGTTTTTACCTTTGTACTCATACCAAATTGTTACAATTCTGTAGCTCTGTAATGTGTTTCAAAATCAGAAACTGTAATGCCTTCAAAATTGTTTATTTTATTGCAGATTTTTGGGTACTTTATTATCTCTTAAGACTTTATATACTTTGGGGGTTGCTGTTTCTATTTCTTCAAAAATGCATGAGAAATTTGAACAACATTGCATTAAATCTGTAAATTACATTGAGCAGGATGGACATCTTCACAAGATTAATTATTTTAACATTTCAACAAGCATGCTCAAGAGTGTATTGTTTTAATTTCTATGTATTTGTGAATTTTTCAGTTTTTTCTTCTTACTGTTCTATACTCATTTCATTTTGGTCATAGAAAGTAATCCATAAAAATTTAGTTTTAAATAATTTGTTAAGACTTCTTTTTTGGTTTACCAGGTTTTCTATCAAGGAGAATTTCGTATGAGGTATTGAGAAGGCTGTTTATCATTATGTTGTTGAGTGTTCTTTATGCCTCTGTTATTAATAATTGTTTTATACTCCCTTCAAGTCCGGTTTCTTTACCAATATTTTGTCTTTTTAAAATCTTTATTACAGAAAGTGAAGCATTAAAATATTCTACTATAATTATATTGCTCTGTATGTGTTTCTTTCATTCTGACTGTATTTGCTTTATATATTTGGAAACTTAATGTGAGATACACACACTGCTATATACAAATTTGTCATTGGTTCCCAGTAAATGAATCTATTACTGTTTAATATTCTTCTTTGTGAGCCAGGCGTGGTGGCTCATGCCTATAATCCCAGCACTTAGGGAGGCTGAGGTGGGTGGATTGCCTGAGGTCAGGAGTTTGAGTGAAACCTCGTCTCTACTAAAAATACAAAAAATTAGCTGGGTATGGTGGTGGGTGCCTGTAATCCCAGCTACTAGGGAGGCTGAGGCAGGAGAATCGCTTGAACCCGGAAGGCAGAGGTTGCAGTGAGCTGACATCTCACCATTGCACTCCAGCCTAGGCAACAAGAGCGAAACTCCATCTCAAAAAAAAAAAAAAAAATTCTTCTTTGTCTCTTTGGAGTTTGACTTCAAGTATATTTCATAAAATATGACAGTTTTTGACTTAAGATGTATTTTGTGTAATATTTTGACCTCTTCTTCTCTCATTTGATTAATATTTACATGAAATGTGTACTTTTGTCTTGCTACTTTCAGTCTGTTTATCATTAGATCTATCCTGGCCCTTGTAAAAAGGCATGTTGGATCTTGGTTTTTAAAATTCTTTTTTTTTTTTTGAGATGGAGTCTCGCTCTGTCGCCCAGGCTGGAGTGCAGTGGCGCGATCTCAGCTCACTGCCAGCTCCGCCTCTTGGGTTCACACCATTCTCCCGCCTCAGCCTCCCAAGTAGCTGGGACTACAGGCGCCCACCACCATGCCCAGCTAATTTTTTGTATTTTTAGTAGAGACAGGGTTTCACCATGTTAGCCAGGATGGTCTCAATCTTCTGACCTCGTGATCCGCCCGCCTCGGCCTCCCAAAGTGCTGGGATTATAGGTGTGAGCCACCACGCCCGGCCTTAAAATTCTTTTAATAAATCCCTTTAATGAAAGTATATCTCTTGATTGGAAAGTTAATTTTACATATATATTTTACATATGTATATATTTGGATAATTTTCTGAAAGAGAAAGAATGTTATTTTATTGTTTTATTTGATTCTTTTTTGTCTCTGATTTTCTCTCTGTCATCCTTGGTGTCTTGTTGATTTTTGTATTGAAATGCTTTCACTTCCTTCCTATTTTCTTTTGTATATCTATACAGATATACAAAATACTTTCTTTGTGGTACCTTGGGGATTACATAAAACCTCTAAAGGATACAATATACATTATAATCTGGTAGAAAAATTAACTTCCCTTGCATATAAAAGTTCTATTTCATTACATCTGCCCTGAACTTTGTTATTAATGTTGCTAATTATTTCGTTTTATGTTGTATATTAATAGACATTTATAATACTTTCTATGACTTTATCTTTCAAATTTTAGAGAATAATTAACATTTTGTGCACCATTATAATAATGTTAAGGAATTCTATTTGTATGTGCATATCTTTTTCATAAAGTTATGTATTTTTATATAATAATGTGTTGTTTTCTGTCATGTTATTTTCAGTGGAAGAAACTGCTTTCAGCATCTTTTATATGTAGGGAATTTGCAGTGCCAATATACTTTTTCAGAATTTGGTTATTTTGGAAGTTTTTTCTTTTTTTTTTCCATTTTGTAGGACAGATTTGCTGATGGTATTATTCTCATTTGATATCTATTTTTTTCATGACTTTGACTATATCACACACTTCTTTTCTTGCCTGCAAAATTTTCTTGACAAATTCACTGGTTATTTAAAAAGACTATGCTTGTAAATGACATATCATTTTTATACTGCAACTCACAAGATTCTCTTCTTGTCTGTGACTTTTGAAATTGTGTTTATATATGTGTTTGTTATAAATATCATTGTGTGTATCCTAATTTGTTGAGCTTCTTCATTTGTACATAACTTTTTTTTTTTTTAACTTTTAGGATTTTTTAGTTATTTATTTTTGTATTTTGCTTATGTAGTTTGTGTAATTTTATAAATTTGATATGTAAAATATATTCATCTGAGTCTAGGAAGTGGTGTAATTTGTTACTTTTATGTCTTTCAGTTATATATTCTCATTTCACTGAAGACCTTTGGCCAGAGCATAGCATAAAAGATTCTTTTCAAAAAGTGATACTGAGAGGATATGGAAAATGTGGACATGAGAATTTACAATTAAGAATAAGTTGTAAAAGTGTGGATGAGTCTAAGGTGTTCAAAGAAGGTTATAATGAACTTAACCAATGTTTGAGAACTACCCAGAGCAAAATATTTCAATGTGATAAATACGTGAAAGTCTTTCATAAATTTTCAAATTCAAACAGTCATAAGAAAAGAAATACTGGAAAGAAGGTTTTCAAATGTAAAGAATGTGGCAAATCATTTTGCATGCTTTCACATCTAACACAACATATAAGAATTCACACTAGAGAGAATTCTTACAA
Source organism: Homo sapiens (assembly GCF_000001405.40). Lineage (NCBI taxonomy): Eukaryota > Metazoa > Chordata > Mammalia > Primates > Hominidae > Homo > Homo sapiens. The sequence goes on along the minus strand of NC_000007.14, from coordinate 64,522,121 downwards.
ATGTGAGGAATGTGGCAAAGTTCTTAACTGGTTCTCAGAGCTTATTAAACATAAGGGAATTCATATGGGAGAGAAACCCTACAAATGTGAGGAATGTGGCAAAGCCTTTAACCAATCCTCAACCCTTATTAAACATAAGAAAATTCATATTGAAGAGAAACCCTTCAAATGTGAAGAATGTGGCAAAGCCTTTAGTTTATTCTCAATCCTTAGTAAACATAAGATAATTCATACTGGAGACAAACCTTACAAATGTGATGAATGTCACAAAGCCTTTAACTGGTTTGCAACCCTTACTAACCATAAGAGAATTCATACTGGAGAGAAACCCTTCAAATGTGAAGAATGTGGCAAAGACTTTAACCAGTTTTCAAACCTTACTAAACATAAGAAAATTCATACTGGAGAGAAACCCTACAAATGTGAAGAATGTGGCAAAGCTTTTAACCAGTTTGCAAACCTTACTAGACATAAGAAAATTCATACTGGAGAGAAATCCTACAAATGTGAAGAATGCGGCAAAGCTTTTATACAGTCCTCAAACCTTACTGAACATATGAGAATTCATACTGGAGAGAAACCCTACAAATGTGAAGAATGTGGCAAAGCTTTTAATGGGTGCTCCAGCCTTACTCGACATAAGAGAATTCACACTAGAGAGAATACCTACAAATGTGAAGAATGTGGCAAAGGCTTTACTTTATTTTCAACCCTTACTAACCATAAAGTAATTCATACTGGAGAGAAATCCTACAAATGTGATGAATGTGGCAATGTTTTTAACTGGCCTGCAACTCTTGCTAATCATAAGAGAATTCATGCTAGAGAGAAACCCTACAAATGTGAAGAATGTGGCAAAGCTTTTAACCGGTCCTCACACCTTACTAGACATAAGAAAATTCATACTGGTGAGAAACTCTACAAACCTGAAAAATGTGACAATAATTTTGATAACACCTAAAACTTTTCTAAACATAAAAGACACCATCCTGTTGAGAAACCCTAAAAATGTGAAGAATTTGACAAAGCCTTCCAATGATTGTTACACTTGCTTGTAGGTAAGATAATTTATATTGGAGAAAACTTTATAAGTGTAAAGAATGTGACAAAACTTAACCAATACTCACATCTTATTGCACAGGAAAGCATTTTTACTTGAGAAAGATTGTACAAGTATAAAGAATGTGAAAAAGTCATTGATATCTTTTCACATCTTACTCAACACCAGAGTTTATACTTATTAAAAGCATTATAAATGCAATTACTGTCAAAAGAAATTTCAGAAAACATAACACTTTAAAGTGAAGAAGCGTGTTTATTTTGAAGACAAACATAACAAATATAAGGAGCATAGGAGGGTTGTAGTACCTTTACTTGTATTACAAATCTTATTGTACGCATTTTGTACTAGAGAAAAACACTGAAGCAGTTGCTCAAACTTTGTTCAACATCAGGGAATTTATATTGGAGAAAAATCCTGCAAATGTAATGAATTTGGAAAAACATTTTTTTTCAAAAACTACGGCGTAGAAAACATGAATTTATATTGAAATGTGTTTTTGCAGATGCAGTAAGTATGAAAAATATTTAATCCAAAATTGAGTCTATGTAAATATTAAATAATTTACAGTAGAAATAACTAAGGCACTGACACTTTAGACATTACACTAAAACAGAGTGTTGAGTATAAAAAAATCTATAAGTTGTTAGATTATTTGTAAATAACTTTAAAAGGAGTAGAAGATTCTTTGGAGAGTTATAATTACATTGAAAGTATACTTTTTTTCTTGAAAAAATTATGGCTTATTTGAAAAGTAAATAATGATGAAATTCAACTCTCAAATTACTTTATTTCATTCCTATTGTATTCACATGTGAAAGCATGTGATAAATTGTTGCTGTGTCAGATATAGGAGAGATTCTTTTTTATTAGATGGGCATTATTTATGGTTTTTTCTGTGGAAGAGTATGGGCATTAAAATGTAAGGTTTATGATGAAAATCTAAGTGGAGAGGCCCTGTTAGTTTACTTTTCATATTGAGTGATGCATGAGGTAGGTGTTTGGAGTAATATTCTGCATCATAGAGAAAAGCATTTTTAATTTTACTTTAAATTAAATGTAATTAAATTACTAGTGAATCATTTTACTAATTGTACTTTTATGCTATAAATGCAGTACATTTGAAAATTTTTAGATTATGTATAAGCTTAATTTTATAATTAAACATTTCTTTAACATGTTAAGACTATTGTGCATTCAATGAAGCGTTATTATGCCATTAACTTTAACCTTTTTCACTTTACTCAAGGAGGGAGGTAAAAGAGAGTAACAATATGTTATTTGGTCATGAGATGTTAATCTTTCTGTGCCTGGCTTATTTCAACTAATATGCTGTCCTCCAGATTAACTGATGTGATCAAAAATAATAAAATTTTCTTTTAGATTCCACATAGCAAAAGCAAGAGTAAGAGAAAAGAACAAATCTGGAGGCATCACATTACCTGACTTTAAACTATACTATAAAGCTTTAGTCATCGAAACAGCATGGTGCTGGTATACAAATAGGCACATAGACTATAAACGTGTGTGCAAGTATCTTTTTTCATATAATGCCTTTTTTTCCTCTGGATAGATACCCAGTAGTGGGATTGCTAGATCAAATGATAGATCAACTTTTAGTTCTTTAAAAAAATCTCCACACTATTTTTCATAATGGTGCTAATTTACATTCACACCAGAAGTGTAAAATTGTTCCCTTTGCACCACATCCCCACCAACACTATATTTTTTTATTTTTTAATTATGGCCATTCTTGCAGGAGTGAGGTGGTATCATATTGTGATTTTCATTTGCATTACTCTGATAATTAGAGATGTTGAGCAAGTTTCCATATGTTTCTTGGCCATTCGTATATCTTCTTTTGAGAATTGTCTATTCATATCCTTAGCCTACTTTTAAATGAGATTGTTTTTATTTCTTGCTGGTTTATATGAGTTTTTTGTAGATTCTGGATCTTAGTCCTTTGACAGATGTATAGATTGTGAATATTTTATCTCACTCTGTGGGTTGTCTGTTAACTCTGCTGATTATTTTTGCTCTGCAGAAGCTTTGTAGTTTAATTAAGCCCCATCTGTTTATATTTGTTTTCGTTGCATTTACTTTTGGGTTCTTATTCATGAAGTCTTTGCCTAAGCAAATGTCTAGAAACGTTTTTCCAATGTTATCTTCTAGAATTTTTACTGTTTTAGGTCTTAGATTTATGTCTTATGTCTATCTTGAGTTTATTTTTGTATAAGTTGTGAGATGAGTTTCCAGTTTTATTCTTCTACATGTGGCTTGCTAAACATCCCTCCATTATTTGTTCAATAGGGTTTCCTTTCCCCACTTCATGTTTTTGTTTGCTTTGTCAAAAATCTGTTGGCTGTAAGTATTTGGTTTTATTTCTGGGTTCTCTATTCTGTTCCATTGGTCTATATGCCTATTTTTATATCAGTACCATGCTGTTTTTGTGACTATGGCTTTATAGTATAAAGTTATGTAAACTTTAGGATTGTCTTTTCTCATTCTGTGAAGAATGATGTTGCTATTTTGATGGGAGCTACATTGTATTTCTAGATTGCTTTTGGCAATGTAGTCATTTTCACAATAGTGATTCTACCAATCCATGAGTATGGGATGTGTTTCCATTCGTTTGTGTCGTCCGTGATTTCTTTTAGCAGTGTTTTGTGGTTTTCCTTGTAGAGGTCTTTCATGTCATTGTTTAGGTATATTTTTAAGTATTTTTTTTCCAGCTATTGTAAAAAAAAGTTGCATTCTTGATTTAATTCTCAACCCAGTCACTGTTGGTGTATAGCAGAGTGACTGATTTGTGTACATAAATTTTGTATCTAGAAATTTTGCTGAATTCACTTGTCAGTTCTGGGAGATTTTTGGAGGAGTCTTTATGGTTCTTTAGGTATACAATCATATCATCAACAAATAGTGACAGCTTAAATTCCTCTTTGGATGCCCTTTATTTCTTTCTCCTATTTGAGTGCTCTGGCTAGGACTTCAGTGCTATGTTAAATAAAAATGGTGAAAGTACACATCCTGGTGTTGTTCCTGTTTTCAGAGAGAATGCTTTCAACTTTACCCTGTTCAGTGTTATGTAGGCTGTGTGTTTGACATAGATGGCTTTTATTACATTGAGATATGTCCTTTGTATGCAGATTTTGCTGAGGGTTTTAATTATAAAGGAATGCCGGATTGTGTCAAATGCTTTTTCTGTGTTTATTGAGATGATCATTGTTCATAATTCTGTTTATTGGTGTATCACATTTATTGACTTGTATATGTTAAATCATCCCTGCATCCCTGATACAAAACCCACTTGATCATAGTGGATTACCTTTTTGATATGTTGTTGGATTCAGTTAGATTTTTTTTTTTAAAGGATTTTAGCCTCTGTGTTCATTAGGTCAGTCTGTAGTCTTCTTTTTTGGCTATGTCCTTTTCTGGTTTTGGTATTAGGGTGATGCTGGCTTCATACAATGAATTATGGAGGTTCCCTCTTACCGTGTCGTGTGGAATAGTGTCAATAGGATTGGTACCAATTTTCCTTTTAATGTTGGGTAGAATTCTGCTGTGAGTCTGTCTGGTCTTGGACTTCTTTTGTTGTTAATTTTTTAAATTACGATTTTAATCTCACTGCTTGTTATTGGTCTGTTCAGGGTTTCTGATTTTTCCCGATTTAAGCTAGGAGGGTTGTACATTTGCAGGAATTAATTTATCTCCTCTAGATTTTTGTGTTTATGTGTGTAAAGGTGTTCATAGTAGCCTTGAATGATCTTTTGTATTTCTGTGATGTCAGTTGTAATATTTCCTGTTTTGTTTCTAATTAAGCTTAATTGAATATTCTCTCTTTTTTTCTTAATCTTGCTAATGGTCCATCAATGTTATTTATCCTTTAAAAAACCAGGTTTATGTTTCATTTGTCTTTTTTTCTTTTTAATCTTATTTAGTTCTGCACTGAGCTAGGTTGTTTCCTTTCTTCTGCTGGGTTTGGGTTTGGTTTGTTCTTGTTTCTCTAGTTCCTTGAGGTGTGACCTTAGTATATTGTGCTCTTTCAGACTTTTTGATGTAGACATTTAAAGCTATGGACTTTCCTCTTAGCACGGCCTTTGCTGTATCTCAGAGGTTTTGATAGGTTTTGTCACTATATCATTCCATTAAAATTTTTAAATATTTTTTGTCTTGATTTTATTGCTGACCCAATGATCATTCAGAAGCAGTTTATTTAATTTCCATGTATTTGAATGGTTTTAAAGGTTTTTGTTGTTAACTTTCAATTTTATTCCACTGTGGTCAGAGAAAGTACTTGATATCATTTCAATTTTCTTAAATTTATTGAGACTTGTTTTTTGGCCTATCATATGTTCTGTCTTGGAGAAAGTTTCACGTCCTGATTAATAAAATGCATAGTTTGTGGTTTTTGGCTAGAATGTTCTGTAAACAGCTGTTAAGCCCATTTGTTCCAGGGTGTAGTTTAAATCCGTTTTTTCTTTATTGACTTTCTATCTTGATGACCTGTCTAGTACTGTCAGTGGAGTATTGAAGTCCCCCACTATTATTATGTTTCTGTCTATTTAATTTCTTAGGTCTAATAGTTATTGTTTTATAAATTTGGGAGCTTATAAAGCCCCATTTTCCATTTTTACAGTTTGGGCACTCAGAATATTTGGGCTGTCTCCCAGGTCCTACAGGAGCTATTTGCTTCCTTTAAAGGGACTGTGAATTATCCTGCCTTTCCTGGTATATTCCTAGAGTAGTTCTATGTAGTTTTAGCAATGCAACAAGATTTAACAGGTTTTCTTTTGTTTGAGATAACACTTAGAGTTTTTTGTTTTATTTTTATGAAAATTAAAAAGTACGAACACAAAAGTGAGGTTGGAGTGAAAGTTTAATAAGCAAAAGAAGAAAGCTTTTTGCTAGCAGAGAGGGGTTTCTGAGTAGGAGTTCCCCCTGTGAGGCTGGGGTTCAGGGTTATTATGGACTAGGAATAAAAAGAAATGTGCTTAGTTTGTGGGCTGTTTTGGAGATCTTGTGACTTAGCTTGGCCTGGGACTAATTAGAAAGCTTGGGCTGAGATCTTGGCCCAGGACCAATTAGAAGCTGAAATGATGATATATAGATGCTGCTTAGCTTGGCCCAGGACCTATTAGAAGCTGAAGTGAAAGCTTGGCCTGGGACCTTGGCCTGGGACCAATTAGGGTCTGAAATGATGATTTATAGGAGCCGCTGTATAGTTTAAATAAAGGTGAGTGCCCACTGGAGCCCACTGTGTTTATGCCCACAAAAGGAGAAGAAACTTTTTGTGGAGCCCTCTGATTATATAAAGGATAAAGGCATTTTATACCAGGCCTTGTTTTTTATTTGAGTGAGCTAGAGGTTTGTGCAAGTTTTTATGTAAATAGGCTGGAGGGTTTTTTTATTTGTGCAGTTGTGGGCATGTTTTTAGGCACAATACTTTGTGCCTGTTTTTTTATTGGTGCCTGCAGCTTGAATTTTTTTTTCCAGGCTGCATTTTACATTATATGGGGTGGAGGCAATGACTCATGGGCTGGGGACTTTTCAGAGACCTTTCTGTTGCTATTTACCTAAGGCAAGCAAACTTCTTTCAGTCTCCACTCAGGAGTGGAAACCCTAACTATTTTTATAGAGATTAGGCATTGGATTTTTTTGGACTGCTTTTTGCTTGAAAGGGGCATTGTGTAGGGAACAGTAGCTAGGATTTTTTAGGGGGGGGTGCTAGTTTAAGGGTTTTTGGAAGAGGTGCACATTTATGTGTGTGTGTATGTGTGTGTGTTGCACTGATGCAAACAACTATATTGTTGTAAGTCAAGAATAATTTAACTAGTTTTTAGATTTTAGAGGAGCTAGGCTGAGAGAAAGAAATGCATTTTAAATTTTATTTACAGGAGTGTACCTTGCTTGTTAAAAGGTTTTAAGAAATTCTTACTTACTTTGAAAAGCAAAATAAAGATTAGCAATTTGTGTGTGGGTGTGTCTGTGTGTGTGTGTGTGTGTGTGTGTGTGTGTGTGACAGAGTTTTGCTCTTGTTGCCCAGGCTGGAGTGCAATGGCGCGATCTTGGCTCACTGCAACCTCCGCCTCCTGGGTTCAAGCGATTCTCCTGCCTCAACCTCCCAAGTAGCTGGGATTACAAGCATGCGCGACCACGCCCGGCTAATTTTGTATTTTTAGTAGAAACTGGGTTTCTCCATGTTGGTCAGGATGGTCTTGAATTCCCGACCTCAGGTGATCCATCTGCCATGGCCTCCCAAAGTGCTGGGATTATAGGCATGAGCCACCACACCCAGCCAAGATTAGCAATGGTTTAAGCAAAAGTTAAAAACATTGCTTTTGTTTTTTATTAGTTTAGTTTATTTTGTTAACTTTTGTTTTGCTTGATATTTATAAATATTATAAGTTTTTATTATGAGTTTTATTAATGAGTGGTGAGTTTATTTTATTGACATTTATAAATATGAGTTTTTATTATGAGTTTTATTATTATAGAATTTTTTTATTATGAGCTATTTATGAGTTTTGTTTTGTTATGAGAAACCTGCATTGGAGAACATTTGTTAAAGTTTTACAGCTAATTGTAAACCATTTTTTGAAGAAAATTAAAATAACAATTGTTTATAAATGACAAAATGTTTAGGGTGGTTACAGTTAGCAGCACAATTGACAAAGAAATGTGGTTATTTTTGTGGCTTATAATAACATAACCTTAATTGTGATTGATGGTGCACATTTAGACATTAGAATCTTAGATATTTTATATGGTTTTGGAACATATGTTAATGATACTTACTAAAATATAACCTGAAGAAGATTAGATATTAATTTGGCAATTTTATATACCTAAACTTGTTAAATAATTTTGTTAACCTCTGTTTTGGATGCCCCAGGAGCCCCTTGCAGAACTCAAGAGCTAGACATTAGAAAAGACAACTTTGAAACTGAAATTTGATCTTGTGAAGTTTGTTGAAGATGTTGGAGGTTTAAAACACTTGATATTCTGAAATAAAATTTTAAATTACCGTAAGTTATTTGTTTTGCTAAAATGATGATTTAAAATTTGAAAAAGCAAAACCTTTTACTAGCTCTTATTATTACATAAAAATTTTGATTGGCCAGGTGTGGTGGCTCACGCCTGTAATCCCAGCACTTTGGGAGGCCTAGGAGGGTGGATCATGAGGTCAGGAAATCAAGACCATCCTAGCCAACATGGTGAAATCCCGTCTCTACTAAAAATAAAAAAAGTAGCTGGGTGTGGTGGCAAGCACCTGTAGTCCCAGCTACCCAGGAGGCTGAGGCAGGAGAATAGCTTGAACCCAGGAGGCAGAGGTTGCAGTGAGCTGAGATCACGCCACTGCACTCCAGCCTGGGTGACAGAGCGAGAATCTATCTTAAAAAAAAAAAAATTTTTAATTAAAAGAAAGAAAGCTAAATTTTACTTTTGCATACTGTTAATGTTAACCCCAATTTTAATGAAACCTTATAAACAATTTTCTTCAATTTTAACTAATTAGACCATGAGGTGAGAGTTTTATAAACCTTTTATAACCCTTTACAAATTTTGCTAAGAGTTGATTAGTGCTTTAATAAAACCTTGTGTTTGTATTTTAATGCTTAATTTGAAAAACTATATAATATCCTTTTGAATTTTAGTTGATATGTTTACATACAGAATTTTTTTGCAAGATTAATTTTTACAATTCTTTTTTTTTTACAATTTGCTTAAAGCTTTTGCTTTAAGACTTTTTTTATTTTTAGGCAAAACGTACTTTTAAAAAAGATTTTACTAAAAACACATTTTACTGCTTTTGCATACCTTGCATGTAAATTTTTTTTAGTAGTTTTAATTATATGTTATAATGATAACTTTCAGCAATTTTTAACTTGAATGTAAAACCTGGTAAATTGTTTTAGTTATGTTCTAGGTGCAGATGAATTTTGACTTTTTTTAGCATAGTTAGGGGCACATACGCTTTTTGGCCTTACTCATTGTGAAGCAGGCAAATAGAACAGTTTTTAAAGGCCAAAGGAGCAGTTTACAACCTTAAAACATTTAGCAAATTTAATATTTGGCCAGAATAATTTTGATTACCTATTTACATTTTGAAGACATTTATACTTTATTAATAAGTTTTAAGGCTGATTTTATTTTTTAAAGATTAAAGTTACATAAACTGAAAGGTACCACAGCCTTCATTTTAAAAAAATTGATTTAAGCACTTATTTTTAATTAGAGCTTTTTTAAATAGACATTACACACACAACACATGTATAACCACACAGAAAAAAAAAAGATTTAGTAGTTACAAGATTTTTTACTTGCCAGTTTTTAACTGGATTATTGGCCTCTGGGTAAAGCCCTTTAGGAACAAGGCTAGAAATACAGTTTTTATTTACAGGGCTAGGAATACAGTTTTTAGGGATTTTATGAGAAAAATTTTTTTTAAATGAGATTTGTGGTGTTCTTGTTTTTAAGAAGTTTTGGGCCACCAGAAATTATTTTAGGACCTTTTATGAATGGACCAAGAATGGCAAGGCACAGTGGAGAAAAGTCATTTAGTTGACTGAGAAGAAATTTTTTTTTTTTTTTTTTTTTTTTGCTGGAGACGGAGTTTTGCTCTTGTTGCCCAGGCTGGAGTGCAATGGTGCGATCTTGGCTCACTGCAACCTCTGCCTCCCGGGTTCAAACGATTTTCCTGCCTCAGCCTCCTGAGTAGCTGGGACTACAGGCGCACGCCACCAAGCCCAGCTAATTTTTGTATTTTTTTTTTAGTAGAGAAGGGGTTTCACCATCTTGGCCAGGATGATCTCGATCTCTTGACCTTGTGATCCACCTGCCTTGACCTCCCAAAGTGCTGGGATTACAGGCATGAGCCACTGTGCCCAGCCCCTTAAGAAACTTTTTTTAGAAAAGATTTATGAAGAGAAAAACATGAAACCTTTTAAAATATATTTATGGCTTGGATATTTATTTTTAATAGTGCTTTTTTTTTTTTGGAGACCAAGTCTTGCTCTTGTCTTCTGGGCTGAAGTGCAATGGCACGATCTTGGCTCACTGCAACCTCCGCCTCCCAGGGTCAAGTGATTCTCCTGCCTCAGCCTCCCGAGTAGCTGGGATTACAGGTGCCCACCACCATGCCCGGCTAATTTTTGTATTTTTAGTAGAGACGGGGTTTCACCATGTTGGCCAGGCTGGTCTCAAACTACTGACCTCAGGTGATCTGCCTGCCTTGGCCTCCCAAAGTGCTGGGATTACAGGCATGAGCTGCTGTGCCTAGCCAATAATGCTTTTTAAGAATTTTTTTTTTTATTAATTAAAACTTCACAGAGAATATAAACAGTAATTTTACCATTTTTTTCCTAGTTTGCACCACTACCTGTTTACAATTATGTTTAGGTTTTTTTAGAGGGTTTTTTTTAAAGAAAGTGTCTGGGTTTGGGCAAGGGCAAGGTTTTTTTTTGTTTGTTTGTTTGTTTTACTGAAGATTTTTTTTAGCAGCAAAGCTTGATATTTGAGGCGGTGATGGCCAGAGACTATTTTTTAGAGGACAACAGTTTTGCAGTACTGTGTGAGGTGTAAACAGTTAAGTTATTTTCCATGGTTAGCCCACTTGCTGTTGAGTCAGAGCTTGAGCCTTAGCCAAAACTTTTAGGGCTATTTTCTTTTTTCTTTTGATACATAGAAATTAAATACCTGAGGGCATCAGCCCTCAGTCTTCCCATAGAGACTGTGCTTTAGCTGGTTAAAAGTTTTTGTGTTTTAGGTTTTATTTTATTTTATTTTTTTGAGACGGTGTCTTGCTCTGTCACCCAGGCTAGAGTGCAGTGGCCCAATCTTGGCTCACTGCAACCTCTGCCTCCTGCGTTTCAGCAATTCTCCTGCCTTAGCCTCCCAAGTAGCTGGGATTACAGGCACCTGCCACAGTGCCTAGGTAATTTTTGTATTTTTAGTAGAGATGGGGTTTCACTGCGTTGACCAGGCTGGTCTCGAACTCCTGACCTCGTGATCCACCCGCCTTGGCCTCCCAAAGTGCTGGGATTACAGGCATGAGCCACCGTGCCTGGCCTGTGTTTTAGGTTTTTAAGTTAGGAAGTGAGTTTTATTTTTATTTTTATTTTTATTTTTTATTTTTTATTTTTTTTTTTTGAGACGGAGTCTCGCTCTGTCGCCCAGGCTGGAGTGCAGTGGCGGGATCTCGGCTCACTGCAAGCTCCGCCTCCCGGGTTCACGCCATTCTCCTGCCTCAGCCTCCCGAGTAGCTGGGACTACAGGCGCCCGCCACTACGCCCGGCTAATTTTTTGTATTTTTAGTAGAGACGGGGTTTCACCATTTTAGCCGGGATGGTCTCGATCTCCTGACCTCGTGATCCGCCCGCCTTGGCCTCCCAAAGTGCTGGGATTACAGGCGTGAACCACCGCGCCCGGCCGATATTTTATATTTTTTACCTGCTAGAAAATTAAAAAGAACCTTAGTGCCTTTTTGAAAGACCCCCTCAGTTGGGGCACAGAGGAAAGTGTTATTTACATACTGCAAAGTTTTAAATTGAGGCTGAGCAAAATTAGATTTTTGGAAACAGCCTGTTTTTGCAACTAATTTTTTTTTAATATTAAGGGCTGCCTGAATAATAAACCTGTTTTTTTTATTGAGTTGGGATACAGGTAGGTGTTTTTACTAAAGCTTTTTTTAGGCTATTTAAAAAGGTGGCGGGGTGGGGGTGCGTTATTTGGTTTTTGATTTAGCAAGGACAGTTTAGAGTTACTACGAGGTTTGGTTTTGGTTTTTTGCAAGCTTTTTAAAATGCATATTAGAAAGTTTTTTTTTTTTTTATTACGTATTTATGGGATCACCAAGACTTTAATTAGGTTTTTAAGGGGCATTGTTTTATTTTAATTGGGAATGGGGATCTTGTTCTACCCTTTTTTCCTTGGGGCTTTTTTGTTATTGTTGTTTTTTGACTGGCTAGGTCTCCAATTTGTAAGATGGCTGTGCCCTTATGCAAGAGAATATAAGTCTTTTTTTTTTTTTTTTTTTAGAGTTTTACGGTTAAAGGAGCTTTAGTAATTTAGAATACACTTGAGGGGAGTATAGACTGCAGATGGTCTGTTGCTCATCTAGAACAAGAGGGAGAAACAAAGCTTTCCTTAGTTCCTTTTCTCCCTTTTGTGTGACCCAGGGTGGAGAGCAAGAGAGAAGGGGCATCCTCTTTCTCCTCCTTCTCTCTCTCCTTTGGGTTCAGGCTACCATGATAGGTGCTGCAACATGGATACAAGCGTGACCTTTACCCATGTTCCTGGAGAAGCTAGTCGGCAGGATTTAGTTACACTTACCTGCTTAAAATTCTAGCCTTTTGCCCTGCTGGATTTCTAGACCCACTCAGCCCAAAAGGCTCCCAGGGTACCCCAGATGTTGGAAGAAAGTATGTAGTAGTTGGATTTGGGCAAGATTTTTTAATGAAGGGAATGTTTTAATACTATTTTTGGCTTTCCTTGCTATGGCCCCAGTGAAGAATTAAAAAAGCACAAAGTAAGACTGATTAACTTTTATACATAAAATTTCTGTCTCGTTTGAATGCCAATGTAATTGAATGCAGAACAGATGCCTTAAAAGTGTAAAAATTGAATGGCTGCCTTTCTTTGTTGGGGACAGTATTGAAGCTAAGATTTGTCTTATTAGGATGGCTTCCTCCTGGCTGTTGAAAGTGGAGTTTTTCTGTTTACACATAGGATGTGGGGCCTGATTACTGATAGACATAAAAGGGAAAACAATGGAAGATGAGAGGTTTTGGGCAAAGGGCTGACAAGGCTCCCCATGGAGAAAAATTCTATTCCATTATGTGGCACTGCAGGATTAGAAGTGTTAGGTAAAAACTCTGACTCCAAATTCTTTTTAGGCAAAAGTTAGGTTTGGGGTTGGATAGGCTATTATTATAGTATGCCCCCCAGCATAAGAAAATCAACTGTTCAAACTCATTGGACAATGCTGAACTTTTACATGGAGGGAAGAAACAAATGGAGAGGGGGAGGGTATTTACATGAGGTGACCTTCCCCTATACAGTGCCATAAATGTCTATTACTGGGGACAAAACGCCCTTACTAGAAAATTTAGACTGAAATCCCAAAGTCCCCCTATCTCAAGGAATCACAAAAATGGCAATTTTTTAAAGTTACATTCCTAAGACACTGACTAACTCTACCCAACAAGATTATATCTTTAGGTTGCAGAAACATCCACGACATTGTATACAAAGAAGGGATAGGAGGCATAATAGCCACCATAGAAAAGGAAAATGCAATAGTGGGGACTAGAGTTAGTCCAAAGGCCTTTAGATAACACTGAGGTATAGCCCAAGCCAGAAAATTTTAGTTGCCCTAGGACCCCCTTTTAATTCCATGTGATGGCTTAGGTCCCCTGTGAAAAGTAGCTAGATTGGAATAGACAAGAAGTCCTAAAAATGAAAGTAAAGGGTTAAAGTTAAACCACGTTGTAAGTGACTGATTAGTAATTCCCGTCTGTTTCATTTTTAGTCACGTAGCGAGTGTACAGGAAATTTATTAGCTCTCATTTTTTATTCTGTTAGATCATGATTAGTGTTAAGCCTGAAAACAAGCTGGCCACATCAGTAGTTCGTAACCCATGTTAATTCTAATCAGTCAATCTGGGGCTATAATAGTAGTTAAATGTTTTTAATACTATCCTTGGCAGATTCACATACAGCATAAATATAAATATTATGGTAACATTTCTCATTGAGTACTGTTCTTTAGCACTCCAGTAAATTTAAATGTAGTTTAAAAATACATATTCATGCTTGAACCCAGGAGGCAGAGTTTGCAGTGAGCTGAGATTGCACGACTGCACTCCAGCCTGGGCAACAGAGCAAGACTCTGTCTCAAAAAAAAAAAAAATTATGTATATATATATATATATATACATTTTAAAATATATATATATTCAAATAACTTGTTTCTCTAACAAGTGAAGGAAATAATTTACTTAGACATTTAGAGAGAATTTTACTCAAAACAGTAGCTTTAGAGCCTTTTAAAGTATTTTATTATTTTGAACATTAAAAATCAAGAAAATTTATTCTTGAGTGTTGGGTTCATACTATTCATAACATTAAAAGTTTACTAACCTACATCACTAAATGAGCAAACCAGTCGAAATAAAAAAATGTGTGTGTGTGTGTGTGTGTGTGTGTGTGTGTGTGTGTGTGTGTGTGTGTGTGTTTCCTGGAATTTTAAGATGAAAAAAACACTTTTTTCTCTGGCCCAATTCTTAAAGTTTATTTCTCTCTTTTTTCTAAGAAAAGTATTAATAGTATTTTTAAATGGCAAATCAGAGTTGTATACATTTATGGGGTACAATGTGATATTTTAATATACCTATATAATATGGATGGCTCACACCTGTAATCCCAGCTACTCGGGAGGCTGAGGCAGGAGAATCACGTGAACCCGGGAGACAGAGGTTGCGGTGAGCCATTGCACTCCAGCCTGGGTGACAAGAGCGAAACTCCGTCTCAAAAAAAAAAATAGAATAATTGAGTTGAATAACATATGTATATCAACTCACTTACCTATCCTTTGTGGTGAGACATTTGAAATTTACTCTGTTATTTTGAAATACACAGTATATTGTTGTTTACTATACACAATATATTATTGTTTACTATAGTCCCTGCTGTGCAATAGATCTCAAAACCTATTTACCCTATTTGAAACTTTGTACCCTTTGATGAACAACTCTCTATTTCCTTCCAACCACCCCCAGTCTCTGGTAACCATTACTCCACTTTCTACTTTTTTGAGTTAAACTTTATTAAATTCTACATATACACGAGATTATGCACTATTTGTTTTTCTGTGTCTGGCTTATTTCATCTAGCATAGTGTCTTCTAAATTTATCTTGTTTCAAATAATGGGATTTACCCTTTCTTGACGCTGAATAGTATTTCATTGTTTATACCACATTTTTAAAAGAATTAATATAAATATGTATTTGTCTATTGGTTGAAAAAGTCATGTCTTAGGGAAAAATATTTCTGTGTTAAAGCATGTATTAAAGTAATTCAGCATATAATTATCTTATTAAAATTACCTAATTTCTACTGAGTACTGACCATAACACTATATATGTGTTAATAAATTTAATTCTCACAGTAACTTAATAACATAGGTATCATTATTACCCTCATTTTACCAGAGGAAGAAACAGAGCTACTGAGAGAAATGACTTGCTCACAATAGCAGAGCCAATATTAAACCACAGGCAACTTTGTCTGCACAGAGGTAACACTCTTGAGTACAACAATAAAAAACTTCAAACAGAAAATAATTATTTTAAACTCATTTTAAATAAAAAATTTTTAGAAATTGAATAATTGGATACATTTGCATTGTTATATCTGTGCATGAATGTATAAAATGGTATATTAAAGAGAAATAATTTAAGCCAGAAAAAAAATTAGTTAATATTTGTTGTGAATAAAATTGGAAAGTAATTAATTATTATTTGCAGGTATTATCTTTGTTTACTTAGATAACAAAAGAAACTAAAAGACTAGGCTGGGTGTGGTGGCTCACGCCTGTAATCCCAGCACTTTGGGAGGCCGAGGCAGGTGGATCACAAGGTCAGGAGATCGAGACCATCCTGGCTAACACGGTGAAACCCCGTCTCTACTAAAAATACGAAAAATAGCTGGGCACCTGTAGTCCCAGCTACTGGGGAGGTCGAGGCAGGAGAATGGCGTGAACCCGGGAGGCGGAGCTTGCAGTAGCCGAGATGGCGCCGGCGCCCCTGCACTCAAGCCTGGGCAACACAGCAAGACTCCGTCTCAAAAAAAAAAAAAAAAAAAAATCTAAAAGACTATTTTAAAAGTCTATTCAGGTGGGTGGGCAAAATTCTAACATGATCCTCAAGATTCCAAGCCTGTTTCACACCTGCTGTGTAATCCTTTCCTCTTGAGTGTAAAAAAACTGTAACTGTGGTGTGAAATTACTCATAAAATTAGGTCACTAATGTGTTGCCTTTGTGGCCATCAAAAGGGAGATTATCCTGATTGGGCTAAACTGAATCAGAGGTGCTTTTAAGAGAAAGGGACACAAAAACACTTCAGCTGGCCTGGAAGTAAGTGATTTCTAGGTGGGCCATGCTGTAAGCTGCTTATGGTGGCCACGTGGCAGGAAATATATTTGTATATTGTCATCATTCCTGCCTCCCACATGGTGCTTCCAGTAGAGAGGACAGAAGGATCTCATGGCAGAGGAAAAAAAAAAAGGAGTCTAATTTATGCAAAAAGAAAAAAAATCACCTCTCATCTGAGATAGCCTAAGATAAACAGAGGAGACAACACTGATTACGTCAATGGGAGGAAGAAACAACCTGGATGAAAGGGCTCACTGGCACTATGGAATGACATTTAGAAAGCCGTAGTGAATGATCAGCCTCTGGAACATCAATAGCCTACCAACAAGGGATCTCATTCTTACTATAATTAAATCAGCATGTCTGCACCATTCTGGTAGCCCAGTTTTACACTACTCATTACAAAAATACCATGGAGACTAGTGTGTACCCTCCTAGAATTGAACTTATTATGAAAAAGCATACCTAATTATTTAAATAGTTTTTACAATTGAAATACCTTGAAGACATAATAAATTTATTAATAATTGACATCTAATTACAGAGGGTTTTACTATACTGTAATACAATATTGAGCTTTAAACAGTATGATTATGTCTAGAATGCATGGAGTTATATATGTAGTTTTTCTTAGTTTAACATGATAAAAGTAACAATTAGATGAAACATTTGAAGTAGAATAAAATTAATCAAAACCACATTTTTTCAATGGCTTGGCATAATTGCCATGCTTTTTGAAATGGCCTGATTACTAACACGGAGCAAAGACATGATTTTGGCTTTGCTCGATCATTATGTTCTTGACCTTTTAAAATCTAAAATTCTGGCTAAAGGATTTTCAAAGGGAGTATTATTTAGATGGCTCCCTCGGGTTTCCAAGGCAATACAAGAATTTTGATAGGCAGAAAAATGCATGCTACATAACACATTGCTCTTATCTGATTTGCCTTAACACTGAAAGATTGAAGATTGCAAATCTAGTCTCTCAATTTAGAGTAAATTGACAAAAAATTTATTTCCCAGCCACACAAATCATCATATAAAACTAATGGGTAAAAGATGCCATTAGCTGCCAAAAACTTGTATGACTAGATTCAGGAAGCATCTGGACATGCAAATAACAGCCGATTAAATTAAGACCCTAATAGGTGCATGTGGAAAGCATTTATGTGCAATGTGGTGCACTTCCTCTTGGCACCTTTTTCTGTGTCTTTGCAGAGATACCAGTTTTTTCTGAGTGACTCAGGGTGAATACTGGGCACTGAGAATGCTGTATTCAGAGTCATTACTGTGAACATGGTTAATACATTTCTTCCATATTATAAAAAGTATGAATCCTACTCTGCCTCACAAAGGCTTTTAGTAAAAGATTGTTTATAGTAATTTGGATTCATGGAAAATTTTCACATTCCAGATAAATCAGAAACAGTTAAACGTAAACCAAATTCCATAAAACATATGAATGAGATAAAATCTTCTTAGCTAAAAAATTGTATATTATCAATAAATTTAGGGAAAAATAGAAAACCAGTACTTTAAGCCAAATAACAGTGTTTGGCACGTGAATACCACCCAAACAAGTGCTCTTCATCATCATCGTTAAACAGCGATAGCAGCACGTTCTTTCCTGGCACCAGCTAGCCTGTTTTCCACTGATATAAACGGAAGAAGGCATTGAAATAGTGAAAGAGGGTAATATAAATGGAATAATTATTTAAAATGCAACTTTTAATAAAAAGCATTTGGTATTGCATAACTATAGATGAGACTATTAGTATGAGGTCATAATAGTATTCTATTGACAGAATAACTTCACAATATTCTTATTTAAAATAATATTTTTCTGCTGTATATTTGCTATCTTTTGGCCAAATATTACCCGAGCTCAATAGAAATAAAAGTAATATTTTACCACAAGCACTTTATTATTGATGCATATACTTATTTTGTTTAAAATATGTTAGCTTTTTAAAGAAGATTTATGATTTTTTTAGTGTGTTTTTATTGCTAGGAAGTGGCTGTCCTGCCAGGAAACTGCTATTCTCAGCTCTACCCACATTGACTAGTAGTGAGTGGAAGTGATGTGTGGATAAGACGCAAATATGTCTTCTCTGCATCTTGTTTTCATCCATTGGCTAAAGAAAAAGGAGGATGCAGATAGAAAATGAAAGAAGATACAATCCCTGAAAGATTAAGTCTTCTTAAGCAGACAAAAGACTCACAGATGGCCAGGTGCAGTGGCTCACGCCTGTAATCCCAGCACTTTGCGAGGCAAGGTGGGCGGATCGCCTGAGGTCAGGAGTTCGAGACCAGCCTGACCAACATGGTGAAACCCCATCTCTCCTAAAAATACAAAAATTAGCTGGGTGTGGTAGCGTGTGCCTATAATCTCAGCTACTCAGGAGGCTGAGGCAGGAGAATCGCTTGAACCCAGGAGGCAGAGGTTACAGTGAGCCGAAATCGTGCTGTTGCACTCCAGCCTGGATGACAGGTGAAACTCCTCAAAAAAAAAAAAAAAAAAAAAAAAGCCTTCCAGTTGATTTCTTAGGTAATAGCAGAATCTGTTTTCTCTGTAGCATAAGAATTCTTGATTTACCACCTTTAGAGGTACTGAACAAAACTATATGTGTGCTGAAATATGGATTTATTTATAAGCTCATTAGAGACTAAGTCATGGCAACACATTATAGTTCATTATTTTTGTCTAAATTCTTGTTGAGCCGCATCCATCTATATATAATACTAAGTTGCTAACAGCTTCTTTATACTAAGCCACAACTCATTTTACCTGGTGGTTTCATTTGAAATGTATGAGCTGTATTATATAACATTCAAATAAGTAATAATTTAATTCAATGACTATGGAAAGAAGAGTCATACAGGCACACTGATAGTGAATTGGAATCTGGCACCTGACACTGATTAACAGGTTGAGCAGATTCAACTAGACCTAGTGCCACTGCACTCCAGCCTGGGAGACAGAGCGAGACTCCATCTCAAAAAAAAAAAGTTCACAGACGATGGGGATGTGAGCAAAAAATATATTATTCTAAGCATGTGAAATTTTAGTGTACAACCTGCATTGCCTTAACAGATATATTATTCGGTTTTGATTCTTCAGGATATATGATTCAATCCTCTGGTGAATCAAAACTGAGAGGAGAATAACTTACGTGTTAAGGTAGGAAATGTAGGGAAGACACTGTTTTTTTCCCCCAAATTTCTGGTTTAATAAAGACTTGTTTATTTTGAGAAAAATAGGTCCCAAACATCAGGCTGTTAACAAAATAACCCACAGTATCAACCTTAAAAAGCAAATCGTAACACTATAACACTATTTTTCTAGAGGATGCATTTAACATGGCAACTCATTCACAAAAATACATTGTTATATTTGTGTTGAACTGCCCCACAAATCACACCTATGTGGGGGTGTAACACACATACTTCTAACTCAGCTGCTTTTAGGAGCTATGCAACTAAATGAGATTGCTTTTGCAGTTAGGGAGGCGACTACTGAAACTGTATGAATGAAAAAAACTACTTTCTGCATAATGAGATAATTTTGGAGACAGTTGATAAAAACCGTAAATCCGGCCGGGCAAGGTGGCTCATGCCTGTAATCCAAGCACTTTGAGAGGCCGAGGCGGGTGGATCACGAGGTCAGAAGTTCAAGACCAGCCTGGCCAACATGGTGAAACACCGTCTCTACTTAAAATACAAAAATAAATAAAATTACCCGGGCTTGGTAGCACGCGCCTGCAATCCTAGCTACTCCGGAGGCTGAGGCAGGAGAATTACTTAATCCAGGAAGTGGAGGTTGCAGTGAAGCAAGATTGCACCACTGCACTCCAGCCTGGGCAACAGAGCAAGACTCCATCTCAGGAAAAAAAAAAAAAAAAAAAAAAGAAATACGTCCTTTTTATTGTTAAGTCATAAAGAGGTTTCAAAATTAAAAGCAAAAACTACAGGGTAAGACTTAACAAAACTACTAGGAGTGTCAAAGGAGGTGAAATGGGACCTAGGTGCAGGGCAATATGAATTAACATGGGAAAGACAAGGACAATGAGCATGTGCTGAAGATACTAGAGAAGAAGATCTGGTAAAAAATTTGATCTTAGAGAAGCACCTAGGTAAACAAATATTGGGATAAGATTTCTAACCCCCACTATGTGCTTAAGAGTCATTTTTGCCATTGGCGCTGTCTCTGTCATCCTCTCCTTCCTCAGCCTCTTTTTCATCCTTGGTCAACTCCAGCTGGCCATCCCCCACCTTCATTATCATCATCATCCAGTAGATCCCCCTCCTCAGCAGAGTCATCTGCGCCCCCCTCAGACTTCACATTAATCTCATTTTTCTTCACTGAGCTCCTGCTCTGTTCCTCTTCTCACTTACCGTTCTTCATCTCTACTGCTTGTTTGCTCTGTTCCTTTTAAATTTTTCCAGGTTTTCCAGGGGTGAATCCACCT
Source organism: Homo sapiens (assembly GCF_000001405.40). Lineage (NCBI taxonomy): Eukaryota > Metazoa > Chordata > Mammalia > Primates > Hominidae > Homo > Homo sapiens. Next base: position 64,501,436 of record NC_000007.14, on the reverse strand, counting down.
TTTGTTTTATCTGGGTCAGTTCCTTCTTAATGGCCTAAAGGTCATCTCCTTTCAACTTTCCAGACTTGGAAGATCCCTGCTGTCCACTCTTAGAATTGAAGCCACTTTTGCCCCTTCATGAGGTGTTTTCTGAAACATGCTGACGTTTCGAGGGCACTACAGCCTAAGCAATAGGAGGAGGAGGAGGAAAATGTGCTGGGCAACTGTACATCCTTTCACAATAATCCCGTTGAAAGTCATAGTCCAAGTCAAGAGAGGAGCTGAATAGAGGCGATGGAGAAGGGTGTTCTGTTACTGACCCATACATCGCTGCAGATCATTTCACACCTGCTTTTCCTCCGTTCACTTTTGGCTCTGCAGCCAGGTTAATATCTAAAACCTGGCCAGCAATTATTCTGCCCTTCTCTCTTCTACAGCAGCCGGGGCATTTCTCTCATTCACCTGTTGAACAAAGGCAAAGCCCTTATGAACTGAGCAACCCACAATTTTGCTGCACATCGAAAAGATTGCCTCCACATCACACTTCTTGACCACAAGAGTGTTGAGATTTCCAGTGAACACATGGGAGTTCATGGAGCGAGGATCTGTTCTGTTGGTAACATTGCTGGCCATTGTGTTTGATAAGGTTCCCACAAAGCCAAAAACAGGAGGAAGGAGGGAGAAGAGATTCGATTCTGAGTCTCCTACTCCCAGGTTCTACGTGGAGAAGCCAACTGCTGCTCGAGGTCGGCAACGTGGCCACAACCGCTCAGTCTTCGTCTCTTCACAAAATCAGCCCCATTACTTCTGACCAACATCTCCTCCACTCCCAGCCCCAGACAATCATCATTCTACCCTATGCTTCTATGAGTTTAAACCTTTTTATACTCTACATAGAAATGATATTATGAAAGTTTTTTTCTGTGCCGTCTTATTTAGCATCATGTCCTCCAGGTTCATCAATGTTGTTGCAAATAACAAGAGTTCCTTTTTTTTCCCCATAGGGCTGAGTAGCATTCCATTGTGCAAATATATCACATTTTCTTTATTTATTAACCTGTTGATGGACACTTAGGTTGCTTCCATACCTTAGATATTGTGAGTAATCCATTTCCTTCCTTTTCTCTCATTTGTTTTTATATCTTTTTTCCTTTTTTTATATCCAGGAGTATTTTACTTTTAAAATATAAATTATGAATGTTAAATGCCTTCATTTGAGCTTCATTTGGGTCATTAGCTGTGTTCCCAGGGGAAATTATTTTACATCCTTGGTATAAGAATTAAAGAGAAGAGAAACACGAAGGGTGGCTTGACAGTCAACAGGGACAGGTTTATTTTGAATAAACCTAGGGGGGCAGCTGGCCGAGTTAGGTCAGAGCCACACTCTTTTACAGACTAAAAATTTTTAAGGATTCAGGGTGGGAGAGTTTATCGGAGGCTTGGACTGCTTCTGTGTCTCTTCGTTGTGCTTATCTGGGAGGGAGAGTTGTGTGTCTGTTCCCATACATCTTTCTGCAGCTGCAGGCACAGCCCCCCAGTCTGCTTTTAGCTTCCCAATCTTAGTGCACCCGAAGGGAAAAGAATGTGCCTATTAAGGCCCACTGTTTTACTGGGGCCCATTGTATGAGGGTGAAGATTGGCAGTTACTCAAGAGACTTTCCTTCCACCTCCCTCTGTGCCCGAGCTGGCTGTTTTTTGTTTGTTTTGTTTTTTTGAGACGGAGTCTCGCTGTGTCACCCAGGCCGGAGTGCAATGGCGTGGTCTCCGCTCACTGCAACCTCCACCTCCTTGGTTCAAGCAATTCCCCTGCCTCAGCCTCCCGAGCAGGCGCGCACACCACACCCGGTTAATTTTTTGTGTTTTTGGTAGAGATGGGGTTTCGCTATGATGGCCAGGCTGGTCTCGAACTCCTGACCTCGTGATCTGCCCGCTTCGGCCTCCCAAAATGTTGGGATTACAGGCGTCAGCCACCGTGCCCACCTGAGCTGTCTTACCTGTATTTTACTGTCTGCTCTTTCTGGATGCTTGTAATTAGAAGAGAAGTGATTTCCTTGAAATGCATGAGGCTAGAAAGGGAGCTAGAACTTAAAGTGGCAGTGTTTGTCTGAGTTGATGGTGCTCCTGCTCTATCACTTGGAGCTTCAATCTTCATTATTAATAAAAAATACTATTTCCCCCAGGGCTGTTTTAATTCATACATGGTAGCTGTAAGTATTTTTCACTGAAAGCCTTGTCTGAATATAGTACAGTAAATATTTAAAAATAAGAACAAAATCATTTATATTTCAAAGATCCTTTATTATAGTTTAGTGGGTGTATTTTGTTATATTTAATGTATTTATTCTTTCCAAAAAATGCCAAAATAAAAATGTTATTATTTTTTCTGGAATAACAGACTAAGAGTTTCTACATTGTGACTTTGCTAATTTTTGCATATGGTGTTAACTGCTACCTTTGAATTTAGGTTGAATTTTAAACCCACTGTTGTTTACTTTGTGTAATATTTGTTTCTTTTGGGGAATCAAATATATTTGATATGGACTGTTTGGGGTAACCTAATTTCTGGGCTTAATTTCTGCTTTCTTTCTGTTATTAAATCTGGAATTTTAGAAATTACTAGGATTCAAATAAAGTTGGTTTGGAATCCAGCAACAGAAAATCCCAGAAAAAAGTGAAGGACACAGCTACCGGATAGTGCCTTTCAGTGAGATATATACATGCAACAGAGTTCAGTGAAATTTATAAAATTATTGCAAGTTTGTTGAATTTAGAAACTAATTGCCTACAATATATTAGGCACTTAGTTTGTCTGTGGCATCCTTAGCTTGAGAAAGCTGACATTACTGAAAAGAATATTGCTACTGTAATAAACTTTGGAACAAATATTTATGTGCTAGTAAACATTTGCCTTACTTCTTAAATACAGGTCATTCTGGCTCAGTCCTTTTGGCACAACTGTTTATAATTCCAGAGACTTTCACCAATGTTCATTTTATGTTTATTTTTACATAGTAAACTTCACAGTTGGCATCATTATACTGGGATGCCCCAGGCAATTCCTGAGCCTTAGAGCTGACCATCCTACCTCATCCTTATTTCACGTGCTCTGTTGTTGTGTTTCTCTCACTCCATATTTGAGCCTTAATGAGGCCTCAGTTTGGAGAAACCAGGGAATGGGTTGCTATATATGTTGGGTTGAGAATCAGGATCCTCTTGAGGATAAAGACTTGACATTTATTACTCATAGTACAAAGTAGAATTTTTAAGATGCAGACATGTTGTTTTTGTTTTTTTGAGGCGGAGTCTTGCTCTGTCGCCCACGCTGGAGTGCATTGGCATGATCTCGGCTCACTGCAGCCTTTGCCTCCTGGGTTCCAGCGATTCTCCTGCCTCAGTCTCCCGAGTAGACTAGCTGGGATTACAGGCGCGCACCACCATGCCTGGCTAATTTTTGTATTTTTTTTTTTTTTAGTAGAGACAGGTTTTCACCATGTTAGCCAGGCTGTTCTTGAACTCCTGACCTCAGGTGATCCGCCCACCTCGGTCTCCCAAAGTGCTGATATTATAGGCGTGAGCCACCGTGCCCTGCCAACATGTTTTATTCAAATTAAATATAGATGATTTTATCAGTATGCCCATATGGTAAAAATAACTGTATCAAGTCCATCAAATGTTCTGCTTTAGACTCTCCCAATGCAAAGATCAATATATATGAATTGGATGTTAGTTTTGTTTTGTTTTTTAGTGTAGGCTATTGTTTTTAAGATTTTTTTTCTACTTTATGCTGATGTTAAGCTACACAAAGCTTACCAAAAGATTTATTTTATCATATTTATTTTTTACCCAAAGTTACAACACTTAAATATTTAAAGTGACATTCTGGATTCCCATTTTCCAGGTGATGTAGTTTGCATTTATTAGTACTACCTTTCAGTTTTTCCTTATGTGGTGCAAGATTATAAAAATGCCTCCCAGCTGATTTCTTAGGTAACAGCAGAATCTGTTTTCTCAGACAGTAGCATAAGAATTGTTGATATACCACCTTTAGAGGTATTGAACACACTGGATAAATGTGGTGAAATCTGGATTTATCTATAAACTCATTAGAGGCTGACTCATGGCAACACATGTTATAGTTCAATATTTTTGTTTAAATCGTTGAGCCACATCCATCTATATATGTAACACTAAGATTCTAACAGCTCCTTTACACTAAGCCCGAATTCATTTTACCTGGTGATTTGATTTGAAATGTATGAGCTGTATTATATAACTTTCAAATAAGTAATACAAATTCAAAGAATATGGAAAGAAGAGTCATACAGGCACACTGACAGTGAATTGTAATCTGGCAGGTGACAATGATTAACAGGTTGTGCGGATTCAACTAGACCTAAATCCCTGAAACAATATTAAAAGACAGAATTTTTAAATTAAAAACATTGACAATATAATAGGCCTATAATATTTAAAAAAATGTTTACCCATCATCAGTCGATATTAAGTTAAACTAGAAAATTTGGAACACACTATCCAAAAAAAATGAAATAAGTCAACTATCCCCAGGCTTACTCTGATCAAAATAAGACTTCGGCATATTTGAAAACACCAAATTATTATGAAAAATATTCATTTTGAACAGATCTTTTTTATATATTACTTCTAAATAAACCTAATACTAATAGGTTTGATTTATGAAATATTTGTTTATGTCTATCGCTGTAGTTAAAAATTGAGATATTATATAAACATAGTTTAAATAATTTTGATTAAAATATTTGGTGTTTTAATTGAGTACCAGTATTCATACAGTATGGCAAATTCAGGCTTATTGTATAAAACGGCAAAATAGTATTTTACTTTTTGTAAAATGCAAAATGGTATTTTACATTTTTTGACTATTTTGGCATTTTATAAAATAAGCCTACATTTTTGGAGACATTTTTAAAGAAGCCAATCTTTTCTAAAATAAAATTAATACATCAAAAACTAGAGACATAAATGTCGTATACATCGTTTACTGAATCCTACAGTAATCTGTAAAGTTTGTTTGTGTACATCAATGTTAGATTACCTAAAACATAATAAAGTTTCTATTTTACGTTATATTTAATATACAAAAGTCCAAAATATATCCAGACAGACAAAAATTGTGGCTGCCACTTTAAAAAACAATGTTTGTCTGGCCATGGTGGCTCATGCCTGTAAGCCCAACACTTTGGAAGGCCGAGGCAGGCGGATCACTTGAGGTCAGTAGTTTGAGACCAGCCTGGCCAACATGATGAAACCCTGTGTCTACTAAAAGTACAAAAATTAGCTGGGAGTGGTGGCAGGCACCAGTAATCCCACCTACTCGGAAGGCTGAGGCAGGAGAATCGCTTGAACCCGAGAGGCGAGGTTGCAGTGAGCCGAGATCGCGTCACTGCAGTCCAGCCAGGGCAGTAGGGCAACAACTCCATCCCAAATTAAATTAAATTTAAAAAACCAAAGGTTTTAGCACGATAAAGAACGTTAAAATGTAAACTAAACTATGACAGTTTAGATTATGATGAATGACTTTTTATTTGCACTTATGTTAAGAATCACCTTTATTTATTTTTTTGAAACACACAGGAAATGCTGTGGTGGTAACTTGCTGGGTGATGACTGGGATGGTATTTACTATCCTAGGGATGGTGGGGTCCAGTGGACCAGAATCCTCAGCACCTGACCATGTTCACTGCTGTCCTTTCTCTCCCTAAGATTCGTTTCTCAGACTCCATCATCAACTCTGTTTCTATCGTGGCGTGAACGGTTTTTCGCTGCTTTAGCATCTAACTTTGATTTCTGCGAATTTTCGTTGATAGTTTGTTTTTCTTGTCCATCTCTGGTGCTGGCTTTGCTGTTCCACTTTGAGGAGTTCCGGCAGCTTCACCCTCAGCTACTCCAACAGTCCATCCTTTTGGCTCAAACTCTTGCAGTTTCTTTCGGTTCTTCTGTTCCTGGCGTCTGAGATTTGTCAGCAGAGCCTGTTTTTCAGGGAACATGGATACCACCTCCTCCCTCCTGCGGGGTGGCTCCTGCACGTCTAGTGGGCGCTAGTCCCAGCCGCGGCCCAGCCAAGCACAGCGGCAACCGCAGCAGCAGCCGGAGTGCCAGCCCCCGGGGTCGCCCAGGCCAGGGACGCCACGGCTCTAACCCTGGGTCGAGGCCCAGATCGGTGCACAGAAAGCCGATGTCAAGTGGAGCATTTCCCACAGCTGGGCGAGCCCTCCTCAGCCTGCGGAGCCAGTTCCTGCCACCAGCTTCATGCTGCCACTGCCCCCTTTCATTAGAGGGACGCACAGGAAGGCACAGGGGCACAGAGACATCGTGGAAGAGTCCAGGGGAAGGAGGAGGGGCGGGGCCCGTCAGCCTCAGGCCCAGGGCATTGCGGCGCGCCTCATGCCTGAGCAAACATCAGCCACTGTCACCGCGGGGAGGACAGAGGGGCCCAGGCTCCCCCAGCCAGCCTTCCTCTGTGCCAGGAGAGGAGACAACTTTCCTAAAAAGCAGCACAGGGTAGAACCTGCAGATCTGACCCAATTAAGTTTTCGTCCTTTTTAACTCTTTTCTCTTGTTTTGCCTTTTCCTTTCAAATTATGCTCACCTGAAGTCAGATTTCATGTTCCATCTTCATGTGGCAATTTACATGTAATCATAATGGTCACAACTTTAAAAACTTTTTTTGTTTTTTTAATTTGGAGACGGAGTCTCACACTGTCGCCCAGCCTGGTGTACAGTGTCGCGATCTCAGCTCACTGCAACCTCCGACTCCCGGGTTCAAGCAATTCTCAGGCTTCAGCCTCCTGAGTAGCTGGGATTACAGGCATGCGCCACCACGCCTGGCTAATTTTTGTATTTTTAGTAGAGATGGGGTTTTGCAATGTTGTTCAGGCTGGTCTCAAATTCCTGGCCTCAAGTGATCCGCCCAGCTTGGCCTCCCAAAGTGCTAGGATTACAGAAAAATTTTAATTTATTTTACCCAACAGTGCTGGGTTAACATTAAACTTTTAATAGTGCTTTCTGAATGCTACAGTTTATTACCTTTTATTTGATTCTATTAACTAAGCTATAGTAACTAATAATAAAGTCTCAATTTGCATACCTTGACAGTTTACAAAGGGCATGCATTTATTCATTTAACCAATAAATGTGTGTTGAGCATACACAATGTGCCATACTTTTTGCTAGGCTTAGGAAATAAAATGAAGAAAAGAAAGTATTGGTCTCTACTCTCATAAAACTTTCAGGCTGGCTTCATGAAACTCTCACACACTCCTGAGAAGTGGATACCTCTGAAGTCTCTTATTAACCTCCTACCCAAAGTAACCACCATGTGAATTTTGTGTTATTCTTTAATTTATGCATTTTTATCTATAAACCATATACATTTTAGTGTTGCCTGTTTTTTGCGTTTATATACATTTTACCATTTTATATTTGGGACTTGCTTTTTTATTTATAATTTTTTTATTATTTCATGTTGCTTAGCATAGCTGTAGTTGTCCATTTTCACTGCTGCATAGTGTAAATATACATCAATTTATAAATCAATCTTATTGCCAGTGGATATTTGTGAATTCCAATTACTCCATATTTTTACCAACTTAGAATTACTAGACATAATTTTTGACAAAATGGTGAATTAGAAAAGTGTATCATTTATAGTTTTAATTAGCATTTTCATAGTTACTAATGAAGTTGGAATTTTTCATGTTTATTGATCTAATAAGATCTAAGACTTGCCATCTCTCCTATATTTAATGTCTTTTTCTTATTCATAATAGTCTAATAAATAATAGTTATATATATATATATAAAAATATATATAAAAAACTTTTTTTTTTTTTGAGATGAAGTTTCTCTCCTGTTGCCCAGGCTGGAGTGCAATGGTGTGATCTTGGCTCACTGCAACCTCAGCCTCCTGGGTTCAAGTGATTCTTCTGCCTCAGCCTCCCAAGTAGCTGGGATTACAGACACGCACCACCACACCTGGCTAATTTTTTTGTATTTTTAGTAGAGATGGGGTTTCAACACGTTGGCCAGCTGGTCTTGAACTCCTGATTTCAGGTGATCCACTCGCCTCAGCCTCCCAAAGTGCTGGGATTACAGGTGTAAGCCACAGCGCCGGTCTGTAATATATATATTTTTAAATATCAATCTTTTGTAGTATGTCTTTTAAAAATATTTTCTCCCAATTTTGCTTTGCCTTTGCATTATCTGTAGTAAAACATGTTTTTATACATTATTAATAATCAAGTTTAAAATTGATAGTCTAATTTATAAATATTTTTATGCATTATTTTTATCTTGTGCCATGTTTAGAAAATTTTTACCCCAGTTATAATATTTTCCTGTATTTTCTCCTAAAAGTTTTAATTCCTTAATCTATGTGAACAAGTTTTTTGTGTGAGTTGCTTTTCAGGTATCCAGTCTACCTAGGTAGAACCAATTGTTTAGGTACTAGTTTATTGACTAATTCTTCTTTGCAAGTATAATTGTATAACTCATTTCTCATTTTAATCTGTTGACTGGAACCACAGATGCAATAGTTAACAAAAATGTTTACAGCAGCATCATTATCATGTTTATGACATTAAAAAACAAGCTTTTAATAGTTTATTATGTATATTTGCTGTAGTTTATTTTAGATACCTTGTATATTTACAATATAAAATCACATCTTTTATTTCTAGTTTGCTGGAAGGCTTTTACCGAGCTCTTTTCTGTGCCTATTTTATATACATGTATAGATTTTAGTGTTCAACTTATCCTGTACTCCTGAGATAATCTTAGTCATGGAAACTGGGTCTCACAAATCTGTCTCCCCCTTTTGGTTCCTAAATAAGATGGTTACAAGATGAAAGGCTACACACCTCCCCCATATTTTGCACACAAGAAAATTCCTGGTGAGATGTTAAAACTTCACCATGGCAATGCAACTTGATAGCTTATCTTTACAGGTGCAGTCACCCTGGCCCGCCGGACACAAATGCATATCTGATTTTTTTCCTACCCCATTTTGTCTGTTATGTAAAATGCAGATTCCCCACATTTTTCTTCTGCCCCCTTTTATGTAAAAACTGTGTGCTTCTCAATATCCCACCCTTTCCCCTTTAAATTTGGAGCCCTCAAAATCATCTTCAGAAAAAGGCATAGACCTGTCTCCTGGGTGTGTCCTTAACTTTGGCAAATAAATTTCCTAAAATGACTGAGATGTGTTTCGTTGTTTACTTCGACTGACATCTGGTAACCACAGAGGGATCCTGACTGAAAGTGACTTACCTGGCTTGTGGCAGTTCACCTTTCAGTGCTTGGTACCGGCTTGGGCACCTTATGGCCTGAACCGACAGGAAATTTACGGAAGTCTGGGACCCCTTTTCTCCAGGGATCCCTGATTTTCCGCGTTTTTCAGCTGGGGGTCGGAGGTTTATTTGCTGTTAAAAAGACTCTTTTGCTTCTGCATCGGCAGAGAGTCTTCTCCAGCATGGGCCCCATAAGTAGGTAAGAAACTGGTTTGGGATTCTGCCTTGCAAATTCTTCTTTCTCTCGTTCTCTTTCCTTTTTTTTTTTTGTTGTTGTTGTTGTTCTTGTTTTTGAGACTGAGTCTCACTCTATTGCCCAGGCTTGAGTGCAGTGGGGCAATCCGGGCTCACTGCAATCTCCGCCTCCCAGGTTCAAGCGATTCTCCTGCCTCAACCCCCCCAGTAGCTGGAATTACAGGTGCATGCCACCACGCCTGGCTAATTTTTCTTTCTTTTTTTTTTTTTGAGACGGAGTCTCGCTCTGTTGCCCAGCCTGGAGTGCAGTGGTGCAATCTCGGCTAACTGCAACCTCCGCCTCCCAGGTTCAAGCAATTCTCCTGCTTCAGCCTCCCGAGTAGCTGGGATTACAGGCACACAACACCATGCCCGGATAATTTTTGTATTTTTTTTTAGTAGAGACGGGTTTCACCATGTTGGTCAAGCTGGTCTCAAACTCCCGACCCTGTGATCTGCCCGCCTCAGCCTCTCAAAGTGCTGGGATTACAGGCGTAAGCCACTGCACCCGGCCTAATTTTTGTATTTTTAGTAGAGACGGGGTTTCACCATGTTGACCAGGATGGTCTCAATCTCTTGACCTCGTAATCTGCCCACCTCAGCCTCCCAAAGTGCTGGGATTACAGGCATGAGCCACCACACCCAGGTGCAAATTCTTTTAAATGACTGAAATAGCATAATAGCATTAACAACTAGCTGTTGTTAATTTCCTGCCTACACTTAGAGCACTCAGAAACTGTATATTTTGTGTGATTGTTGTTATGCTTAACGTTTTTGTTTTTGTTTTTTGGTGCGTGTGTGTGTTGTGTATGTGTGTGTTTTGGTCCTTTCCCTTATCAGATTTGACCAACTTTGAACCCTCTAGCTCATGAGTTTGTAATCTTCCACTCTGAAGAAATACAGCACCTTGCTCCCCTCAGCCTTTTGGGGCATTCTCAGATGACTGGGAATCATGTGAGGGTGTCTAGGAGAAATGCTCCCTAAAACGTGCAGATGTTCTAAATAGGTTTCCCCTTTCAGAAGAACATATTTAGAATCCAATCTCATCTAGCAGGGGCATATAACGAGCCAAACCCTACTGCACCTTGAGCCCCTGACACATTTGTGCCAAGTAGCTTCGACACAGGTGGACTGAACCGGTTCAGGGGGTAACGGCCCTGAAAAGCTAGGTCTGAAAGCAGCACATTTTGGGTTTGACACATGTCCCTACTTGATCAAATCTGAAGAGGAGCTCTAAATTATGGGGAACAAGGCCTCTAAGACCCCGCGTGCTGCAGAAAATAAGGTTCTGCCTTTGGAAACTCCGCTGGGTATATGCAAAATGCTTATGGTAAATCATCATGCAAACATTTAACTAAGTGGGCCACTGTAACTAAAGCAGATTCTAAATTCCAATGGCCTAAATTGGGATCTTTTGAGATGCCTAAATTAGTGTACCTGTGAACCAGGATGAAAAATTCAGGCACAAATCTAAGCGGCCAGAATGGGAGAGTTATTTTTAGTGGTATTTGGAGAGTAGCAAACGGGGCAAAGACTGCCTCACCTCCCTACAGGAGGCGAACAAGCAACTTAGAACTACTAATCAGGAACTCTCTAATCTTATGTCTCTCAAAAAACACTCAAAATCCCTTACTTCCCCCTTCGCACCACCCTCACCTCCACCTACAGCACCACTCTACCCTGTCCTCTCTGAACTTCCCAGACCAGACCTGTGCCCTTTCACACTCGCTCAACAGAAGGCAGTCCAGAATCTGACTTAAAAAAGGCCTCACCCACTGACAGTTCCCTTAAAGCCCCAATGGCAGTGTCTCATCTGGAAGATGTAAAAAAGAAGGACCATCTCTCATGATTGCCCCATTTCAGGAACAAAAAGTAACAGGTAGGGGAACCCAGGTTATTTTCTACTAACCTTGGTCAAAGACTGAATTATGAAGCATAATTTAAAAAATTCCTGCTAGGGTGCGGTGGTTCATGCCTGTAATCCCAGCACTTTGGGAGGCTGAGGTGGGTGGATCACCTGAGCTCGGGAGTTCGAGACCACCCTGGGCAACATGGTGAAATCTTATCTCTACTAAAATACAAAAAATTAGCTGGGCTTGGTGGCGTGTGCCTGTAGTCCCAGCTGCTCAGGAGGCTGAGGCATGAGAATCGCTTGAGCCCAGGAGGTGGAGGTGGCAGTGAGCTGAGATCGCTCCACTGCACTCCCGCTTGGGCTATAGAGTAAGACTCCATCTCAAAAAAAAAAAAAAAGTCCTGACTCCCATAAAGTTCCAATCAGGTGTACCCAAGAATTTGAGCTCATTATCAGAACCTATGACCCAGGTCATTCAGACCTTTATCTGCTAGTTCACATGTTGGTCTCAGAAGCTAAAGATAACGAATGGCTGGAAAAAAGCACAATGGTCAGACCCTATAGCTGATTTAGCCCCTGAAGGTCCAATAGAGCCACAACAACCAGCCCCCAAAATCCAGAAGACAGGTGTAAAGATGCATGGGAATGAGCGATTGCTCTGTTAAATGTTATTCCTTCAGTGTTCCAAAGGGTTGTGGATTGGAAAAAAATCCAACAATGCCACCAGAACCCAAATAAATCAGTTTTAGATTATTTCACACATTTTGATAAAACTTTTAAGACAATATTGTGGGATGTGAGCTGATTGCTTTGAAAACAATAAAATGATACATTATTAAATGTGAATTTCTTAAATGGAGTAGATGATGATTTAGCCAGCCTTGTAAAATGCCACATAACAAACTGGGCCACAGTAAGAACTAGTAAACTAGTTAACTTAGCTGACCAATTATCCTACACTATGATAAAAAAAGAAAAGCAGAAGAGTGCCCACTTACAGCTAAAGCAATTAAGTTCTCAAACCTGTCAGCTGTAGAAAGATTTTAAGCTCCCTTGGTCTGAGAACTCTTTCCCTCCCAGTCTGTTACTACTGTAAAGGATCAGGACACCTTAAAAGGGATTCTCTTAGGCTGAAATGAAAGAAAAGGCAGGAAAATGCAATTCAGGAAGACTAGGGGTGCTCTGAGGAAGTACAGAAGTTTCACCTCTCCAAATATTCTATCCTGATGAACAAATTGAGAGAGATTAATATAATAAACCATGAGCTTAAAACTGTTACAGGAAAGGTGTCCTGATCCAGATCCTGAAACAGGGTTCTTGGATCTTGCGCAAGAAAGGATTAAGGGAGAGTCTGCAATGCAAAGTGAAAGCAAGTTTATTAAAAAGGTAAAGGAATAAAAGAATGGCTACTCCATAGAGCAGCCCTGAGGGCTGCTGGTTGTCCATTTTTATGGTTATTTCTTGATGATATGCTAAACAAGGGGTGGATTATTCATGCCTCCCCTTTTTAGACCATATAGGGTAACTTCCTGATGTTGCCATGGCATTTGTAAACTGTCATGGCACTGGTGGGAGTGTAGCAGTGAGGACCAGAGGTCACTCTTGTCGCTATTTTGGTTTTGGTGAATTATGGCTGGCTCCTTTACTGCAATCTGTTTTACCAGCAAGGTATGTATGACCCGTATTTTGTGGTGACCTCCTATCTCATCCTGTGACTTAGAATGCCTTAACCATCTGGGAATACAGCCCAGTAGGTTTCAGCCTCATTTTACCCAGCTCCTATTCAAGATGGAGTTGCTCTGGTTCACACACCTCTGATATTTCCCCCCTCCCTTTTATAAGAGAACCATTAGCCCTAAGGGTTTCAGAGGGATGAAGAGCCATCTTCTGTAACTTCTTCATGATGAATAGGGGTGATAATATTCCTGCCTAGCTATGAGGGTCTCTTGCATTCAGGGTAGAGAGGAGCTCAGTAAGAAGGTATCAGTATGGTAAGGTCCCTTTATAACTCTTGAGTTTCAACAAAAGGTGGTATCTGGAACATTAAGGAGTGTTTAGTTTAAGGAAACATTCAGTAAGCTTGTCCTGTATTTCTACACAGAGTATAACAGCAATACATTTCACAACAGTGAGACAAAATAAGTAAAGTTATTCAAAGTAAACTAAATTAGAAGGCTTTCTGTGAACTGGGCAACTGTTGAAACCAAGATGATATGGGGTTGCTAGCTGATTGCAATGTGCCCAGAATAAGAATATTGATCCAGATTTTTATATTACCTATCCCTCTTGTTTCTTCTGAGCAGCAGTCAGAGATCACTGGTTGGTTCACAGGAATAAGCAGGGTTAGCCTAAATTGCAGAAACAAACTTAAAAACAACTAATGAGACTAGAATCTAATAACAAGTATACTGTAGTTTTTGAAACATAATATCCCTCTCTCCAGTTTCCCATTTTTACTAATGGCAAATCATGGTAAGACAAATTTCTTTATTATACTTGGCCTGATTATTTGTATAAAGTGCAGTAAGAATAATTATTTTTCACATCGGCTCTTTTTAAATTGGCTTTGATGGAATTCTGTTCCATAGAAGGAATCTTATATAAGACTTTTTAAAGCCAAGCTCAGCCATCAGTTTGTACCCTCCAATAACTATGAGTTGAGTAAATTCTTCTCCTCTTGGGGTCCCAAGATAACTTGGGGCTTCTGGACCTGTCAGAAAGTGACATTATTTACTTACCACAGATAAGAAACCATGTACAGGGACTGTTGTAGGCAAGGTATGAGCCCAGTTCCCCAAAGGGCTTTTACTGGCTCTACAAGTCAAGTTTGATTCCTTAAAGGAAAGCACATCATTCCAGTCAAAGCCTTGGTAAAATAACCAGTTTCTCCAATTGTGTCCTGTTGTAAAAGAAAACAGATTCTTATTGCCCTTATGCAGATAACTATATTGCTGTAAGTTAAGAACATTCAAAACTAGTTTCCAAATTCTGAAGAAATCAGGTAGAGAGAAATAAATATGTTCCAAATTTTGTTCATAGGAGTACCTCAACTGTTAAAAGCTGTAACTAGCTCAAAAGAAAAGTTTCCTTGACTCTGAAAAACAAAACAAAAGATCAGAAGTGTTTTAATCAAAGTTAAAAAGATTACTTCAGTTTTCTATTGGTTCAGTTAATTCAGTTAACTCCTGTTAACTGAACATTCCATTCATGAACACTCCACCTCTTAATGAGAGTTCTAAAAGTTGTTTCCTTTATTCCAATGTTACAATTTCCAAAGTTATTAGAAACCTGCATTTAAGAACACCTGCTAGTTCTATAGTTGATTATAAGCCATCTTCTAAAGAGGATTAAACAACTATCTATGGATAATAAAAAGTTTTAGGATAGCCACTATTAAAGCCACAACTGATAAGGAAATTTGGTTACCTCTGTGGCACACAAAATTTTACATAACAATGATAATTATTAATAACATACACTGTCATATTAGAATAATAGAAGTTTCCCATAACTTTGGAACATATACCAATAACAAATTTATGCAAATATAGTCCAAAAAAAGGAAAACATCATTTCAAATTTGATGCGTCCTGTAAGATTTTTATACCACATAAGCCAAATTTCATCTTTACATTAATGTACTATTAATGTCAAACCCAATAAAACCTAATAGACATATTTACCCAATTTTAATGTTTAACCATAAGGTAAGATTCTTATAAACCTTTTATAAACTTTTACATTGATTGGTGTGAAAGAGCAGATCAGTACTTTTAGAAAAACCTATTGTGCTTTTATTCCAATGTTTAATTTATGGAAAACTGAATAATACCCCTTTAACTTTAGCCAATATGTCCACACACAGGATCTCTTACAATTAATTTTATAAACCTTCCACAACTTGTTTAAACCTTTAGATTTTTTTCTTACTTAAAACAATCTTTTAACACTTCAATCTAGGCAGAAAAAAATCCACATTTCCATGACCTCTTATAAACTTTCACCAAAAAACACCTTGCATGTAGAATTGTTTCTTTAGTAGTTTCAATTACATGTTATAATGTTAACTCTTAGGAACTTTTATTTTTGGTGAAAACCTTGGTAAGTAAGGGATTTTAATTGTGTACTAGGTGTGGATCCTAGCCTAGGACACACCAGGCAGAAGTGCAAATAAGGGTTGACTCTCCAGCATAGCTAGGGGGCGTGGCTAACTCCACATGTCCCTAGGCCTTATCTCAATTAAGCAGGCAAGTTGTACAGTAAGAGTTATACTGGCATTTTATGAAGCATTTAGGAGGCCTAACAACCTTTGAATTGTACAACATTTTTTTGCATAAATTCCCTTTCACAAATCCTTTCATGAGTTACACAGACTATTTGAGGCATTCTTGGATTTTTTGACTTGCCCTAAACATCCCTCCTTTTAAACAACCAGTCATTTTACTTTAGGACAAGAATTTACTATACAAGATCCTTTCTTATAAAATCTCTTTCTTTATAATCTTCTTTGTATAGCTAGGAGGAATGGGTAATTCCACATGTTCCCAGGCCTTATCTAGAACATGTTCCCAGGCCTTATCTAGAATCTAATGGCTTTAGGGTAAGTAAATTGAACAATTTTTAAAAGTTAAAGAAGCAGTTGATAACCTTAAAGCATTTAACAAACTTAATATCTGACCGGCATAATTTAGTCTAAATGTTTTTATCTTATCAATAACTTTTATTTATCAATAATTTTTTTCCCCAGAAAAATTTGAGGCCAGGCATGGTGGTTCACGCCTGTAATCCCAGCACTTTGGGAGGCTGAGGTGGGTGGATCACCTGAGGTCAGGAGTTTGAGACCAGCCTGGCCAACATGGTGAAACTCTGTCTCTACTAAAATCCCAAAAATCAGCTGGGCGTGGTGGTGCATGCCTGTAGTCCCAACTACTCAGGAGGCTGAGGCAGGAGAATTGCTTGAACCAGGGAGGTGTAGGTTGCAGTGAGTGGAGATCGCTCCATTGCACTCCAGCCTGGGCAACAAGAATGAAACTCTGTCTCAAAAAAAAAAAAAAAAACAAAAACAAAAATTTGGGAAATTTTTATTTCCCAAAGATTACTAAAGTTACATGAACTAAAAGGCATTACAGTTTTTATTTTGCTTTTATAATATTGCATTTAAGCACTTATTTTTGTTTCAACCAATTAATTAGAGCCCTTTTATATAAACATTATACACAACACATCTATAGCTACACAGAAGGACAGAAGAAGATTACTACAGTAGTTGTAAGATTTTTCATTTGCCAGTTTTTAAGTCTTAATTGGATTACTGACTTTAGGGTGGAGCCCTTGGAAGAACAGGGCCAGGAAAGGGGTCTCTGGTGCCTCCTGTTTTTCCCAAGGAGTCCAGGCTGTTAAAGCTTGAACATTCACTTTTAATTAAACTGATTTTAATCATAGCACTCTTTAATAAAGTCCTTTTAGGATTTTTTATGCCAAATGGCTGATATTTCTGGCTTTTTAAACTTAACCAAAGATAACTGCCCAGGTGCTTAGAGAAAGAAAAATTTAAGACAGTCTGCAGAGAAGAAGAGAATAGACAAGGTCACGCAGATATTAAACCAAAAACGACTTACTTCCTAAGTGGGGAATCAAACCTGGACCGCCACTGTGAAAGTGCAAAAACCTTAGCTACTGAGCTACAGCATAAGACAGTCTTCATTTCCTTTCCTAGGAGCCTAGAGTAGTTAATTTTGAGCTTGCAAAGGCTTTTTAACTATTTAATATGATTTTTAGAGCTAACTATGACATGAACCCTAAAATTCCTGTTCCCTGGAAGGTTGAGATCAAGAGAAAGTACCACCACGTGATTAAAAGGTCAAGCTCCCAAGGACATAAAACAAGTTGGAGACTTCATCCAGTTTTTTGTTTGTTTCAGGGACCTGCAGCCAAGTTTGTTACTAACCAGCTTGCTGGGATGTCTTGAGAAGCAGCTTACAGTCCAGGCGTGGTGGCTCACGGACTTTGAAAGGCCGAGGCAGGTGGATCACGAGGTCAGAAGTTCAAGACCAGCCTGGCCAAGGTGGTGAAACTCCATCTCTACTAAAAAAAAAAAAATTAGCTGGGCATGGTGGCGGGCGCCTGTAATCCCAGCTACTCAGGAGGCTAAGGCAGGAGAATTGCTTGAACCCAGGAGGTGGAGGATGCAGTGAGCTGAGATTGTGCCACTGCACTCCAGCCTGGGAGACAGAGTGAGACTCCATCTCAAAAAGAAAAAAAAAAAAAAAAGGCAGCTTCCAGGTGTTCTAAGCCTGTTTTATCCTGAAGTACCCCTTGACACAGAAAAATGAATCTGTAGCACAAAATATACCAGCTTAAGACTACCCTTAGAATTCTTTTTTGCATTAGTCAAAGCTTTACAGAGAAGATAAACACTTATTTTATTTATTTATTTTTTTGAGACGGAGTTTTGCTCTTGTTGCCCAGGCTGGAGTGCAATGGCGCAATCTCGGCTCACTGCAACCTCTGCCTGTGGGTTCAAGTTATTCTCCTGCCTCAGCCTCCCGAATAGCTGGGATTACAGGCATGCGCCACCACGCCTGGCTAATTTTGTATTTTTAGTAGAGACAGGGTTTCTCCATGTTGATCAGGCTGGTCTTGAACTCCCAACCTCAGGTGATCCGCCGGCCTTAACCTCCCTAAGTGCTGGGATTACAGGCATGAGCCACCGCACCTGGCCACACTTATTTTTAATTTTTATTTTTAACCATTCATTCAACCATTTGCGCAGAGAGAGAGAGAAGCCAGAAATCTGACTACTAAGAAATTTTTACCCTTTTGACGGCATGCCAGGCTTCTGGGTTCCTTTACCCTGAGTGGCCCCAGTGATCAGGCTTGTGGCACCATTGCCCTGGGGGCCAAGTCACATCATAAAGGAAAATTTTTTTTTTTCATTCTGGCCAGAGCAAAATACGTGTGATAAAACACAGACATAAGCTACTCTGCTTAGTGCCCAATATCAACTGACAAGGCTTAAATTTGCCTCCAGATGGGCTTCATCATCTTTAATTCAACCTCCAACTTGGAGTTTCAACATGTGGTCTCTGGGCAATAAGGTTGCCCTGAGTAACAGAAAAGATAAAAAAGGAAAAGTAGAGAAGGAAAGTATTGCCTGTGGCAGGGTGGGGAAGGTGAAATGCTTAGGGAGGCCAGAGAAAAGACCCACTCATGTGGGTCGACAATGAAAAGTTCAGGCAGCCGCTTGTTGGTAGCAAGGGGATGTTTTCCAGCAGTCCCATCAGCTCTCAAGTTTCCCCTTTTAGGGACGAAAAAGCTCCCTATGTCCCACAATCCTGTACATGCCTAACCCTGTCACCCACAGCCATCAGCAAAGACTGCAAGAAAGTTTAATCCAAAGAGAATAGCAGTTGCCAAACCTGTTCTTACCTGTTCTTACTTTACTGAAAGGGACCTCTAACTCCCTAAATCTTAGAAGGGACTCTAACCCTCCTAAGTCAGGCCTCTAACCTGAGGTCAGTCAAGCGTCCTTGCCTTTTATTAAGAGGGTCCTCTAACCCACTGTGTATTAGGGGAGACTCTAACTCCCCTAAGTTGGGCCTCTAACCCAATCCCATTCTTTATGCGGGTAACCCAAAGTCATCCAATCAGTGCTGCAGTCTATTTCCTTCCCAACCCAAAGAGTTCCTTCAGTATTGTCCCTTCCAGGTTTGCCAGAAAGATGTTACAGGACCCCAACACTTACCTAAAGGTAGCCATTGGGTCAGGGTTTCTGCAATATAGTCTGTTCTGTGGTCACCAGAAATATGTTACAGGAAAAAAGTCGCAATCCAGATCCCAAGAGAGAACTCTTGGATCTTGCACAATAAAGAATTCAGGGAGAGTCCACAGTGCAAAGTGAAAGCAAGTTTGTTAAGAAAGTAAAGGAATAAAAGAATGGCTACTCCATAGACAGAGCAGCCCCGAGGACTGGTGGTTGTCCATTTTTATGGTTATTTCTTGATGATATGCTAAACTAGGGGTGGATTATTCATGCCTCCCCTTTTTAGACCATATAGGGTAACTTCCTGATGTTGCCATGGCATTTGTAAACTGTCATGGCACTGGTGGGAGTGTAGCTGTGAGGACCAGAGGTCACTCTTGTCGCTATTTTGGTTTTGGTGAATTATGGCTGGCTCCTTTACTGCAATCTGTTTTACCAGCAAGGTATGTATGACCTGTATTTTGTGGTGACCTCCTATCTCATCCAGTGACTTAGAATGCCTTAGCCACCTGGGAATGCAGCCCAGTAGGTTTCAGCCTCATTTTACCCAGCTCCTATTAAAGATGAAGTTGTTCTGGTTCACAGGCCTTTGACACAACTGCCTTAATTGACACTGGCATGACTATATCTCTGATAAATCCCACCTTATTTAAAAACCCCATTCCTTGGATAATGAAAGAATTAACATGGTAGGTATGTCTAATAAAAGGATCTTATGTTTTAAGTCGAAACCTATACCTTATCATTTCATGGGGTTCAGATTCCTTACAGCAGGCTCTAAGTGTGACGTGCTCAGTAGGTCCCATATGTTTCTTATATGCCCTGCGGCCTCTGTCAATCTTTTGGGCTATGATCTTCTCAACACCCATGATGCCTATATCTCTTTTTCATCAAAAGGTAAACTTTTTTTATAATTGGAGCCAGGGGACCAAAAATATCAAATTAAAAAATGTCCTGACAATGTACCACAATTTAGTACTAGTAATGTTAAAACATCATCTTGTGACCAGGCAAATAAAATGGAGACAGAGGAGAAAATACTAGGGGAGAAGAGAAAATATGGGAATAAAGAGCAGGAAACAATAAAACTCCTTTCAGCTTCTCTAATTTTTCTGTTAACCCCAGAAGTGGAACACTTGCTCAAGGATGTCCCCTCCCACTTATGGTCTCAGTCAAATACAGATAAAGAAAAAAGTATACTCAGCCACTCCAATAAAGGTAGAGATAAACCCCCCAAAACCCCTACCCAACCTTAAACAGTATCCTCTATGAAAAGAAGCCATAGATGGACATGCCCCTATAATACACGATTATCTGAAATAGGGGCTCATTATTCCCTGCACAAGCCCCTGCAACAACCCTATATTCCCAATAAAAAAAAAAAAAGTGGGAGAGGATGGAGATTTGTGCAGGACTAGAGGTCAATAAACAATGTCGTATTACCCAGGCACCCAACAGTCTGCAACCACATACTTTCTATCAGTTATACCCACTACCAGCCAGTGTTTCTCAGTGTGGATCGCTGTAGTGCCTTTTTCAGTATTCCTGTAGATCCAGACAGCCAGTATTTGTTGCCTTTACTTGGAAAGACCCAGGGCTCAACACTCATTCAGTAGAAGACCTTCTCCTTTGTTCAGACACACTATCTTTCTCCCAGGAAGATAGCCTATATTTACTCAAAGAGTTAGCCACCAAGGAACACAAAGTGCCTGAAGACAAACTTTAGCTATGCTTATGGCAAGTTAAATATTTGGGGCATATAATCTCGGTCAAAGGACTGATTATTAACCTGACAGAGTGAGAGGAATTTTAGTTTTCCCAATGTCCATCACTAAGAAACAACTTAGAGGAATTTTCGGCCTGTCAGGCTATTGAAGAAACTGGATACTAAATAGACAATCTAAGGTCACATCTCAAGAAATCAGAGAAACGAGAACAAACCAAACCCAAACTCAACAAAAGAAAGAAAATAACCACGATCAGAGCAGAACTAAATAAAACTGAAACAAAAAAAATTCAAAAGATAAATGAAGGCCAGGCGCGGTGGCTCATGCCTGTAATCCCGGCACTTTGGAAGGCAGAGGCAGGCAGATCACGAGGTCAGGAGATCGGGACCATCCCGGCTAATACGATGAAACCCTGTCTCTACTAAAAATACAAAAAAAAAAAAAAAAAAAAAAAAAAAAATAGCCGGGCGTGGTGTTGGGCGCCTGTGGTCCCGGCTACTTGGGAGGCTGAGGCAGGAGAATGGCGTGAACCTGGGAGGCGGAGCTTGCGGTGAGCAGAGATCACGCCACTGCACTCCAGCCTAGGTGACAGAGCAAGACTCTGTCTCGAAAAAAAAAAAAAAAAAAAAAGAAACAAAAAGCTGGTTCTTTGAAAAGATAAGTAAAATTAATAGGACATTAGCAAGATTAACCAAGAAGAGATAAAAATCCAAATAAGTGCAATCAGAAATGAAAAAGGAGACATTACAACTGACACCATAAAAATGCAAAAGATTATTCAAGGCTACTATGAACACCTTTACATACATAAACTAGAAAATCTAGGGGAAATGGATAAATGCCTGGAAAAATACAACCCTCCTAGATTTAATCAGGAAGAATTAGAAACCCTGAAGAGACCAATAACAAGCAACAAGATTGATGGTAATTAAACAATTACCAACAAAAAAATAGTACAGGATCAGATGAATTCACAGCTGAATTCTACCAGACATTCAAAGAAGAATTGATATAAATTCTTTTGACAATATTTCAAAAGATAGAGAAAGAGGGAATTTTCTAAGTCATTCTATGAAGCCCATATCACCCCAATACCAAAACCAGAAAAGAACATAACCAAATAAGCAAACTACAGACCAATATTCTTGATGAATGTAGACACAAAAATTCTTAACAAAATATTAGCTAACTTAATTCAACAGCATATCAAAAAGATAATCCACCATAATCATGAAGGTTTTATATCAGAAACGCAGGTATTATTTAACATATGCAAGTCAATAAATGTGATACACCACATCAACAGAATTAAAAACAAAAATCACATAATTAATAGATGCAGAAAAATCATTTGACAAAATTTAGCATCACTTTATAATTAAAACCTTCAGCAAAACTGGCATACATGGGACATACCTCAATGTAATAAAAGCCATTTATGACAACCACACACTCAACATAATACTGAATGAGAAAAAGTTGAAAACATTCTTTGAGAACTGGAACAAGACAAGGATGTCTACTCTCACCATTTCTCTTTAACATAGTACTGGAAGTCCTAGCCAGAGCAGACAGGAAGAAGAAATAAAAGGTATCCAAAGCAGCAAAGAGAAAGTTAAACTGTTGCTGTTTGCTGATGATATGGTCAGATACCTAGAGAACCCTAAAGACTCTTCCAAAAAGTTTCTAGAAGTGATAAATGAATTCAATGAAGTTTCAGGATACAAAATTAATGTACACAAATTAGTAGCTCTGCTATATACCAACAGCGACCAAACTGAGAATCAAATCAAGAATGCGACACTTTTTATAATAGCTGCAAAAAAACAAACAAAAAAAACTTAGAAATATACCTAAACAAAAACATGAAATACCTTACAAGAAAAATTACAAAACCCTGCTGAGAGAAATCACAGATGACACAAACAAATGACAACACATCCCATTCTCATGGATGGGTAGAATCAATATTGTGAAAATGACTATACTGCCAAAAGCAATATAAAAATTCAATGCAGTTCCCATGAAAATATCAACATCATTCTTCACAGAACTAGAACAATCATAAAATTCATACAGAACCAAAAAGGAGCTCACATAGTGAAAGCAAGACTGAACAAAAAGAACAATCTGGAGGCATCATATTGCCTGACAGCAAACTATACTATAAACCCATAGTCACCAAAACAGCACTGTACTGTTATAAAAATAGGCACACAGACCAATAGAACAGAATAAAGAACCCAGAAATAAACCCAAATACTTACAGTAAACTGATTTTTGACAAGGCAAACAAAAACATAAAGTGCGGAAAGGACACCCTATTCAAGAAATAATGCTGGGATAATTGGCAAGCCACATGTAGAAGAATAAAACTGAAAACTCATCTCTCACCTTATACAAAAATCAACTCAAGAGGGACAAAAGACATAAATCTAAGACGTGAAACTATAAAAATTCTAGAAGATAACATTGAAAAATTTTTCTAGACATTGGCTTACTCAAAGACTTTATGACCAAGAATCTAAAAGAAAATGCAACAAAAACAAAGATAAATAGATGGGGCTTAATTAAACTGAACACCTTCTGAAAAGCAAAATAAATAATCAGCCGAGTTAACAGATAACCCACAGAGTGAGAGAAAATCTTCACAATCTATACATCTGACAAAAGACTAATATCTATACATCTGACAAAAGACTAATATCCAGAATCTACAGAAAACTCATACGAATCCGCAAAAAAAAAAAAAAAAAAAAAAAATCCATGAAAAAGTGGGCTAAGAACATAAACAGACAATTCTCAAAAGAAGATATACAAATGGCCAACAGGCATATGGAAACATGCTCAATATACCTAATTATCAGAGAAGTGCAAATCAAAACCACAATGTGATACCACCTCACTCCTGCAATAATGATCATAATCAAAAAATAAAAAAATAGGACATGTTGCCAGGGATGTGGTGAAAAAGGAATGATTTTACACTTTTGGTGTGAATGTAAACTAGCCCAACTACTATGAAAAACAGTGTGAAAATTTTTTAAAGAACTTAAAGTAGATCTTCTGTTTGATCCAGCAATCCCACTACTAGGTATCTATCCAGAGGAAAAGAAGTCATTATATGAAAAAAAATACTTACACACACGTTTATTGTCTATGTGCCTATTTGTATATCCGCACCATGCTGTTTTGGTGACAATAGCCTTATAGTCAATATAGACAATAGCCTTATAGTTTGAAGTAAGGTAATGTGATGCCTCCAGATTTGTTCTTTTTGCTTAGTCTTGCTTTGGCTATGTGGGCTCTAAGAGAATACAATTTTGTTATTTTCAATCACATGGCTAAACCTGGCAGACAGTATATTAGCTGAAATTAGCCAGGCACAGAAGGATAAATATCTCATGATTTCACTTAGACATAGATTCTAAATAACTTAATCTCATTGAAGTAGAGAGTAACATGGTGACAACCAGATGCTAAGATATTTAGAAAAAAGGGGTTGGAAAGTTATCTGTTAAAGAATACATAATTATAGTTTGTTAGGAGGAATGAGTTTAAGAGATTTATTTTGCAGGCTGGTGACTTTAATTCATAATAACGTATTTTTGAAAAATGTGAAGACAAGATTCTCTCACTAGAAAAATGTTAACTATGTGAGGTAAAGCAATTAAGAATTAATCATTTGACAATGTATACATACTTCAAAACATGTTTGGCCAGGCATGGTGGCTCATCTCTGTAATCCCAGCACTTTGGGAGGCCAAGGCAGGTGGATCACAAGGTCTAGAGACCAAGGCCAGCCTGGCCAACATGGTGAAACCCCATCTCTATTAAAATGACAAAAATTAGCTGGGCGTGGTGGCACACGCCTATAGTCCCAGCTACTTGGGAGGCTGAGGCAGGAGAACTGCTTGAACCCGGGAGGTGGAGGTTGCAGTGAGTCGAGATTGCACCACTGTACTCCAGCCTGGCGACAGAGTGAGACTCTGTCTCAAGAAAAATAAAATAAAATAAAATAAAATAATTATGTTTTACCGAATAAATACACATTTTATCTGTCATGTTAAAAATATATTTTTAGGCCGGGCGCGGTGGCTCACGCCTGTAATCCCAGCACTTTGGGAGGCCGAGGCGGGCGGATCACGAGGTCAGGAGATCGAGACCATCCTGGCTAACACGGTGAAACCCCGTCTCTACTAAAAATACAAAAAATTAGCCGGGCGTGGTAGCGGGCGCCTGTAGTCCCAGCTACTCGGGAGGCTGAGGCAGGAGAATGGCGTGAACCCGGGAGGCGGAGCTTGCAGTGAGCCGAGATCGCGCCACTGCACTCCAGCCTGGGCGACAGAGCGAGACTCCGTCTCAAAAAAAAAAAAAAAAAAAAAAAAAAAAAATATATATATATATATATATATATATATTTTTAAACATTATAAGAGGATAACAATGTTTCAAATACTGTGTTTTTGTCATAAACTTGGTTGAATGATACCAAAAATATGTAATTTTTGTGCTGTTTTTGTCACTTAATTTGTCAGTCATAAGCATAAGAACTTTGATACTTAACTGCATGTTCTGGACCCAGCACAGTACATAGGAGAAGCCAATGTACTTTAGGGCTTTTACTTAAAGCTTGGGAAACCTGGAATTTCTGGTGCAGATTTTAATAATATGGAAAACACTAAAAGGTCAGGTGTTGCTTATGGTTCCATGACTACCCACACAGTAAACAAGTTCACTTACAAATTAACAGAAAATATTTTAATCCAAAAGCTGCCATGATCCCAAAATTTTTCCAGAGAAAATGACAAGGGAGTTGGCTACAGTTAGGTGACTAAGAATGAACACTGTAGACTGAACTTTACACCCCCTAAAAATTTTACATAGAATAAGAGAAAAATTTCTCCAAATTGTAACATCAACATGGAAAAAAATATTATTCCAAATTTCAAACCCACAGAGTTCCTTTTATTATTTTGCAACACTTCACATTTACACATAAAATTAAAAAAAAACTGCATGGAAACATAAGATGCGCTATAAGTGTATCATAAAAAATTTAATTTAGGCTGGGCGCGGTGGCTCACGCCTGTAATCCCAGCACTTTGGGAGGCCGAGGCGGGCGGATCATGAGGTCAGGAGATCGAGACCATCCTGGCTAACACGGTGAAACCCCGTCTCTACTAAAAAAATACAAAAAATTAGCCGGGCGTGCTGGCGGGCACCTGTAGTCCCAGCTACTCGGAGGCTGAGGCAGGAGAATGGCGTGAACCTGGGAGGCGGAGCTTGCAGTGAGCCGAGATTGTGCCACTGCACTCCAGCCTGGGCAACAGAGCAAGACTCTGTCTCAAAAAAAAAAAAAAAAAAAAAATTTAATTTAAAATTCTTCACTCACCATTAACTCTTAAGAATTTCTAAGATAT
The DNA here is from genome assembly GCF_000001405.40 of Homo sapiens. NCBI lineage: Eukaryota > Metazoa > Chordata > Mammalia > Primates > Hominidae > Homo > Homo sapiens. The sequence continues at coordinate 64,475,133 of NC_000007.14, read as the reverse complement.
ATTTTCTAGCAAATTTTATATATGCCACAATTTGTGTAAGAAACTAATAAAATTTTCCTTTTACACACATAGGAAAACAATGCTAACTGATTTAATCCTCTCATCTGTCGACAGTGTATGCCTATTATGTTAATTAACTGATCTGAAAGTTATATTAATAAACTCTCCAGTTAAAACCAATTTTTTAGTGCATTAAAAAATACCAACTTTCTCATCAGAACCTACAAAGTACCAAGTGAAATGACACGGCATGAAGACAACAGTGAGTAAACTGTAATCACAACACAGAAAAAGGAGACGGGCTGTAATGCATACATAGTTGGAATACAATAAAATGACAAAACTGAAGATAATTAGAATGTAACAGAAGCAGAATTTGTTTAAATTCAGCAAAATTCAGCTTTGCAGCCTGTAATAAATGTTCTCTTCACATGAATAGTTAGTTATTTCTTCACAATTCATATTTTCCATCTCTGACTTGAAGTTACAAACTAACTCCAGCAGAAATATTTATGGCTTATTATGGAGCATCTGTTATACAGCAAGCACTTTCATGTTTTTTGCTACATTTATATTTTTAAAAATCCTCATGACTTATAAAGCCTGTACTTACCTGAACAAATTGGTTCAATAAATAAATTTACTTGTGTCAATTATAAACATGAAAGAAACAATAACTAAAGAATAGTAGGCTTGGCCAGGCGCGGTGGCTCATGCCTGTAATCCTAGCACTTTGGGATGCTAAGGTGGGTGGATTGCCTGAGGTCAAGAGTTTGAGACCAGCCTGTACAACATGGTGAAATCCCATCTCTACTAAAAATATAAAAAGTTAGCCAGGTGTGGTGGCACATGCCTGTGATCCCAGCTACTTGGGAGGCTGAGGCAGGAGAATCACTTGAATCTGGGAGGCGGAGGTTGCAGTGAGCTGAGATCACGCCATTGCACTCCAGCCTGGGCAACAAGAGTGAAACTCCGTCTCACACAAAAAAAGAAAAAGAAAAAAGAAAACAAGAATAGTATGCTTATATAGGGTTCTGCAATTAAATGGAATATTCTAACTGAAAACATAATACACTAATTTTGGAATTACATCTAAAAATTATTTTGTGTGCACTACTAGATTTTATTAAAATCATTCATATAATCCCTTACCAGCTCATATAATGAGTACTTTATATACTATATAACAAAGAAATTATAACATACAAGATAATTATAAGTCTAGCATGAGTACCAGGCAAGTAAAAAAAAAATTGCATGAGGAGATTCTGAACCATAAGCCTTAATATTTTACAGTAATGAATTCAACATAAAGCAGAGATCATAGATTTGTTTCCAGCATTTTTGAAGTTTTTAGTTTTCTAGTAAATTAGTCAGCTTATTAAAATAATGCTTTGTTTCAATATCGCTTTTTACTCTGAAAATAAGTACAAACTCATACTTACACACACACTTACTTCATAATTTACTTTCACCTAACAGTTATCTTTATAGTAATATATGTTTGTGTAAATAAAAATTAAAAGTCTGTGTTTCCAGGAAGAGAGGGCACATGTTCATAGAAAAATATAATAAAACTTGAAAAATATTTAGGACTCAGAAATGTATAAATTTATGTATATGTCTATGTAATTTTTATTATGACCTAAAATGACCTGGTAGTCACTAACAGTTTAACTGTACATTTTAATATAACTAGAAGTGTACAATTGGATTGTTTGTAATACAAAGGATAAATGCTAGAGGTGATAGATACCTGATTCACCCAGATGTGATTATTACAGATTGTATGCCTGTGTCAAAACATAACATAGGACAGGCACGGTGGCTCACCCCTGTAATCCCAGCACTTTGGGAGGCCGAGGTGTGTGGATCACCTGAGGTCAGGAGTTCGAGACCAGCCTGGCCAACATGATGAAACCTCATCTCTACTAAAAATACAAAAAAATTAGCCGGGCGTGGTGGCATATGCCTGTAGTCCCAGCTACTTGGGAGACTGAGGCAGGAGAATCACTTGAACCCCAGAGGTGTAGGTTGCAGTGAACTGAGATCATGCCACTGAACTCCAGCCTGGGTGACAGAGTGAAAAACAAAAACTAAAACTAAAAAACATAACATATATGGCATAAATATATGCACATACCCTGTACCCACAAAAATTAAGAAATATAAATTTAAATAAAAAGAAAAGAAATAAAAATTTAAGTGATGGGAACAATGTTCTTTAACTTATTTGCAGTTTAAAGCCACTGGCAAAAGAGATTACTGGAGATATTATTCCACTATTTTACCAAATCACATACTGTTACTATCTTTTACCTACACTCTTGAGTAAGGTGGAATAGGTGAATGTTAGTGGTATAACACTTTATTGAATGCACAATAGTCTTAACATGTTAAAAATGTACAATTAAAAAATTAAGTTCACACATAATCTAAAAATTTTTAAATGTACTGCATTTTACTGCATAAAAGTACAATTAGTAAATTGGTAATTTAATTACTTTTTTTTTTTTTTGAGATGGAGTCTTGCTCTGTCACCCAGTGGGGAATGCAGTGGCACGATCTTGGTTAACTGCAGCCTCTGTCCCCCAGGTTCCAGTGATTCTCCTGCCTCAGCATCCCCAGAGCCTGGGATTACAGGCACACACCACCATGCCTGGCTAATTTTTGTATTTTTAATAGAGGCAGGGTTTCACCATGTTGGCCAGGCTTGTCTCGAACTCCTGACCTTAGATGATCCACCCACATTGGCCTCCCAAAGTGTTGGGATTACAGGCATGAGCCACTGTGCCCAGCCCCTTTAATTTAAACTAAAATTAAAAATGCCTTTCTCTCACTATAATGCAGAAGAATATTACTCTGAACACCTACCTCATCACTCAGTATTATAAGTTAACCACCAAGAACCTACTTAGATTTTCATTATAAATCTTAAGCTTTAATGCCCTTACTCTTCTATAGAAAAAAATCAGTGTTCACCTAATAAAAAAGAATCTCGTATCTCTGACACAGCAACAATTCGTTACATGCTTTCACATGTGAATACAATAGGAATGAAAAAACATAATAATGTAATTTGAGAGTTGAATTCATCATTATCTGCTTTTCAAATAATCTGCAATCTTTTTAAAAGTATACTTTGAATGTAATTATAACTCTCCTGAAAATCTTCTACTCCTGTTTTTTTTTTTTTTTTCTTTTTTTGAGATGGAGTTTTGCTCCTGTTGCTCAGGCTGGAGTGCAATGGCGTGATCTTGGCTCACCACAACCTCTTCCTTCCGGGTTCAAACAATTCTCCTGCCTCAGCCTCCTGAGTAGCTGGGATTACAGGCATGCGCCACCACACCCAGCTAATTTTGTTTTTCCAAGTTGATCAGGCTGGTCTCAAACTCCTGACCTCAGGTCAGGCTCCCAAAGTGCTGAGATTACAGGCGTGAGCCACTGCATCCGGCCTTACTCCTTTTACAGTTATATACAAATCATCTAACAACTTGAGTTATATTTTCTATACTGAACACTCTGATTTAGTGTAATATCTAAAGTGTCAGTAACTTATTTCTACTGTAAATTCTGATATTTACATAGACTGTGAATTAAATATTTTTCATACTTACTTCATCTGCAAAAATATATTTCAGTATAAATTCTCTGTTTTCTAGGCTATGGTTTTTTAAAAAATGTGTTTCCAAATTTATTACATTTGCAAGATTTTTGTCCAATATAAATTATCTGATTTTGAACAAAGTTTGAGCAACTGCTTCAGGGTTTTCCTCTAGTATAAAATGTGTACAATATGATTTGTGATACAAGTAAAGGTACTACACCATCCTTATATTTGTAATATTTGTCTTCAGCATAAACATGCTTTTTACTTTAAAGGGTTATAGTTTCTGAAAGATCTTTTGACAGTAATTGCATTTATAATGCTCCTAATTAAGTAAAAATTCTGATGTTGAGTAAGATGTGAGCAGACATCAATGACATTTTTATATTCTTTATATTTGTATAATCTTTCTCAAGTATAAATGTTTTCCTGTGCAATAAGGTGTGGATATTGCTTCACAGTTTTGCCACATTCTTTACTTATTAAGTTTTCTCCAGTATAAATTATCTTACCTATAATCAAGTGTGACAACCACTTGAAGGTTTTGTCACGTTCTTCACATTTTTAAAATTTATTTTTTATTTTTTTTTTAGACAGAGTCTTGCTCTGTAGCCCAGGCTGGAGTGCAGTGGCGCAATCTCAGCTCACTGCAAGCTCTGCCTCCCGGGTTCACACCATTCTCCTGCCTCAACCTCCCAAGTAGCTGGGACTACAGGCGCCTGCCACCACACCCAGCTAATTTTTTGTATTTTTAGTAGAGACGGGGTTTCACCGTGTTAGCCAGGATGGTCTCAATCTCCTGACCTCATGATCCGCCCGCCTCAGCCTCCCAAAGTGCTGGGATTACAGGCGTGAGCCACCGTGCCCGGCCACACATTCTTCACATTTTAAAGGTTTTTCACCAGGATGATTTTTTGTATATTTAGAAAAGTTGGAGGTGTTGTCAAAATCATTGTCATATCTTTTAGGTTTGTAGAGTTTCTCATCAGTATGAATTTTTTTATGTCTAGTAAGGTTTGAGGAGCAGTTAAAAGCTTTGCCACATTTGTCACATTTGTGGGGTTTTTCTCCCGTATGAATTTTCTTATGATCAGCAAGAGTTGCAGCCTAGTTAAAAACATTGTCACATTCAACATATTTGTAAGATTTCTCTCCAGTATTAATTGCTTTATGATTAGTAAAGGTTGAGAATACACTAAAGCTTTTGCCACATTCTTCACATTTGTAGGTATTCTTTCTAGTATGAATTATCTTATGTCAGGTAAGGTAGGAGGGCCCATTAAAACATTTGCCACATTCTTCACATTTGTAGGGTTTCTCTCCTGTATGATTTCTCATGTGTTCAGTAAGGTCTGAGGACTGGGTAAAAGCTTTTCATCATTCTTCATATTGTAGGATTTCTCTCCGGTATGAATTCTTTTATGTTTAATAAGGTTTGCAAACTGGTTAAAAGCTTTGCCACATTCTTCACATTTGTAGGATTTCTTTCCAGTATGAGTTTTCTTATGTTTAGTAAGGTGTGAAAACTGGTTAAAACCTTTGCCACATTCTTTACATTTGTAGGGTTTCTCTCCAGTATGAGTTTTCTTATGTTTAGTAAGGTGTGAAAACTGGTTAAAACCTTTCCCACATTCTTTACGTTTGTAGGGTTTCTCTCCAGTATGAATTCTCTTACAGTTGGTAAGGGTTGAGAACTGGTTAAAGGCTTTGTGACATTCATCACCTTTGAAGGGTTTGTCTCCAGTATGAATTATCTTAAGTTTACTAAGGATTGAGAATACACTAAAACCTTTGCCACATAATAACATTTGTAGGATTTCTCTTTAGTATGAATTTTCTTATGTCTAATAAGGGTTGAAGATTGGTTAAAGGCTTTGCCACATTCTTCTCATTTGTAGGGTTTCTCTTCTGTATGAATTCTTTTACGTTTAATAAGCTGTGATAACCAGTTAAAAACTTTAGCACACACCTCACATTTGTAGGAATTATCTCTAGTATGAATGCTTTTATGTCATGTTAGGTGTGAAAACATGCAAAATGATTTGCCACATTCTTTACATTTGAAGGGTTTCTTGTCAGGATGTCTTATGACAATTTGAATTTAAAAATATATGAAAGACTTTCATATATTTATCACATTGAAATATTCTGCTCTGAGTAGTTGTCAAACATTTGTTAAGTTCATTATAACCTCTTTTGTGCACCTTATACTCATCCACACTTTTACAGTTTATTCTTTACTGTAAATTTTTATGTCCACATTTTCCATATCTTCTCAGTATCACTTTTTGGAAAGAAGCCTTTATGCCTTGTTCTAGCCAAAGATCTTGGGCATAATGAGAATACTTAACTGAAAGAAATAAAAATAAAATATTTCTCCACTTGCTAGAGTCAGATGAATATACTTTACAAATCTAATGTATAGGCTGAGTATGGTGGCTCATGCCTATAATCACAGCACTCTCGGAGGCTGAGGTGGGTGAATGACTTGAGGTCAGGAGTTTGAGACCAGCCTGGCCAACATGGTGAAACCCTGTCTCTACTAAAAATACAAAAATTAGCTGGGCATGGTGGTGGGCACCTGTAATCCCAGCTACTCAGGAGGCCAAGGCAGGAGAATTGCTTGAACCCAGGAGGCAGAGGTTGCAGTGAGCCAAGATTGTGCCACTGTGCTCCAGCCTGGGCAACAGAGCAAGACTCTGTCTCAAAAAATAAAATAAGTCAAATAGAAGAAATGTATAGAACAAAAAAAGGGGTGGGGAAAGATGAAGCACATAGACAATCCTGGTAAACAGCTGTGATTAATAAAATTATCCATCTTTTGTGTTCTCCAGGAACAGTTTACAGAAAAAAACACCCTGTCCATTTGACTTAGATGGTGTAAGTACTCTCTTATCTTACTTATCACATAGCCAAACATGAACTCTCCACATCTTCTTTTTCTCATTAAGAAATCAGTTGGATTTGTCTTCAGTGGTCAGAATAAAATACTTCTTAATCAAAGTTTATCTCCTTCCCACAAGCTTCTGAACTTTGAGCTACCCTCAGTCTGAGCCAACATAGAACCCCATTTTATGTCCCTTTTAAGAACATGCTGAGTTCAGGGTAAAAAATGTTCTGATCTAAAATATAATTATTTTCACCCTCCATTTGCCATCCCCCCCCACCTCCTTTTTATTTTATTTTAGTTTTTTTGAGACGGAGTCTCGCTCTGTCGCCCAGGCTGGAGTGCAGTGGCGCGATCTCGGCTCACTGCAAGCTCCGCCTCCCAGGTTCACGCCATTCTCCTGCCTCAGCCTCCCGAGTAGCTGGGACTATAGGCGCCCGCCACCACGCCCAGCTAATTTTTTGTATTTTTAGTAGAGATGGGGTTTCACCGTGTTAGCCAGGATGGTCTCGATCTCCTGACTTGTGATCCGCCCGTCTCAGCCTCCCAACCTGCTGGGATTACAGGCGTGAGCCACCGCGCCCAGCCCCCATCTCCTTTTTAATCTTGTTTGCTCCTCCCTATGAAAGAAAGCCCTTGTCTGCCTAGACTTTGCAGTCCTTAAAGATCTTATAGTTGGTACTTCCTCCTGTTGCAATGCTTGTTTGGTATTCAAATTTTTTACATAAATCTAACTTTATTTTACAATGTTTAGAAACTGCCTCAAAACAATAACAACTTCATCTTCAGTAAAACCCTCCCAATCTCCTTCCTTCTTAACCTTAACTGCATCTGCCTGTGGGTCCCCAGCTTTCTAGGGCTCTGTAGCCTCAGTATAAAGGATTCTTTCATGGCTGGGGTGCACAGGCTGGGACACCTGCAGGGGAGGCTCCCTAGAAAGAATTAACTGGACCTTTAATAACATCCTTTTGCAGGCTCAATATTAGCCCTAGCTTGGAGTCACCAGGCTAAAGATTTGATTTCTATGTCAAAGGTATTCACTTGGTTTTTGAAAGTAACTGTTTGAAAAATCCAGCACAATTACTCAAACATGGTGTTACTGTAAGGAAAGGAATTTATACGCTGCTTACACTTCACACTTCAATAAGAAAAGTAAAAGTATTTATTCCTTTCAGATAATAAATGTATTATTTTATTATTTCCATTAATAATCATGTAGTAAACAACTAGTCATATGGGAACACTTCTAAGTGGTACCAAGTTTCACCTCATAAAATTTAGCATGAAACTCAGAAATCAGGCCGGGTGTGGTGGCTCACGCCTGTAATCCCAGCACTTTGGGAGGCTGAGGCGGGCGGATCACGAGGTCAGGAGATCGAGACCATCCTGGCTAACACGGTGAAACCCCGTCTCTACTAAAAAAATATATAAAAAATTAGCCAGGCGTGGTGGCGGGCGCCTGTAGTCCCAGCTACTTGGGAGGCTGAGGCAGGAGAATGGCGTGAACCCGGGAGGTGGAGCTTGCAGTGAGCTGAGATTGTGCCACTGCACTCCAGCCTGGGCAACAAGCAAGACTCCGTCTCAAAAAAAAAAAAAAAAAAAAAAGAAACTCAGAAATCAAAATAATGGGATCTAGAACAGAGATAGTGTCACAAACTTACCCTGCAAAAAAAGAAACTGATGTTTTCATGAATCTATGTAACTCACCAATTAGCTACAACATTTTCTTGTGGAAATGTATTCATTTTCTAAAACCAAAATAAAAGAGTGATTTTCCCTATAATTTTCCTTGGTAGCTAGTAATCTAAAAGCTAAGCCTTGAAATTCTGTTTGAAATCACTCAGCCATAAAAAATACACCTGAGAAAATTGTTAAACTCACTCTGGGAAAGAAAAAAGTAAATGAGAATTATTAACAAATGGAATATATGATTACATATTAATTTTTTTAACCCACCTCTTTTATGTCCTTTTTAATTATTTTTTTCTACCTGTCAAGCCCTACTTAATAAAATGCAATTTACAGTTTAAAAACTGAGGTCAGGCTGGGTACCATGGTTCACGCTTGTAATCCCAGCACTTTGGGAGGCTGAGGCGGGTGGAACACCTGAGGTCAGGAGTTTGACACCAACCTGGCCAACATGGTGAAACCCAGTCTCTACTAAAAATACAAAAATTAGCTGGGCGTGGTGGTGTGCGCCTGTAATCCCAGCTACTCCGGAGGCTGAGGCAGAAGAATCGCTTGAACCCAGGAGGTGGAGGTTGCTGTGAGCTGAGAGCGCACCACTGCACTCTAGCCTGGGCAATAGAGCAAGACTCGGTCTTGGTTAAAAAAATAAAATAAAATAACTGAGGTCAAAATAAGTAAACAAATATTTTCACAGTGACAAATTTATGGTGTGGCAGTGCTGATTAAAAAACAGATGTGCCTGACTCATGTGTCAAGTCAGGCCATCCAATCGCTTAAGAGATTCTCACCCCCCATCCTGCTCACTTAAGTGCTCAATAACCTGTCTCTCAGGAGACATTGCACTATGCCCCAGTGCGTGCCCCAGGTGCATTTTACTTTGCACCTGGGGTTAAGTTATTGAACCATCTCACTGGGGTCAGTTTTTGTTTGTTTTTTTGGAATACTATTTTTTCTTTCACAAATTTTTCACTATTTGTCTTTCACTATTTTTCCTCTGTTGTACTTCTTTCACAATTTTTCCTCTGTTGTATTTCTTTCACAATTTTTCTGCCCCTATACAGAATCCAGGGAGCAAAAATTATTTCTGTGTTTTCCCCTCAATACCAGCATCTGATTATCTGACCAGCAATGTGTCTACAAGAAATGGAATCTGGCTTGAAGACAATCTTAATGTCTCACGGGGTTAACTTTTCAAAAAAAATAGTATACCAGGAGATTCCTCTCAGCCCTAGGGCATCCATCTGCTCTTTCAAGAGGCTACACTCCATACCTCCAGTTTTCCTATTGGAGAAAATGACCCAGGACCTGAGAGTCACTAGACATTATAGCAGACAGCCATGGTGGGTATCTTGGTTCATCCCCAGACAGTACTGAAACCCAGGACCAGTAAAAAAGTAAATGATGGCTGAGAACACATCACCCCATAGTTTCCAAAGGGAAACCATGACCCAAAAACATTCTGACAAGATCTCTGTGCCTAGGGAAGATAAAAGAAAAAGAGGCACAGACTTTTTTACAATACAGTGTCTGTGGAACTTTCTTCTTATGGGAAATATTTACAAACAGAAAACAAATGTTTTAAAAAGTGCCATCCAATACTTTGTCATAATGATTAATAATGATTAATTAAAATGCAGTATCAAAAATGTATACTAAAGAACAAATAGTTGATCATGCAAATTAGGGAGGGGAAGTTGGCATTTGGGAATGTCACAAGGAACTGGAAATTTAGTATTTTACTGCAAGCCAGAGTTAGACTGAAGGATTAGGGGGTGGGGGGTAGACTTGAGACCCTGTTTGGGACACATGTGAAAAATGCAGGGTAAAATCTGTCCCCTGTGGAGTGTGAACATAATTAAATGGCAGGCAATTAGACTGAGGTGGCTCTAGCCCCTGGATTCCTACTTAAAAAAACAAAAATCTAACTCAAGTGCATTTTTTTGTCAATTACTATATTGGAGAAAGCAAAATTTAGGCAACTATAAACTGCCAATTAACCGCTGATTACATTATCAGGAAATTTTCACCTCGATCATACAAGTTGAGAAACTACGTAACTGTACCTAACCACTGATTTTCTTCATCATGCACCTTAAAATGACTTTTTTTTTTTTTGAAATGAAGTCTCGCTCTTGTCTCCCAGGCTGCAGTGCGATGGCGTGATCTCGGCTTACTGCAACCTCCGCCTCCCGGGTTCAAGGGATTCTCCTGCCTCGGCCCCCTGAGTAGCTGGGATTACAGGCGCCTGCCACCACCTCCGTCTAATTTTTGTATTTTTAGTTGAGACAGGGTTTCACCATGTTAGTCAGGCTGGTCTCGAACTCTTGACCTCAGGTGATCCACCCGCCTTGGTCTCCCAAAATGCTGGGATTACAGGCGTAAGCCACCGCGCCTGGCCTAAAATGACTTTTCTTTAAGTCCACCTGATGGAACATAAACTAGAAACCATAGCTTGGTGCTCTACAATTTTTGAATCACTCTTTGATTAAATTCTTTAATATTTTTCTGGTTACTCCCATAAATACTTTACAGGAGAAAAGAGTGACTGGGAACCCCACGGATCAAAGCTCTTCCCATTCATAAACCCCGCACCCCGAGTCAGGATTCTCCCGACTACCTTCTCGCGGTCCCTGCACAATCGGGGAGGGATGCGGCGCTGTAGGTGCAGAGCTGCCCAGAGAGGACTCCAGGCCAGGGCACAGTCACTGCGCAGGGAGGAGACAGGACGCCCGGGGTCACTGCTGTGAGCCGGGCCGCCATCTTATGGCTAAAGGGGGCTGAGGGCCGAGCTGAGCCAAGGAGAACTCAGTGGGGACGGGGGAGGTCCGTGGAATTTGGAGCCGACTTCGGGGAGGCCCGAGTCCCGCCACAGCCACTTCCTACCGGTTCCAACCAGCCCCCTCCCTCTCTCTCGGGATGTCGGACCCGTCACTCTCACCACTTCTAGGCTTCCAGGGGGTCCTGGCGTCTTAGCTGTGGATCTCCCAATACCTACAGGTCACAGGGACACAGAGGTTGGGCCTCTAGGAGCAGAGGACACAGAAAAGCGAAGAGAAGACCTGGAGCTCCAATGGTAGCGAGACAAAGGCCGCGCCAAATCCCGGAAGCCGTCCTGTCCGCTCCAGCTACGTGCCTGATTGGACGGTTCCTAGCCCAGCGATCCTGATTGGATAATGTTTAGGGCCCCACCCACTCAGGCCCTGAGTAGCGGAAGATGTGCTCAGATGCTGGGCTGAATGAAGACAGAGTGAAACCTAAGCTGCCGCCTTTTCAGGCAGGGCTTTTTCCTGAGCTGAGCCAGTCCCGCCCCAGAGGGCATTTGCATTTAACCATGCGTATAAGGTCATATGCATTTATAAATAATATATTATATGGCTATTCACAAATGCAAAGAATATAATAACCATTATTTAACAAATTCAGATTTTATGACCTTCCTGGCTTCTGGTTGTTGAGCAGGCAGCCTGGGATTTTAAAACGGAGGCAATCCTCTGAAATAAAATGTGAGCCACATGTGAATTTTACATTTTCTGGTAGCCAAACTTTAAAAAAAGAAGAAACAGGTGGAATTGATTGTAGCAATTTAATTAACTCACTATATTCAAAATATTATCATTTCAATATGTAAGAAATATTTATTACTAATAAAGTGTATATATATATATGGAAATAAATCTTTGAAACTAACTCTGTATTTTACCTTTCTAGAACATCGCAGTTCAGACCAGCCACATACCAGGCACTCAGTAGCCACACTTGGTCAATAGCTGCTACATTAAAGTGTAGCTTCGACGACAGGGGATGAAGATCCTGAAAAAATCTTTTCCGCCAGAGGTGAAGGAAGAGCCTCTCCCTACCAACATCTCTCTTCAGTTCCGAGGGTGGAACAGATACTGTCCATGTAAAAAGCAGAGGGCAGCAGGAATAAAATAATCACAGGTACATCATTGCTGGCCCACCTGTTGGTGTACCTGTGATTATTTTATTCCTAAGTTATAAACTAAAGATCTCTACATTGTAAGCTAAAGACTGTTGAAGTAAGAAACTAAATAATACACAAATACTTGCAAAGATATTTATTTGTAAATTGGCATAATTAATATTGTTAAATGTCTGTATTACACAAAATGATCTGCAGATATAATACAACCTTTATCAAAAACCAATGACTTTCTTCACAGAAACATTTAAAAACAATTCCAAAATTTATACGGTACTAGAAAAGACTCTCACTATGCAATAAAAAAAAATAAAAAAAAAAACAAACCCACAGCTGAGAACATTCCCCTACCAGACTTCAAAATATCCTGCAAAGGTATAGTAGCCAAAACTGTATGGTACTGGCTTAAAAATTAACTCATAGGTTAATGAAGCAGAATAGAGAGACCAGAAGTAAATCCATGCATTTACAATTAATTGATTTTAGATGAAGGTGACAAGTTATTAAAAAAAGAGAGTCTCTTCAATAAATGATGTTGGGAAAACTTTATATCCACATGAAAACAATAAAATAAGACCCTCATCTCATACCATGTATAGAACTCATCTAAAATGAATTAGAAACTTGAATTTAAGACTTGAAACTCTGAAACTTCTACAAGAAAAAATATTGTTAAAGCTTTATAACATGAGTCCGGGCAATGATGTTTTGGATTTAACCTCAAAATCCTAGAGAACAAATGTAAACATAGATAAATCAGATTATTTCAAATTAAAAAGCTATTACACATCAGCATTTGCAATCAAGAGAATAATAAGACAACTAAAATGTGTGAGAAAATATTTCCAAATTTTACATCTGACAAGAGGTTAAATATCAAAAATATATAAGAAACTCAAATGACTATACAACAAAGAAGACAACTATTAAAAATGAGCAAAAGGCCAAAATAGACATTTTTCAAAAAAGGACATACACATGACAAACATATCTTTAAAAAAAAGGTTCAATGTCAGTTATCTTCAGGGAAAGGCAAGCCAAAACATTGATAAGATATCAATTCACTCTTGCTAGAATGACTCTTATTAAAAAGAAAAAGATAACAAGTATTAGTAAATAGGGGAAAGAGAATGCTTAAACACTGTTGGTGTGAATATAAATCAGTAAAGCCATTATAAAAAACAGAATGAAGATTTCTCAAAAAGATTAACATAGTACTATCATATGATGCTGCAATTGCACTATTGGGTCTAAATCCCAAAACAAATAAAATACGTATGTTGAAGAGAAATCTGCACTACTATATTTATTGCAGAACTCTTCACAGATTCATAGTATAGAATCAGTCTAAGTGTCTATCATCCAATAAGTGAATAAAGACAATGTGGTATATATTTTTTGTTTGTATGTATTTTTTATATAAACATATATATAATATATATGTATATTTCAGGTTATATTTATAGTATATATATTTATATATATTGTGTATATACATATTTTGTGTATATGTATATACACAAAATAAGAAAATCCTGTCATTTGCAATCATATGGATGAACCTAGAGGAAATTATATTTGTTAAAGTAAGTCAAGCACAGAAAGATTAACACCTCATCATTTCACTGTTGTTCACTTATCTAAACAACTTGATGTTATTAAAGTAGAGAGTTTTGTGGTGGTTACCAGATTCTAATGTAATTAGAAGAAAGAAATGTATGTGGAGATGTCTGTGAAAAGATATATAATTACAGTTGGCTAGGAAAAATAAGTTCAAAAGGACTATTGTACAGAATAGTGACTATAGTTAGTAATGATATATTGCATTTTTAAAAAATGCTAGGACAGTCAATTTTATATGCTCTTGTCGCAAAAGTGTCAATGATGTGAGATAAAGCATTTGTTAATTACCTAGAATTAAGCATTGACAATGTATATATACTTTAAAACATCATGTTTTATGGATAAATACAGATTTTATGCATCAATTTAAAAACATATTTTTAAAAACATTATAGAAAAATGAAAGTGTTTCAAATGCTCTCTTTGTCATAAACTTAACTAAATCATATCAAAAGTATATAGTTTTAGTTTAGTTTTTTTTGTTGTTTTTTTTTGTTTTTTTTTGTTTTTGAGATGGAGTCTCATTCTGTCACGCAGGCTGGAGGGCAGTGTGCAATCTCGGCTCACTGCAACCTCCACCTCCCAAGTTCAAGCGATTCTCCTGCCTCAGCCTCCCAAGTAGTTGGGACTACAGGTGTGTGCCACCATGGCTGGCTAATTTTTTGTATTTTTAGTAGAAGCAGGGTTTCACCATGTTAGCCAGGCTGGTCTTGATCTCCTGACCTTGTGATCCACCCACCTCAGCCTCCCAAGGTGCTGGGATTACAGGCGTGAGCCACCGCACCCAGCCAGTTTTGTTTTTTAAATTTAATAACTATAGAAACTCTAATATTTACCAGCATATTCTAGACCCAGCACAGAACATGGGAAGAGCCAATGTACTCTAGGGCTTTTACTTTAAGCTTGAGGCATCTTGGAGTTTCTAGTGCTGATGGTAATGAGGCAGAAATTTAAAAATAAATATGCGTTCATTCACTCTAAGAAAAGTAACAGGCAAGGCAAGGGTTAAAAAGAAAACAATAACTGTTCCTCTGCTTAGCAGCTCACTTCAAGGACAGTTATAAGATAATGCTGTCTGGAAAGCCAAGGCCAAAGGAATGGGCTTCAGACACCACCCCCCTACCCGCTACCAGAACAACGTTGAAGGGAAAAAAAGAAGAGAAAGACAAATTCTTTTACTGTTACTCCTTTCCCTGGTTTCTTAAGCATGATTATGTTTTACAAATGTCTGTATTTAGCCAGTTCTTGTTTTTCTTTTGACGCAGCTACAAGGTCACTAGCTATGCAAGGCCACAAGTTATGCTAAGTCAACAGTTATGCTATAGATTACGTGACCTGTCATTGTATGATTAACTGCTTTTGTTTTGCCTCTGTAAGTTTGCTTATAAAAACCCTGCTCTGTATTTGTTCAAGACTCAGCTTTTTGAATGCAAATCCACTGAGCCAGTGCATACCTAAAATAAACAATCCTCCTGTTCTCCATATCGGTCTCACCATTCCTCAGTTTCCCGCAACAGTAATAGTATGAAAGACATTAAAAGGGCAGGTCTCATAATTAACTATTCTGTAAACACATTAAATAAATTTGCACCCAAAATCAGTGAGAAAATGTTTTAATTGAAAAGCTGCCACGATCTCCAATCTTGGCTACAGTTAGGTAACTAAAAACTGTAGGCCATAAGCTGCACCCAGTAAAATAAAAAAAATTGTAAGAGAAATTCTTCAAGATTGTAATCTCAATCTGGAAAGGAAAGATCATTTCAGATTTTAAATCCACAAGGTTATTCTATTATTTTTCCACACTTAACATTCACACTCAAACAGAAGATTTTACATGGAAAAATAAGCTGTGGTATATGTGTGTCACCAAAATCTTAATTTAGAATTACTCACTTACCATTAAGTATCCTGAAAATGTTATTTGTAAGATACATTTTCTCGTAAGAGATTTCAAAATTCTGATTTGTTTCTTTCTATGGTGCTTACAATATGCAACCTACTCACGTTCATGCTTTACCTATTCTAACTAATGTAATATTTACCACATTTTGTGTTGGAATCTCATAAAAATGAGACAAAGACAAACAATGCTAACAGCCTGATTTATGCCTTTTATCTCAATTAAATGATTTAACCATTGCATTGATAAGCTGTAAAGAACCTCAAACCCTTCAGTTAAAAAACAGGTTTTCATCACATTAAATAATTTCAAACTTCTCATCAGGACCTAGAAAGAACATGTGAAAGGACATGGCATGGAGAAAACAGTGAAAAAACTGTAGCCATAAAACAGTCCTCTTTTGAACTGTAGTTTTGGCTGTAAAATGACCATGTAAAGCTTTACTTTTTGTTGTATAACTTGCACTATCAAGTAAGCATCTTTTCTTACCTTGAAAAGTCTATGCCTTGAAAAATTGTCATTTTGTTTTCAAAGTCTGAATAAATTTCTTAACACTTTATACTTTGTGCTTTCAATATTACCAAATATTTGTGAGTTTCTATAATATAAAGGTTTTTCTCAGTACTCCTTTTTTAAAGGATTTTAATCTTTTTTACTACCTCTGTTTTTCATGTTGATAATTTTGTTTTCCATTAAGACATTTGGCTATGAATATCCAGATATTCTCAAATATCAACAGTGTAAAGATTCTTGGGACTATTTTTTTCTATTAACTCCACTTATGTTTGATTCAAAGTTGACAGCTATTTTAAGCACTTTTTATTTCTTTTCTGCATGTTTATATTAATGGGTCAATTCTCACTATGGATTATCCATTGTTTATGTACTATTAGTCTGGGTTTATCAATCTTAAGTCAAAAAGGGCAATACATTTACAACTTTTCTGCTTGAAAATAAATAACAGGTTTCCAATTACCAATCACCAGCAGAACTTGAAGACAGTGATGTGATGTGTCTTGGTGCAATGATATTAATCAGAATGAAAAAAAGATTAAAACTCTGGACAAATTCAAGCATGGGCAAATAGGACAATAACATTAAACAGAAACCTAATGACTCAACAGTTCTTCCTATGAGAATATACTTACAGAAATTCTATTAAAGAACACATGAAGCTCTATACCATTCCCTTCACTGAAGAAGGATTTGTAATAGCCTGAAACTAACAATACTTTTAGTGTCTGTGATGGTTTATTCTATGTGTCAACATGGCTAAGCTTTGGTACTAAGTTTTTTTGTTTGTGAAACACCAGTCTAGATGTTGGTGTAAAGGTATCTTTTTGATGAGATTAACATTTAAATACTTAGCATTTTCTTCAGTTGAACAAAGCATGCTACCCTCATAATATGGCAGAAACTCATTTTACCCATTGGAGGCTTTAAGAGGAAATATTGAGTTCTCCCAAGGAAAAATATCCTACTTACATAATAGCTTTAGACTTGAGACTAAAACATCAACACTTCCCTAAGTATCCAGTGCCACTTTATTCTTCAGATTTAGCATTGTCAGCCTCAATAATTGAGTGAGTCAATTTTTAAAAATAAGTCCTTTTTTTTCTAAGGAGGTAATGTCAGAAAGACGGCATACTAGGAAGTTTCAGGCCCTCAGTTCCCTGTGGAAATAAGAAATTAACAACAACATATGCACAAAATATCTTTGTGGCAACTCTAGCAATCAATTGAGAAACTGTAGCAACCAACCGAATGCTTAGTTATGAAAAAAACTGCACCTCAAATGCTAGAAAATTCGGCGGCATTTTTCATGTGCTTTTTCTCTATCCTGATCTGGTGCAGTGTACTGTAATCTGAAGGAAGGCAGCCAATTCACAATTTCTACCTCATATAAAATGGAATAACTAGAAATAACTTGGATCATTGTAGTTAATTGCTGTACTAACTGAGGTAGTGGCTCCTGTTTTATTCAACTCGAAACACTGATATAAATGAAGCAAAATTTGGATAACAGAATGGAGGCCGTGAAAATCAGCAGCAGGCACCGTGTTGTGTTAGATTTGCAGAAATTCTATAGTAATCCAGGGACCTGAAGGCAGCAAGTTACAGTCAGAGAAACAAAACAGAAACCCCAGGCTTTTGAGACAAAACTGGCTGAAACTCTTGGGTAAATTGAGACATGAGAAGTATATTTATCAGAAACTGGAATAAAAATATACACTAAAAACCCAGGAAGCTTTTGTGAGTTTCTAGCATCTCTACACCACACTGATTAGTGACAGTTTATTCCTGCAGTAAGCCTGTCTATAAACAGTGAATAAAGTGCCTGGGGTTTTTATTTTTTCTGCAAATTATTAACTCTCATAAAAAGATTATAAGGCATATAAAACAGGGAAACATGGCTCAATCAATAGAACAAAATAAACCTTCAGAAAACAAGCCTAAAGAAACATAGATTTATGTCTTGCTTTATGAATAATTTAAAACAACTGTGTAGTCCCAGGTACTTGGAAGGCTGAGGTGGAAGGATCACTTGGGACCAAGAATTCAGTGCTGCAGTGAGCTATGATCTTGCTGCTGCACTTTATCCTAGATGACAGAGAGACATTCTGTTTCAAAAATAAAAAAAAGAATACTGTACCCCCCAAAGCTAGCCTTCAAACACAAAAAATAAATAAAGACTTTTCCAGACAAATGAAAGCTGAGGGAATTTCTTGACACCAGATGTGTCTTACAGAAAATGCTAAGGACAATTCTTTAATCTAAAAGAAATAAACATTGACATGTAACAAAGAAACATCTAAAATTATAAAACTCACGGGTAGAAGTCTTAATAGGAATACAGAAAAACTCAGAATAATGCTATAATCGTGGTAGGTAAACTGCTTATATTTTAAGTATGGACATAATACAAAAGTACTAGCCACAAGAATAATTATGACAATTGGCTAAGAGATACGTAATATAAGAAGATGTAATTTAAAATATCAAAAAGTAAGAGTGTGAGGGAGATGGTGTTAAAGCGCAGCGTTTTATATTACTTGTATTTGTAATTAAAGTTGTTATTAATTTAAAAGACTATGCTATAACCATAAGGAGTTTTTGTTAAGCATTCATTACGTTATCTGCAAAACAAAAATCTATAGATACATTAAAAGAAATAGCATAAAATCATAATACGCTACTAGAGAAAATCACTTAACCACAAAGGAAGATAGTAAGAGACGAAGAAAGAAAAAAAGATTTACAAAACAACCAGAAAAGAAGTAACAAAATGGTAGTAGAAAAAACCCTTTCCTGTAAATAATAACCTTGCATGTAAATGGATTATATTATTCGATTAAAAAATGAAGTGTGGCTGAATGGGTAAAAAAAAGGACCAAATACATGCTTTTTATAAAAATGTCATTTAATCTACAAAGACACATAGACTTAAAGTGATGGGAAAAGGTATACCATGAAATGAAAACTCAGAAAGAGCAAGAGTAGATACACTTATATTAGATAAAATTGACTTTAAGTCAAGAATGGTAAAA
Organism: Homo sapiens; assembly: GCF_000001405.40. NCBI lineage: Eukaryota > Metazoa > Chordata > Mammalia > Primates > Hominidae > Homo > Homo sapiens. The sequence goes on along the minus strand of NC_000007.14, from coordinate 64,455,939 downwards.
TGCCATTATAAAATAATAAAAAGGTCAATACTACAAGAGTTTATAACAGTTGTAAATAAATATGTCTTAAACACTGAGGCATCAAAATATATAAAGCAAATATTAATAAGGTTAGAGGGAGAAATTAACTATAATACAATAATAATAGGAAATTTCAACACCACATTTTCAGCAATAAAAAAGTCATCCAGACAGAAAATAAAGAAACAGAAAAATAGAGTTAAACTGCATTCTATGCCAAATATACCTAAGGGACATTTACAGAGCATTTCCTCCAGCATCAGCAAAATATAAAATTTTCTGGACAGGACATGGATATTCTTTAGGATAGATCATATGTTAAGTCACAATAAAGGTCTTAATAAATCTATAAAGATTGAAATTATATTAACTATATTTTCTGACCAAAACATAAGAAAACTAAAAATGAATAACAGAAGGAATGGTAAAATCTATACAAATTTATAGAAATTAAATGACATGCCCTGGAACAATGAGTGGTTAAGTAAAAAAAATTAAAAATGATAAGTTTCTTGAGAGAAATGAAAATGAAAACACCACATATCAAAAAAAATTTGAGATACAGCAAAAGCAATTGTAAGAGAAGAGTTTATGACAATAAACACCAACATGAAAAAGATATTTCAAATAAACAACCTAATAATACATCTCAAAGAACCAGAAAAACAAGACAAAACAAATCTCAAAAAAGTAGAAGGGAAGAAATATCAAAAATCAAAGTAAAAGTAAACAAAATAGAGAATTGAAAATAGAAAATATGAAAGATGCAGTTGGTTTTTTGAAATAATAAAATCAACACTTCCTAGTAAACTAAGAAAATAACAGAGAAGACTCAAATAAATAAAACTAGAAATAAAAAGAGGGAAATCACAACTGCTACCACAGACATACAAAGGATCACAAGACACTACTAAGATCAACTGTATGTCAATAAAATGAAAAATTGAGAAAAAATAGATAAATCTGTGGAGACATACTACTTACCAAGATTAAATCATGAAAAATTAGCAAACATAAAAAGACAAATAATTAGTAACAAGATCAAACTGGAAGTAAAGACTCTCCTCTCAAGGAAAAGCCCAGGGACTAATGGCTTTACTGTCAAAGTCTGACACACATTTAAAGAAGAATTAATACAAATACTTCTCAAATCTTTACAAAATATGAAAGAGACAAGCTACAGAATGGGAGCAAACATTTGTAAACTATACAAATATCCAGAGTATATAAAGGATTCAAACAACTAACCAGCAAACAAACAACAAAACAAAACAAATAATTCAATTTAAAAATGGCAAAAAAACCTTAATAGACAATTTTCCCAAAAAAGTGTACAAACGGCTGGCAGGTTTATAACAAAATGCTCAACATTACTAACTATAAGGGAAATGATTTTTTTTTTTTTTTTGAGATGGAGTCTCCCTGTATCACCCAGGCTGGAGTGCAGTGGCACAATCTCTGCTCACTGCAACCTCCGCCTCCCGGGTTCAAGCGATTCTCCTGCCTCAGCCTCCTAAGTAGCTGGGACTACAGGCACGCGCCACCACGCTCAGCTAATTTTTGTATTTTTAGTAGAGACGGGGTTTCACCATGTTGGCCAGGATGGTCTCGATCTCTTGACCTTGTGATCTGCCTACCTCGGCCTCCCAAAGTACTGGGATTACAGGTGTGAGCCACAGTGCCCAGCCGGGAAATGAAAATTAAAGCTACAATGAGATACCATCCCACCCTAGTAACAATGGCTAGTATAAAGAAGACAAAACATAACAAATACAAGTGAGGACAGAGTGAGAGGAAAACTCTTTGACACTGTTGGTGGGATGTAGCTTAGCACAATCATTATAAAAAAAGTATGGTGATTTCTCAAAAAGTTAAAAATAGAGCTAAAGTACGGTTCATTATTGAACTACTGGTATATAGCCAAAGTAACTAAAATCAGTATGTCAAAAAGATATTTGCACTATGATGTTTATTCCAGCACCATTCACAGTAGCCAAGAGATGAAATCAAAATGTGCCCATCAATAAATAAATAGATAAATAAAATGTGGTATATATACACAATGGAATACTATTTGCTATGGAAAGAAACAAAATACTGTCATCTGTAGCAATATGTGTGAGCCTAGATAATATAATGTTCAATGAAATAAACCATAGATTGAAAGACAAATATTGCATGAGCTCACTAATAAGTGGAATATAGGGAAGTTGATCTTGCAGAAGTTAAGCACAGACTGGTGGTTACCAGAGTCTGGGGAGGGGTCTGGGAAGAAAAAGATTAAGGGAGGTCATTCACTGGGTTCAAAGCTACAGTGAGATAGAAAAAATAAGTTCTGGTGTTCTATTACACAGTTGGGTGACTATAACAACTATGGTATAATAACAACATATATATTTTATAATAGCTAGAAAACAGTAACTTGAAAGTTATTACCATGAAGAAATGATAATGGTTTGAGATGATGAACATGCTAATTACCCGAATTTTATCATAACACAATGTACATATATTTTAAAACATTATGCTATACCCTATAAATATGTGAAATTATGTGTCAGTTATAGAATAACTAACCTAAATAAATAAATTTACCAATGCCAAAAATTTCAAGTTCTTGAAGCTGTGTTCTGTGTGTCTCTTGTAGAATACCTTTTCCACTTAACGAGAACGTTTTCAACTTGGCCTTCCCCTTTATTTTCTGCTTGTCCAGAGATTGAAGGTCAAATAGACGTCAGAAATTAGGATCATTCTAGGTCTTTTCTGAGCCTGCAGCTGGCCCTAATCCTATACACTGCCTGCTAGATTCTCTTAACTATGTGGACACTTTTCAAAGATCTTATTCCCAAAGAATTGCACTCTCCATTATCTCCTGTTAGGCATTTCAGTATGACTACTTTTTGTCTCAAAGAAATCCCTTTGCCTAAGGTTATTGTTTTGAAATGCCTTTGTTCATGAAGAAATTAACTGCTACAAATACCCTTTGGACACCATGTTTGCTGCATCTTGCATGTTTTGTTGAGTAAACCTTTTTATTCATCTGAAATATTTTCCAATTTTTAAATTTTTTCTTTGACACTTTGGCTATTTAGAATTTCATTGCTTAATTTTCACATACCTGTGACTTACCCAGATTTCCTGATGTAATTAATTTTTAATTTTATTCCATTGCAGTGAGAGAAAATACTTTGCATTTACACAATTCTTTTAATTTTTGTTTGTTTGTTTTTTGAGACAGAGTTTCACTCTTGCTGCCCAGGCTGGAGTGCAACGGCACGATCTTGGCTCACCGCAACCTCTGCTTCCCTGATTCAAGCTATTCTCCTGCCTCAGCCTCCCGAGTAGCTGGGATTACAGGTGCCTGCCACCACGTGTGGCTAATTTTGTATTTTTAGTAGAGACGGGGCTTCTCCATGTTGCCCAGGCTGGTCTTGAACTCCTGACCTCAGGTGATCTGCCCACCTCATCCTCCCAAAATGGTGGGATTACAGGTGTGGCCACCACGCCCGGCCAATTCTTTTAATTTTATTGTGTATTTAATTATCTAGAGTATAGTTTATTCTAAAAAACATTCCATATATACTTAGTAAAAATGCATATCTATTCCTGTTATGTGGAAAGAACTATATATATCTGCTAGATCTCAGTGGTTTTGTTTTCTTCAAGTCTGTTTACTCTTTGACCTGTTGACTGTGTTTTAATTCATTATTGAGCATGAAGTATTTAAATCTCAAACTGTTATTTTTTGATTATCTCTTTCTTGCTTTATTTTTGTCAATTTTTTTTTTTTTTTTAGACAGAGTCTCACTCTGTCACCCAGGCTGGAGTGCCTGGTGTGTTCTTGTCTCACTGCAACCTCCGCCTCCTGGGTTCAAGCGATTCTCCTGCCTCAGCCTCCTGAGTAGCAGGGATTCTTATTTTTGTATTCTGTCTAACAATCTTAGTTTTTCTTATTTAATTAATTAATCTTTTTTATATTTAGTATTATTCGTATAGTTCGATTTATTTTTTCTGTATTATTTTTGTTTTCTACATATCATGTGTATTTTATTTCTTTTTCTACTATTTTGCCTTATTTTGCATTAAGAAAGCATTTTTATATAACATTGCAATTTTAAAAATAATTTTTAATGTATATTTGGAGCTATCTCTTGTTCTTTTAGGGCTTCTGATATACATCTTCATTCCTCAGAATCTGTTTTACATTTATAATAACAATACTGATGAGTTATACAAACGTTAGTTCTATGTATTTCTATTTCTGCTTCTCGTTTTGTGATATAAATTTTACACTTATTATATCGACACATGCTATAAACTTATTATTTTACACATATTATTTTATATAATTTCAATTTTAAAAATGAGATAAAAAGAAAAAAGAGCAAAGATATATCTACAAATTGTTTGATATTAACTTTTTATTTCCCATTTCTGAATTTTCTCATTTGTTCCAGAATATTCAGCTAATTTTTATTGCAAAACATGCTATCACTCACCTGTTTTGTTTAGTTATTGGTAAGTATATTACATGTATTTGTAATTGGTCCAACAATACAATTTTATTTATATTGTTATGCATTCATTTTTTAAAATAATATAAGAAATTAAAAAATATATGCATGATGTCTTTTATAATGACATGATTATCTTTACCGGTGCTTTTGTCATTTTATGTAGATTCAAATTGTTCTCTTTGGTTATTTGATTATCTCTCTCTTTCTTTCTCTCTTTCTTTCTTTTTTTCTCGGAGTCTCCCTCTGTCGCCCAGGCTGGAGTGCAGTGGCATGATCTCGGCTCACTGCAAGCTCCACCTCCCGGGTTCAAGCGATTCCCCTGCCTCGGCCTCCCAAGTAGCTGGGACTAGAGGCACCCGCCACCACACCCAGCTAATTTTTGTAGTTTTACCTAGTTGAAATCAACTCAGTTTTTGTTTACCTAGAAAGGCCTTATTTGCCTTTATTTTTTATTGATAGCTTTCACATTCAGAAGATTATTTCTTGACAGTTTTTCTTTGATGAGTAGACACAAAGATTTAAATGAAATTGAAAGGCTTCCAAAAGGCAACTAAATTATGATCTAAAAAATGGATTTGAAATTGTTTTTAAATTGAATTGAAAATAAAATTACATTGATGGCAGCTGATGATACGTTAGACTGGGATGCAGAGAGCAGGAAGAATTAAACTTACGGACAATAGAAGTCTGTGAGTTGTTTGGTCCTGACTTAGGCCAAATGGAGGACATGCTTTTTAGAGAATTAAAGATGGATGCATGAGAGCACAGCCACGCTGAAACTAAAAAGGCTGAGTGCCTGCACTGTGCTAAGACCCACAGGTTTATTGAAATAAAAGTCACTATTTTAACGTACAACAATTTAACATACAATATTAGACTAAGAAAGCAAATAGGCAGTGATAATTATGATTAATGTTAACTTTAGTTTTAATAGAATCGTGTTTGATGGGTGTCACAGAAGCAAAAATATGGCCTTTGCTATAAAATGTGTGCTCTACTACTGAGTGTGTAAAGCACTCCTGTGAGTGGAAGCCACAAAGAAACCTGAGGGTCAAGGTGGTAGAATAACCCTTTGATACTTCATATCTAAAAAAAAATTTCTTGGCATGGACAGTTTGTATCCAAACATTCGCTGCTTGAAATAGATGTGCATTTCTGTACTCTATAAATGTACCTGAACAAATTAATGAGAGGTATAAAGCAGCCTATATTTTGCTCCCATGTCTAGTGCCCTGACTCAGAACTGTGTCCTCAGGAAAATGGAGCACTTTACCCATTTAGGTGTGATAGAGGTGGGATTTTTCCAATTCTCACAAAGGTGCTTTTGGTCTATTTCTGACCATGAAAATCAGAGATTGCTGGGGAACATTGATGAGGGCAACCATGAATTACTTGAACCTGTAGTAATGCAGTGGAAAATCTGACATTGTGTGCTACTAATTTTGAAGGTTGGGTAATTGGGAGACTACTCTTTTTTTTTTTTTTTAATAAGAACAGACACCATACAATCCACTGGGCTGAATATACCTGGGGAAATAAGCTTACACATGGAAAAGTTGGAGCACAGCTGTTTCTAATGTATTTTCTAGGAATCAAAAAGTTTAATTTTCCCTTGGTGGTTCCCTTTCTTAAAATCACAAAACCAGAGCTTGTACTATCTTTATAGTTGACGTGAAAATTATAGGCCTTGAGGGGATGGGCTGATGGCGTTGCTTCCTTATAACCACATATTGTGAGCCTCATCTTACAAACATGAACTCACTCCAAAAACCCAGCTGGGTGACTGTCTGTCTGTCAGCATTATTAACAGTGAGAGCTCAAGACTCAGGTGAGTGGTGGGATGAGGCAGAATTTTTTCAATTAAGAGCTAGGATCATTGTCTTTTCCTAATTTCAGTCATGTCTCAGTGAATCATATCTAAGTACAATAGATGATTCCAAATGAAAAATGCAACTTTGTGAATACTGAGGTCATAACATACTGATCTTATACTTTGTTAATTTTGTAATATTGCATTTGAATTGTAATTGTATTTTATTTCTTACTATATTAGCTTTTTCTCAGTTTAACTTACTGTATATACCTAGGTAAAATTTTATATTTTGAAACACAAGAAATCTGAACTAATTCTTAAGAATTTAGTCGTACTTCTTTGTTCTTTTAAATTTGAAAACACTTAAGTATATAATAATTTTTAGAGTCATCTCAAAACGTGATTATTATTTAATATTTTACATTAATTAGCTTTCAGTGAATGACCATAAAATTATTTTGTTTTATTTTGGTATAGTTATTGCACACACAGGATTTAGTTCTGGTTACTATGAAACTGTAAACAAATACCTCTTTTTGTCATTTATCACATTTTGTAGAGTTAATCACTACATCACATATATAAAAGCTTCTAATATTAAGCATGATTACAAATTTGTAAAACAAATTCAGCTTTAGTGTATTACATTTTATTAATATAAACAGCTAATATAATAAATATTTTATTAATAAGTTAAAACTTATAAAATGTTCTATATGTTAGTTTGGGTAAGATTTTCAATAACGAAGAGAATAATATTCTTCAAAATTTGAGGAAAATAGCATTTCCTTATTACAAAAAATTCTCCAAGTTTTGCACTCTTACAGCTTCCTCGGTAAGTTTCAAACTTGCAATTTATATATTAAAAATATATTCATGAATGTGGTGGCCAGTATATTTCAATTTTGCTGTTAAAATATATGTTAATTTTGTCTAACTTTATTAGGAAATACTGTTTTCTAGTTCTGCGATTTTTTAACATGTAAGAGAAAGGAATAAGGAGAAGTCAAAACAGAAAAGAAAAAGATAATAATAATGGTTGTCTAATTGTGGCTCATAAGGGTATCAAACCCTCAGGAAAATATAATAGTACAAAATCACTAGGTCTCTGAACATCAAGAAAAAAATAAAGCATTTCTAAGTGCTTCACATATCTGCATTTTATGTATTTAGGGAGAAAGGACCTCAACTGCTCATAATAAGTGTACATGATGAATAGAAGACGAGGTTTTCCAAATTGCAATTTTCAACTTGGAAATATTTCTCCAAATTCAATATTTGACACATTTGGTAAGACTCTTATCTATACTGTGATACACAGGGGCATGATTGTACAACACCTTTCAAATTTTTAGGAAAAAGTTAGTGTTACACTTAGCTGGTATCTCCTCAGTTGAAATAACTGGAAAGAAACACTCTTCCAAAAGGATTTTAGGCTTTTCAAAATTGGTAGCATAGAATTTGTGATCAAGTCCCTCCAGTATTTTTCTATTGCCCACATTTAAAGTAATGATTTTCCTGCTTATTTTTTCCTCCAAGGAAGCTGGGAATTAAATGTCTTGAAATTATAAATATCCGTGTCAGCAAGCATTGTGCTTCTAGCTGCAGTCTACACTAATTTCAACTTCCAAAGAGTGGCAAATGCATTACGATCATTCAATGGATCTGATACTTACCATATTTATTATTTTAGTCTTGGTGTATTTTATAAAACTTCTTTTTAACAGGCCTAATCTTGAGGGAAACATTTTTTCTTTTCTAAATTTGCCGGCTGGATTTTTCAGTTTGCCATTTATTGCCACTTAACAACAAACCCCTTCTCCCTGGCATCTAAAATTCATAGGGCTAACAAGGCTGCTCAATAAATGTTGTAAATGAATGATAAAAATGAGTCTTTTTATCAATATAATAAAAATGCTTTACATTTATATAGATTATATTTTAAATCTACACAAGAGAGTGCAAACATCACTATTCAAATAACATTATTAATAAAATAACAATACTCAAAAACTATGTTTTATAATAAAGATGAGGAACTATATTTTATCTAACTTCTTTTTCTACAAATAACATATCCATCATACGCAAAACAGCTTTTTCCCTTTATACACCCTTTATCTTTGCTTCAGATGTCTGATCTAAGCTTATGTTTTTTATGATCAGATTTTCATTCATGGTCTGTATAATAGTGTTATTCCCCTATTATACATGATTATTTATACACTTTGGGACTTAAGAATATTGGGAATACACTAAAGTGAAAGACAGTATAATGAGAATAAACTTGAGCTGCATTTTGTGTTTACTGAGAGTGCTCAGGAGCTTCACTGTCAGCCTCAGCAGCCTTAGGTTATCACTTCTAATGGTGAGAGCTAAGCTGTGCATTCAGATTTTGAAATTTTTAATGGGTCACAAAGAACCAAATTTTTCTTTCCACTCTGAACAACCTAAAAGTAGCATCTATGGATTTTTTCCTATTTTGTTTCACCCAGTTTGGCATCATATTAATGCAAATTCCATAATTCTTCCATGGTGTAGTTGTCAGACTTATCAGATAAAAACATAGAACAGAGCTAAGTTTAATATTTGGATTAAAAATGACTTCTGCAATATGTTAAAGGCAATTATCAATTGTTTAGCTCTGGCAGGTGAGAAAAGTTTTTGAAGAGACAATCAATTCAATCGTACTCTATTTGTGTGCTCTAATTTATGACAACCAAGATTGTGATGACCAAGATTGCTGATCTCGTCTGGGATCAGCATCAATGCTCTCAAGAGCCTCAGTGGAAAAATACACCATTTGATAAGGCAGATTATTCTGTTTCAGTATGTTCAGGTTATTTACAGAGTAAGGAGAATGAATTAGTATCAACTGGATGTTTTATACGGTGAAAAAATAAAATATTAAAATTCTTATCTATGTTATTTAATCTAATTATTTGTCCTATATCTTCTTTTGGTGTGTGGTTCATAATATATGGCTTATGTTAATAAAACTATACAGATATATAGTTAATAACTCATTTGTACATATATTATTATCTCATGTTCAAATATATTTTTCTAGTACTGAAGTGTGATCCTTAAAATTTGGATACCATTAAGTCTTTAATTTAAAATTACTTTGTGTTTTTTTCCGATTTCAACTTGACAGCAGAACTCAACCGCGCTGATGGTGTAGATGTGTGCTGGTGGAAACCTTTCACTGTTTGTTTCTAAGATAAATGTGTTTACTTATTAAAGTTTTGTAGAAAGAGTAATAACCATTTAGTCAACTAGATGTTTCCTTTATAAAATCAAACATATCTGGTGGTTTTAGAGCAACATTTTCTCAGTCACTAATTTTTGATTATTATCCAAGGATACTCAGTGTCAACATTTTTGCATTGTCTCATATATTTTTATTTATGGAATTGTATAATGATAAGTGACCTTGAATCAGACACACTTTTATTTAAAAAAAACTGAGTGAATTTAATGGTGTTTCACTTTTTTAATGTCATGAAGCTAAATTGTTCTTAGCCCTGAATTAAATTAAAATGATAAATGATGTCTGAATCTTGGCCAAATAATATGAAATGGTAACTGCAAAATTATTATGCAAAATTTTACAAGGTGTTATAGTATTGAAGTTATCCCAAGAAAACTTGAGAGGAATTATTTTTCTTATTGAAGACTACGTATTTTTCTAGGCATGGTAGAGTGTCTCTGTATTAAGTGAAGTCTCAGGAAGATGTGACTATGTTGATGCAACTTCATGGTTGAAACAAAGTAATTAAAAGTAGTGGCTGGGCTCGGTGGCCCACGGCTGTAATCCCAGCACTTTGGGAGGTCAGAAATTTGAGACCAGCCTGGCCAACATGGTGAAATCACCTCTACTAAAAATACAAAAATTAGCTAGTATGATGGTGGGTGCCACATGGTGGGCGCCACTTGGGAGGCTAAGGCAAGAGAATTGCTTGAACACAGGAGGTGGAGGTTGCACTGAGCAGAGATTATGCCACTGCACTCCAGCCTGGGCGACAGAGTAAGACTCTGTCTCAAAAAAAAAGGGTAGTGTTTATCATGTTGGTAACTGAGAGGAAAATATTAAAAAATGTGTTCTGAGATAAAGAGAAATCACATAATAAATCTCTGGGATATGAACTAAACTGAGACAGCCAGAACTATTTCTATATTATATACAGTAAATTAGGGTTTGATTAAGCAGAACAATGTCCCCCAGTCCCTCTAAGGATATTGACATTTGAATTCCAAGATATCACATTACACATTATAATTCATGACAAAGAGAATATAAGGGTGCAGATAGGATAAAAATTGCTAATATGCTGATGAAATATCATGAATTATCATGGTGAGTCCAGTAAAATCACAAGGGTCAAAAACCATGGAAGACTGATGATGAATGAATTTCATCAAAATGATAGACCATGAGAAAGTCTTAACTGAATATATATTTTTAATTGTTTTAGTGAGTCTTTTCTCATTAACATACATTTAATTCAATTCCACTGTACAAATGCTATTCATTTTATATGCCCGATTGAAGTAGTAAATATAAAATAAGAGAACATAAAACAAGGATATGATTACTGAGATGAAGGCCAAGGTACGTGAGGAATATAGATAGTGTGCACCTTATACAGGCATAATTGAAAATGTATTTGTTATATATATTCATAATTATATATGTATACATTTATTTGGTTTAGAAAATAGTGCAGGAGATACATTATCAAGAATTTATATAAGATGGGGTTAATCAAGAAAATGAGAGTAAAATAAAAATAATCATAATGGTAATAATTTTGAACACTGACAAAAGAACATTGATGACACAGATGTATTTTTTTCAGGTCTTCAAAATATGTTTCTTCTACATCATTAGGATGAACACACATTTCATATGTTATCTTTGAAAAAGGCCTTTTATTTTCAAGCTGGCATTGGAATCTCGGCCAACATATTTCTTCTTCTCTGGCACATTTTTATATTCTTTAAGGATCACAAGCCTAAAAACCATGACCTGATCATCTGTCACTTGACCTTTGTTCACATACTGATGCTAGTCATTGCAGCAAAGCTATTGTCTCCAGATGGGTTTGAGTCACAGAATTTTCAGAATAACTTCAGATGTAAGGCTGTGTTCTACACATACAAGGCAATGAGGGGCCTCTTGATCTGCACAACCTCTCTCCTGAGCATGCTTCAGGCCATCACCATTAGCCCCAGCACCTCCTGGTTGGTGAGATTTAAACATAAAATCACAAAATACAATATCCTGGCTTTATTATTCTTTGGTCCCTCAATTTTTCTTTCAACAGTGACATGATTATCTACATTGTAGGTTTTTCCAGTGTGACCCAGATAATTCTGAATGTCAGTAAATACTGCTCACTTTCCCCAATGAATGTCACCATCAGAAGGCTGTTTGTTACTCTGTCGTTATCCAGAGATGTCTTCCTTGTAGGAATCATGCCGCTCTCAAGTGCCTACATGGTGATTCTCTTGTCCAGGCATCAGAGGCGCTCCCAGCACCTTCACAGCACTAGCTTTTTATTAAGAACCTCCCCAGAGAAAAGGGCCACCAAGACCATCTTGCTGCTGGTGAGTTTCTTTGTGGTTATGTACTCATTGGACTTAATTGTCTCATCCTCCACAATGTTGTTATGGGTATTCAGCCCTGTCATCTACAGTGTCCACAAGTTTATGGTCAATGCCTATGCCACTGTCAGTCCTATGGTGCTAATCAGATCTGATAAAAGAATCATCAGTATTCTGCCAAAGGTTCATTGGACGTGCCATCCCTTTTTAACAAGTTAGTGATAAAATTTTCTAAAAATAATTTTGCTGTCATTAATTAAATTATTTAAAAACACAGAATTTGCTATCTGATTTAAATAAAACATCTGGAATTGCAGTTTTGTAATATCTAATTTTTTTTTGAGATGGAGTCTCACTCTGTTGCCCAGGCTTGAATGCAGTGGTGCAATCTTGGCTCATCGCAGCCTCTGCCTCCTGGGTTCAAGCAATTCTCCTGCCTCAACTTCTCGAGTAGCTGGGATTACAGGCATCTGTCACCTTGCTCAGCTAATTTTTTTTTTCGTATTTTTAGTAAAGACAGGGTTTTGCCATGTTTGCCAGGCTGGTCTTGAACTACTGACCTCAAGTGATCGGCCTACCTCGGCCTCTCAAAGTGCTAGAATTACAGGTGTGAGCCACTGCACCCGGCCCGTCTCAATATTTTTTTAATTTCCTGGTGCTAAGAACTATATGTTGTTCTCAGTTCAGTGTCCCCCATGGTTTAATATTCCTAAAGCATGTCTCTCACTACTTAATTTTAATTTTACCTTTATACAGGAAAACATTTTCTCTCTTTTTTTTTAAGATGGAGTTTTGCTCTTGTCTCCCAGGCTGGAGTGCAGTGGCACGATCTCGGCTCACTGCAGCCTCTGCTCCCAGGTTCAAGCGATTCTTCTGCCTCAGTCTCCTGAGTAGCTGATACTACAGGTGCCCACCACCACGCCTGGATAATTTTTGTATTTTTAGTAGACAGGGTTTCACCATGTTGGCCAGGCTGGTCTCGAACTTCTGACCTCAGGTGATCTGCCCACCTCGGCCTCCCAAAGTGCTGGGATTACAGATGTGAGCCATTGTGCCCGGCCAGGAAAACATTATTTTCCTGAGTGTATGCTTATGTGGCTCCTATTAGCAAGCATATCACTCAGTGTTACTACTTTTGAAAAAAATGTATATATTTTTGAGATGGAATTTTGCTCTTGGATTTTGGCTCACTGCAACCTCCGCTCCCGGGTTCAAGGGATTTTCCTGCCTCAGCCTCCCCAGTAGCTGGGATTACAGGCACGTGCCACCACACCGGGCTGATTTCATATTTTATTAGAGATGGGGTTTCTCCATGTTGGTCAGGCTGGTCTCGAACTTCTGACCTCAGGTGATCTGCCCTCCTCGGCCTCCCAAAGTGCTGAGATTACAGGAGTGAGCCACCGCACCCAGCTGAATAATAATTTTTCTAAGCATGCTTTTAAAGTTTATTTTTAATTGAAGATAACATTGTACAAGTTTATTATGCATAACAAAAGATTTCAAAGTACATATAGATTGTAAAATAATTAAATTTAGCTAATTAATGCATTATCTAAGTTATTATTTTGTGGTGAGAACACTTAACATCCACTATCTGTGCACTTTTCAAGACTGTACAATCTCATAAGTAACTATAGCCACCTTGCTATGTAAAAAATATCATTAAATTTATTTCTCTGATATAATTGTAATTATATTCCTTTTGGCCAGCATCTTTTTATCCTCTTCTCCCCTCTAATCACCTCAGCATTTAGTAACTATTTTATATTTTATAACCATTTTAGTCTCTAGTTTTATTAGATCAACTTTTTTAGATTCCACATTGTAGCAAAATCTTGTTGTATTTGTCTTACTGCGCCTGGCTTATTTCACTTAACATAATGTTTTCCAGGTTCATCTATGTTGTTATTTTATTTTATTTTATTTTATTTTAATGAGACGAAGTCTTGCTGTGTCTCCTATGCTGGAGTGCAATGGAGCACAGTAGAGACGTCGTTTCACCACGTTAGCCAGGATGGTTTCGAACTCCTGACCTCAGGTTATCTGCCAGCCTCAGCCTCCCAACGTGTTGAGATTACAGGTGTGCTCAGCCCATCTATGTTGTTTTCAATGGCAGGATTTCATTCTTTATATGAATAAATAGCCTTTCATTTGGGTTTCTATGCCATGATTTCTTTATCTATTTGTCCCTTGATGGATAATATGATTATTCTCTATCTTGGCTATTGTCATTAGTGCTGTGATAAGCATGAGAGTGAAGACATCTCTTTAACGTACTGATTTTATTTCCTTTGGATATATGCCCAATAGTGAGATTGCTGGTTCATATAGTAGTTTTATTTTTAGTTCGAGGAACCTCTACTTTTTTACATAATGGCTGTACTCATCTGCATTTAAACGAACAGTGCATAAGGGTTTCCTTTTCTCCACATATGGCCAACACTTGTTATCTTTTGTCTTCTTGATAATGACCATGCTAATTTAAGTAAGGTAATAACTATATTACTTTTACATTTCCCTGATGACTAGTGATTTTGAGCATTTTTTCATATACCTGTCAACTATCTATTGTGTATCTATCTGTCTATCATCTATCTATCTATCTATCTATCTATCTATCTATCTATCTATCTATCTATCTATCATCTTGTTTTGAGAAATACCTATTCAGGTTTTTGCTCATTTTAAAATTGGATGATGATTATTATTATTTCTGCCATTGAGTTATTTGAGCCCCTTATATATTTTGGATGTTAACCCCTTGTCAGATGCACAGTATGCACATTTTCTCCCAGTCTGTAGTTTGTCATTTTGTTTTTGTTTTTGTTTTTGAGACAGAGTCTTGCTCTTGTTGCCCAGGCTGGAGTGCAAGTGGTGCGATCTCAGCTTGCTGCAACCTCTGCCTCCTGGGCTCAAGCGATTCTCCTGCCTCAGCCTCCCCAGTAGCTGGGACTACAGGCTTGTGCCACCACGCCCAGCTAATTTTCTTGTATTGTTGGTAGAGAGGGGCTTCACCATGTTGGCCAGGCTGGTTGCAAACTCCTGACCTCAAGTGGTCCACTACCTCGGCCTCCCAAAGTGCTGGGATTACAGGCATGAGCCACCATACCTGGCCTGTAGTTTGTCTTTTCACTCTGTTGATTATTTTCTGTGCCATGTAGAAGCTTTTACTTTAACATTTTATTAACTTTTTTTTCTGTTTTCTGGCTTTATACAAAGGTGAGACATTTTGCTCTCACTGATTTTATGAGCTTTTTCTTCATGTTGGTGTTACGAAGTTTGACCTTTTTCAAATTAAGGTTTATTTAATTTAAAATTGACATATAATTGTACACATTTATGGGATACAGTGTGATATTTCAGTGCATTTATTCATTGTCTAATAGAACCAGAATAATTAACATAGCCATTGTTTTCAATATTTGTCATTTCTCTGTGCTGATAATATGCAAAATTCTGTCTTCTAGCTAACTTAACCTATATAATAACATATTATTATTAATTATAGTCACCCTACTTTGTGTAACATAACACAAAAATTTATTCTTTCTGTTATTTTTAAATTTATTTTATTTTATTTTTTTTTTTGCGACAGAGTCTCGCTCTGTTACCCAGGCTGGAGTGTAGTTGCACAATCTCTGCTCACTATAACCTCCACCTCCAGGGTTCAAGCAATTCTTGTGCCTCAGCCTCCCATGTAGCCGGGATTACAGGCACTCGCCACCATGACCAGCTAATTTTTGTATTTTTTGTAGAGACAGGGATTCACCATGTTGGCCAGGCCGGTCTCGAACTCCTGGCCTCAGGTGATCCATCTGCCTCTGTCTCCCAAAGTGCTAGGATTACAGGTGTGAGCCACCATGCCCGGCCTATTCTTTCTTTTAAATGATAATGTTGCAGTCATTGGCAAACCTGTTCTCATCTCTTCCTCCCCACATCCTTTCCAGCCTCTGGCCATTTTACTCTACTTCCATGAGATCAGCTTTAAATTTTACATAAAAATGATATCATGTGGGGTTTGTCTTTTTATGCTTGGCATATTTTAATTAACATAATGTCCTCCAGGTAAATCGATGTTGCTCTAAATGACAGATTATTATTCTGTTTTAGGAAAAACAGTATGTAGATTCTTCCAAAAATTAAAAATAGAACTACCCTATGATTCAGCAATTTCAATACTGGGTATATATCAAAAGGAAATAAAATCAGTATGTCAAAGAGGCAACATTATTACCATGTTTATTGCATCACTAATTGTAATAGCCAAACTATTACTTTACTTAAGAATTTTTAAATCTCTTCTTGATACTACATTACACTTCTAAACTTTTAAAGGATTTAAAGGTTTTCAGTTTTAGAAACTATTTAATCACCAATTCTTTAAATATTTCTTTTTTTATATAGTCTAGTAAAGCAATTAGATGTTCATTTCTTCTCAATCCAATCTTCATATATGTATATATTTCATTCTCTATTAATTCGCCTTCTGTAAAATATGTAACTACATCAATTTTGGTTAGTATTCTATTTTATTGGCCTCTCATCAGCTCAGTGTATTTTCATATGTAACCCATATGTTGTACATTACATTGTTTCACCACATTTGTAATAGCTTACTTTCAATTTGCTTTTTTTTCAGATATGACTTGAGAAGCTTCTAGTTTTTTTTCTTTGCCCATTACTTTGGTTTTCTGTTTTTTCATTGTATTGAAAAATATTTAAACATAAGCCAAATATCTGATGTTTATGTACCATACAATTTCTTTTGACTCTTCATCTTGGTAGTTTATCTAATTGTGTGCAACATAATGTATAACTTAGTTTTCACATATGGAAGATATCATACTTGGAATGTCTCCAGTCTGTATGTTTCTTTGCTGATTCCATTTGCCTTGTTGGAAGTTGAACCCACATGAATCTGATGTTCTTGTGATTAGTCCTGTCTGAATAGAGCACGTGCTTCTTAGGTTGACTACTCCACTGGATTATTCCCTTCATTTACTCCTGGTCCTGGGAATTTCTCATATTTTTCTTCAACTATATTTAGCATAATGTGGATTGTTTTAACTTCTTGACAATTTTAATTATCTGTATTAAATATTTAGAATATATACATTATTTTCCTGAAAAGCATAAATAGCAACAGTTGCATACATTAGTAAAATATGTCTCATAGATTGTCTATGACATAAAACGTCATCTTGTGTGAAATCTCAAGTTTCTTCATGTAGAAGACCTCCTTACTAATACACCATATTGTAATAATTTGTGAAGTGTGATTACTTTTTACTACTATGTATGTATTACATATGTATTATGCACAAATTTCAGAAACACTCCAATGAATATACAGCCAGAATTACTGTTTTATATCATATAAAGCTAATATGGGTTAAATCATTTACCTTAATTCAGATTTTTTCTACAATTACCATTATTTCTCATTAGCACTTCCCTGATATCAAAAACATAATGCGGATTTAGATTTTTTATTTAATCCAGAAGATGTTGAAAATGGTTCTAAATGGAGTTTACATGTGGCTAGATAATACTTGTTAATTACCTTTAACTTTTTAAATACATTAATTGAGGTATAATTGACAAACTAAAGGTGTATATATTTAGGATTTAGAATATGATGTTTTGAGACATGTATACATTTTTTAATTACCTCGGTTAAGCTAGTTAACATATTTATCACTTTACATAGTTACTTTATGTGTCTGTGTGTGAGTGGGTATGTGTGGTGAGATTACTTGAGATTTGATTTTCAAAAATTTTAAGTATACAGTATTATTAACTATTGTCACCAGTCTATATGTTACATTCCCATCATTTATGTATTTTCTAGCTGAAAGTATGTATCTTTTGACTGATGCCTTGTCATTTCCTCCCACACCCTAGCCCGTAGTAATTATTATTCTTCTTTTCCTATGACTCTGAGTTATTAAAGATTTCACATAAATACGAAATCACGCGGTACTTGTCTTTTTGTATCTGGCTTATTTTACTTAGCATAATGTCTTCATGGTTCTTCAACGTTGTTGAAAATGGCAGAATTTTCATCTTCATTAAAGATAAATTACATATACATATATTTATCACAGTTTTGTTATATATTCATCTACATATGCTAAGTAGTAACCTCTCTAATTTATCAAATTATCTTTTCCATATTATCATTCAAATATGATATTGTTTTGCATTTATTATTAAAATTAATTTCCTGTCTTTAAAAAATTTTCATAAAATTTATGGGGTCAATTCAATCTGCCCTCTTGATAAAAGCCAAAGTTACATGTCAGTTTTACTAATTTGGATTAGATTGAGATTTTTATTGCCTCAAATAATAAGTATAAGCATTAAGGATAAAAATATAATTACATTCTTCACCTTACAACAAAGAAAACTTTGGATTATTTATTGGACAAAAGACTTATTCTATATTATTATTTCTATTTTTGTGTTACCTAAACATTTACTACACATAGAATACCACAAAACAGGAATAAATAAATCGGTTGTCACAAATGATGAAAGTAAAATTAAGAAATAAGATATACTTCCCAGAGAATGTTTGTAACAAAAATAAATGAAATATGTTTTAGGTGATGCATATTCTAATTCCCCTGATTTGATTATTACATATTATATGCTTGTATCAAACTATCACATGTACTACATAAAGATGTACAACTATTATGTGTCTGTAACAATTAAAAATAAGAAAGTATATATGAATATATATGTATATATAAATAATCATGTAACGAGTAAAGTATTAATTAAAAATATTTCCACAAAGAAAAGTTTAGGGCCTGATATCTTATATGTCAAATTCAATGAATATTTAGTAAATACTATCAATTGTTTAAAAAAACTTTCAAAAACTGAAAAGAAATTTATACTTTCTAACCCACAACACTAGAGTTATTGTACAATAAAATAAAGTATATAATAAAAATTTAAAAAATTCTCCAGATTGAAAAATAACAAAGGTCTTTTTTTGCAGATGATATAATTTTCTATATAAAAATATATAAGGAGTTCAATAAAATATCCCTAGAACTATAAACAAGTTAATTAATGTCACTAAATGAAAGATCAGAAAACAAAATTAAATTGCACTTATAGACAAAATAAATCAACAATGAAAATGAAATAAAGAAAAAATATATTTATAATAGCAATAAGCAGAAATATTAAAGTTTTAAAAGGAAGTACAAACATATTACACTCTATTTCTTAATTCAGAAAAATCATAGAACTGAATAAATTAACATATGTTAGATAATCAAGTTTTAAATTATCATTTTTAAGATTAGAATATCTCACAGATTGATCTACAGATTCAATAAAATCTCTCCAAATTTTTAACTATTTCTAATGGAAATTGACAAGTTCTTCCCAAAAACAAATATAGATAAGCTGGGCTTGGTGGCTCATGCCTGTAAACCCAGTGCTTTGGGAGGCTGAGGTTGGAGGACTGCTTGAGGTTGGAGGACTACTTGAGGCCTGGAGTTGAAAAACAGCCTGGGCAACATAGGAAGGTACTGTGTCCAGAAAGATAAAAAAATAAAATTAGCTGGATATGGCAGCGCATGCCTGTAGTCCCACCTACTTGGGAGGCTGAGGTGGTGGAATTGCTTGAGCACAGGAGTTTGAGGTAACAGTGAGCTTTGATTGATCCACCTCACTCCAGCCTGAGTGGCAGAGTGAGACTCTCTCTCTAAAAAAAGATTTAAAAAACAATATAAATGTGCACAGAATACCAAATACACAAAACAGTCCTTAAAAAGAAAAATAAAACAATTTATACTTTTTGATGTAAATTCTTATTATCAAGGATAGAGTCATGTAATTAATAGATTTGAAGATCCAGCCGGGTGCGGTGGCTTATGTCTGTAATCCCAGCACTTTGGGAGGGTGAGGTGGGTGGATCACTTGAGGTCAGGAGTTCAAGACCAACCTGGCCAACATGGTGAAATTCCATCTCACCTACAAATACAAAAAAATTAGCTGGGCATGGTGGTGCATATCTGTAATCTCAGCTACTTGGGAGGCTGAGGCAGGAGAATCGCTTGAACCTGGGAGGTGGAAGTTGCAGTGAGCCTAGATCCTGCCACTGCACTCCAGCCTGGGCAACAGAGCAAATGTCTCAAAAAAAAAAAAAAAAAAAGGAAGATCCATTTAAAAACACATTCATTTATGGCAAATTAACATTCACAAAAGTTCCAAAAAATTTCAATGTGGAAGAAACAGCTTTTCCAAGAATTTTTCTAAGAAAATTGGCTATAAACGTTTAAAATAAGAAGTCAGACCCCATCTCAAATCAAATACATACTGAAATACTTAATATGAGCTGTAAAGCTAAATGTAAGAGCTAAAATGACAAACTCCTTACAAGAAACGCAGAAGTAAATTTTTATAATCTTTTATTCAATAACGATTTATTTATTTTTTACATTTAGGTTTGTTTTATTTAAGTTTAATGTTAATTCCATACTGTGTTTCAGTAAGAACAATACAGATTCTATATCTGTGGCTCCAGTCAGATATCCAGTAGAACAAATTAGCTTCAAGTTACACATACTGAACAAAAGTGATTGAGCTAGAAGAGGGGAGGAGTGAGGGGAAGCAGGTAGGGGGATGGAGAAGGAGTGGAAACAAATAATTGAACACGCATGCAGGCCCTTTTCCACACCACCTGCAACGCTAACCCGCTTCAGTGGGAGAGTAAAAGTAGGCAAGAATGAGCAGCCACGATTGTTGAACTGTTACCAGCACCATGCTTTTCAGCAACATTTCAGTAGAGTTTGAAAAACTTTTTACAGCAAAACCATTTCAAAACTCTCTCCCCAAACAAACCTTAACCATCTCAAGCTAACACCGAGTTACTTTCAAACATTGGTATAAAATACGGTTTAAACAATTAGAAAAACTGAAAAATGATACCACTTTTGCCTCTATAGTGTGATTAATATCTCCCTTAGACGCTTGCATCACCTAGAAGCGTCACCTAATGGCTTTCAAAGGTAATTTCCATTTCTAATGGTAATCTTGCCACATCTGGCACGGAGACAATACAGTAATGCTGAGAAAGCCTGTATGCGGTCCTGTTAGTGTCTTAAAGAACCTAAAAGCTGGGACCAGTAAAATCCACAGAAATTCACTCTTGCCTTTAAGAACTTTTGAAAACTGTTTAAAAAACAAACAAACAAACAAACAAACAAACAAACAAAAAACAGGGCAGGAACCTAAATTCTGACGCCAAATGTAAAAGTCAGATTTGGTGGTTCTCAGTGACAATGGGGAGTTGCCAAGGGGTGGGATAGGGAAGAGCAGGGTGGTCGGAGATGGTTTTTCTTGTTGGCTTTTATGTCTCACTGATTTTCATCTTCCACCTCCTGCAGCGCTTCTTTATTCTGTTCTTCACCATCACCCTGCATGCCTGAAGTCCATAGTGTCCTTATAGCTTTCTTCACTCAGCGTATCCAGTTCTGCAATTGTATCATCAAAAGCTGCTTTTGCCAACCTGCAGGCATGGTCAGGGGAATTAAGAATTTCGTAGTAGAATACAGAAAAATTTGAGAGCAAGACCTAAGCGAGTAGGATGCATTGGTGGAAGTTCTGTCATTGCAATATCACTAGCAGCTTTATAAGCCACTAGGCTGTTCTCCACAGCCTCCTTCCTGTCATTTCCTGTGGCAAATTCTGCCAGATACCTGTGGTAGTCCCCTTTCATTTTATAATAGAAAACTTTGGACTCGCCAGTGTTAGCTGCTGGAATGAGGTTTTTGTCCAGTACATCCAGAATGTCACAACAGAGTAACTTTAGCTCAGTCTCAATCATTTGCTGATATTCCCAAATCATTTTTAGCTTGTCTTCTCCTTCCTTGTTTTCTTCTTTCTGTTCAATACTGCTGATTATTCTCCAGGAGGCTCTTCTAGCTCCAATTACATTCTTATATGCAACAGATGGGAAGTTTATTTCTTCAACTGTCAGTTCCACATCCATCCCTGCTACTTTCTTCATTGACTACACCATTTCTTGGAAGATACTGCCAGTTCAGTTCCAGAGCACATTGTATTGCTCAGCCTGCTCGGCCAGCTTTACCTGGTACCAGATCCTCTCGATCATCCACAGCGGCAGCCGCTCCCACAGGGTCTGCGCGACCGATGGAAGTGGATAGTGTCTCTGCCTCTCGCTCCGCTTCTGGGCAGCAAAAATGGCGACACCACAATCCGGGACTTTCCCCTGCCCACGCGGAAAACTGCTCAGCTCTGTGGCAACCGCTTCCTGGCAACTAATGATTTCTTAAATAACACAACAAAAAAGCATAATCAAGAAGAAACTGATAAACTTCATCAAATTGAAAAACATTTTTTTCCAAACACCAAGAAGAATATATAATCTAAGCTGCATAATGAGAGACAATATTTCCAATTACATATCTTCTCGGGCTCTAGTATCCGGAATACAAACAAAACCAAAACAAACTCTTGTATGTCAATAATAAAAGGACAAATTACCAATTAAAAATGGTCAAGGGACTTGAATATATGTTTTACCAAAGAAGATATACAAATTGCTAATATGAACATAAAAATATGCTCAATATATTTTGCTATTAGGAAAATAAAAATCAAATCACAATGAGATAATAATGAACACACTATATTGGCTATAACAAAGAGACAATAACAAGTGTCGGCAAATGTGGAAAGTATGGAATTTCTATGCATTGCAGCTGGAAAGGTAAAATAATGTAGTCATTTTATAAAACAATTTGGCAATTCTTCAAAATTTTAAACACAGAATTGCCACATGGCTCAGAAATTTTTCTCCACATATGTATGCAAAGGAAATGAAAACCTAAGTCACACAAAGACTTGTATGTGAATGTTCATAGCAGCAATGTTTATAAGAGCCAAAGGGGAATACCATCCAAATATCCATCAGCTAGTGAAAAAATATGTGTCATATTTATGCAATAAAATCCTCAGCAGTCAAAGGGAATTAAGCAATAATCCATGCTACATTGGAAATAAACCTCAAAAATAGTAAACTAAGTGAAACAAACTAGGTTTCAAAAAGATTACATAATTTATAATTCCACATATAAGAAGAGTCCATAAAAAGCTCATTGATAGACAGAAAATAAACTAATGGATGTCTAAGGCCTGGGTGATGGTGGAGAGTGAATGAAAACAAGACAGATTTTACTCTGAGATGATGAACATATTTTAAAGTTAGTTGTGATTATCAATATGTAACTCTGTTATAATATTAAAAACAGGCTGGGCGCGATGGCTCATGTCTGTAATCCCAGAACTTTGGGAGGCCGAGACAGGCGGATCATTTGAGGCCAGGAGTTCGAGACCAGCCTGACCAACGTGGTGAAACCCCATCTCTACTAAAAGTACAAACAAATTAGCCGGGCGTAGTGACGCATGCCTGTAGTCCCAGCTACTCAGGAGGCT
Organism: Homo sapiens; assembly: GCF_000001405.40. Lineage (NCBI taxonomy): Eukaryota > Metazoa > Chordata > Mammalia > Primates > Hominidae > Homo > Homo sapiens. The sequence continues at coordinate 64,432,494 of NC_000007.14, read as the reverse complement.
GAGGCAGGAGAATCGCTTGAACCGGGAGGCAGAAGTTACAGTGAGCCGAGATCCCGCCACTGCACTCCAGACTGTGCGACAGAGCAAGACTCCGTCTCAAAAAAAAATCAAAAATAAAAAAAATTGATATTTACAATGAAAATGTCATTGTATTATGTAAATTATATCCCATTAAAGCCTATCAAAAATTAACATGCCAAAAGTATTAAAATAGCTTCTGACTTTAAGAAATCCAAGTAACAGACTTTTAACACCAAAGTTATTTCTGTTGATTTAATAAGTATTAAAGAAGAAGAAGATACTTTAAATATCACAAGAGGACACAAGTGCGACCAAAAACATTATAGAGGTTACGTAAGCAAAAAGAAAACAGTTTGTAAGGAGTATTTACGGATAGGAACCATCTGGTTTTACTAGACTAGAAAACTGAAGTCATTTACAGAAGACTACTGTAACTCAATTGTTACAAATAAGTAATGATGTCATCATAGAATGAGGAAAAATTAAAAATTAATTAATTAAAAATATTTGGAGAAGCAATCTAACATAAAGTTGGTTGATGGCACCCGTCTCTACAGTCAGAGTAGCCTATTGCTAATGCAAAAGCTGCACATTCATCGCTTCTTCAAAACCAATCTCAATACCCAAATCTGATACTAATCTCTAAATTTATTACTGTAATTTATGAGAAGATATCTGCCTATTTTTTATTACATAACATGGCTAATGTTCAGTATTTGAAGGTTTTATTAAAAATAACTTAAATTTTTTATTTAAAACTTATTATGGCAGTTAAAAATGTAAACAAAAATATGGAAATTATACAGAAATTCCTGATTACCCATCACAAGGCTCCAGCCATTATTTTCTTTCATTTTCAATTATTAACTCCATTTTTTTGTAAAGTGTTAAATATAAAAATCTGTATTGTTAAATTTGTAGAAATTTTGTACCTCTAACAAAAAAAAATGAAAATATTATTATGATTCCTCATAAATTTTTTTTTTTGAGACAGAATCTTGCTCTGTTGCCCAGGCTGGAGTGCAGTGGTGCGATCTCAGCTCACTGCAACCTTCAGCTCCCAGGTTCAAGGGATTCTCCTGCCTCAGCTTCCCGAGTAGCTGGGACTACAGGCGCCCACCACCACGCCCAGCTAATTTTTTGTATTTTTAGTAGAGATGGGGTTTCACCGTGTTAGCCAGGATGGTGTTGAACTCCTGACCTCGTGATCCGCCCCTGCCTCAGCCTCCCACAGTGCTGGGATTATAAATATCCATAATATATACACAAAAATCCATAAATATATACACAAATATATATTTAAAAATATTTTTGGCCAGGCGGTGTGAGCCACCGCGCCCGGCCAAAAATATTTTTAAATATATATTTGTGTATATATTTATGCAATACATGAGATATGTTGATACAGACATGCAATATATAATAATTACATTATGGAGAATGAAGTATCCATCCTCTCAAGCATTTATTCTTTGTGTTACAAATAATCCAATTATACTCTTAGATATATTAAAATGTACAATTAAATTATTATTGACTATGGTCACCCTGTTGTGTTATATCAGGTCTTTTTCATTTCTTCTAACTACTTTTTGTATCATAAACTATCCCCACTTCTTCCCAACCCCCCCCCACTACCCTCCCCAGCCTGTAATAACCATCCTTCTACTCTCTATCTCCATGAGTTTAATTGTTTTAATTATTAGCTTCCACAAATAATTGAGAACATGTAATGTTTGCATTTCCTTTCCTGGCTTATTTCACTTATCATAATGACCTGCAACTCATGTTGTTGCAAATTACTGGATCTCATTCTTCTTTATGGATATGTAGTATTCCATGGTGTATGTACCACATTTTCTTTATCTGGTCTTCTGTTGATGCACATTTAGGTTGATTCCATGATATTGCTATTGCGAATAATGTTGCAATGAACATGTGTGTACATGTGTCTTTATGATAAAATAATTTATATTTATTTGGTTATGTACCCAATAATGAAATTGCTGGGTCAAATGGTGCTTCTGTTTGTAGTTCTTTGAGAAATCACCACAGTGCTTTCCACAATGTCTGGACTAATTTACATTCCCATCAGCAGTGTACAAGTATTCCATTTCCACCACAACTTTTGCAGCATGTTACTTTTTGTTTGTTTGTTTGTTTTTGTTTCTGAGATGGAGTCTCGCTCTGTTGCCAGGCTGGAGTGCAGGGGCACGATCTTGGCTCACTGCAACCTCTGGCTCCCAGGTTCAAGTGATTCTCCTGCCTCAGCCTTCAGAGTAGCTGGGACTGCAGGCGTGTGCTACCATGCCCAGCTAATTTTTGTATTTTTAGTAGAGATGGGGTTCACCATGTTGGCCAGGATGGTCTCGAATTCCTGACCTCGTGATCAACCCACCTCGGCCTCCCAAAGTGCTGGGATTACAGGTGTGAGCCACCGTGCCCGGCAGCAGCATCTGTTACCTTTTAACTTTTTAATAATAACCTTTATAACTTGTGTGAGATGGTATCTTATCCACTATCTAATATTTTAAATAATGTGCAAAAAAGGAAACAAAATCAGGTTATTCAGTATCAACAGTAACAAAAATTATGCACATCTGTACAACTTGACATCGTTACATTGCATGGTAGTTGTGAAAACATACATGTAGATAAAATATTTAAAAAAGGAAAGGGGCTCAAGATGGTAAACCAGTGACATTGGATGCCAGTTCTCCTTAGAAAGAACAATAAATATTGTGAACTGGTAATTATACCTCAAACAGAATATCAAGGAAAGAACACTAGAACCTAATTGAGAACTCACAGAGAAAACCTGAGGAACCGAAGGAAAAGGAAGCAAGAGGCCAACTCAGCAGATACCTGCTAGGAACCTGGAGGGCCTCAGCATTGCTGAGGACAGGTAAGTAGGAAATGTTTCCACAGCCTACATTTCTCCTGTGGACTGCCACAGTCTGAACTGTGGGAGAGCTCCTTTGTTCTCATGAACCCTGACACTAACATGGCTGTTGACTTCAAGAACCCTTGGAGCATAGCACCAGACTGGGGACTCATACTGTGCTACTCACTTTCCACCAAGATACAAGTGGTTGTGTCAGGATGCCACTGGGAAAATGCAGGTATTAGGGGACTGACTCCATCCCTGTGAACCTCAGTTCCCCTATCTGCATCTCAGGAGCTACCGCTGACATTGGCCAGTGCCAGCTTGAAGGGCTGCAGTGGCACAGAGCTGGCTGGACCCAGGAATGACACAGTTCCCCAGAATTTTGGCCCTTACAGAGTGCTGCTCCTGGGAAAGTGGAGAGTTCAGTGAACCAAGAAGGCGAAACTGGGACAAAAGACAATCAAAGCATTCTACTTTCAGAGTCCAATAGCTGCCTGCTTGGGGACTGTGAAAAGTAACTTTGCTCTCAACAGGTGCGAAAACTGTCCTCACACTGCAAATGAAGAGTGAAATGCCCTCCCACCAACTGCACAGCCTCTGTGCAGTGGCTCAAGCATGGAGAATGAGACCCCTCTTTTCCCTTCGCACACCACTGCAGGCACAGCCTCTACTACTGCCACAGGAAGTTGGGGTAAGTGAGCATCTTGAGCTGTGAGTGGTGACTGCAACCCGACTGGCAGCATGGACTTCAAGCCTAGGCTTAAAAAAAGGGCAATGGGCCGGACACGCTGGCTCATGCCTGTAATTCCAGCACTTTGGGAGGCCGAGGCGGGCGGATCACTTGAGGTCAGGAGTTCGAGACCAGCCTGGCCAATATGGTGAAACTCCGTCAATACTAAAAATACAAAAATTAGCTGGGCGTGGTGGCGGGCACCTGTTATCCCAGCTACTCAGGAGACTAAGGCAAGATAATCGCTTGAACCCTGGAGGCGGAGGTTGCAGTGAACTGAGATCATGTTACTGCACTCCAGCCTGCGCATCACAGTGAGACTCTGTCTCAAAAAAAAAAATAAAAAAATAAGTTAACTAATGAGCTCCCTTCCAAACCAACAGAATCGCATTTTCTTACAGTGAGTGAGATCTGGAATACCAAATAATTTATATGCACATGAAAGCTTGAAAGGCAATGCTTAGCTAAGTGGCTCTCACCCTAAACTTCCATTTAAGAGCGTCTGGCCAGTTTGAAGAAATGCCATCCCCTGTGCCCTCGCCACTGCTTCTACCTATTGTTCTGGGTGGAATCATTCATGTGGTTCTAATTAATTGCCCCATGTGATTCCCAGGTGAGGCCAGGGTAAAGCACAAGGGCTCCCAAATCCTTTCAGGAGAGTTGAAAAGCTTTAAGCTTTTTCCCTGAAGGGAGATCACAGAGGCTCTCTGCTTGCATTTGGTAGGGTGCTAGTCAGTTTGGCCCATATTCCCATTGCTGTAACAGAAATCACTGGAGTCTGTGGCGAGGGAGAGTACTAGAGGGCAGAAAAATGAGAAAATCTTTATATAGCAGGTCATTGTTTCTGAATTCTACAACAGAGGCCAGAAGGAGAGAACATTTTCTGCACTTTAAGGTCCTTCTGCCTGTGGGTGTGGTGGTGCCAGGTAAAAAGTTTGGCCTGATGCCTTCAAGGACACATTCTGAAGATGAAGGTGAGATTTGTTCAGTTAATCTCTCCTGAGAAGGAATCCGAGAAGAGAGAAAAAATGGCTGATTCTCAGATAAGTGTGTCCCAGGTCAAAAACTGTGTCCACTTTTTCTTCTAGAATGTCATGTATCTAGAACTGCAATCATTTCCATTTCTACTTCTGATGTTTCTGCCTAACAAGATTATTTTAACTACCTTTTTTCTTTTCTTCTCATGACAGCGAAAGGACCTCTTTAAAATAATTCTCCCCTCTATATTAGAGCCTTATCTTCATTCCCTCCATCCAGGCTTCTTACATATCACAGATAATTCTCATCTTGAATTTATACTCTGAAATATTGAAAGTATGCCCTTTGTTGACAGATCTGTCTGGGCAGGTGGGGATATAAAACATTCTTTTTGGGGATGGTGCTGGGTCCTCAGATATCAGTGAGTGAGAAAAGTCCACTGTTTATGTTCCATCTGGATGCTCCATCAGCTCTGTGAAGAACATAACTTTTAAATGCACACTTAAAAAGGATGGAATTAATTGCCTGGGATAATTCAGAAGATAAGAAAAGGAATTAAATTTTTTAAATGTGCCTTCTAGGATGCTAAAGAGGGAGTATTTAAATACACTATTAGAAATTACAAAACATGGGAAACATATGTGGCTTGAATTTTACATAAAACTGATTTTTTATGATTAGATTCTGATTATGGTTTATGTTTTTTGGCCAGTAATCTTCCAGAAGTCATGTTGAATCTGCCCATATGTATCAGCACCTGATACCAATTTGTCTCATTAATTTTATTCACTTGGTTAAGATGCTCTCTAAAGGATTCCTCCACCATAAAGTTACTTTTTCTTTGAACTCTGTCATTAGCAGGTATCTTGGAGAGACTTTCTGATCAATGTGCATAAACAATCACATTTAATCTGAAAGTACCCCTTTCTTATTTGTTTCTCTTTGTTTATACCTTGCTTCAGAAAATGAAGGTTGTCATCATTGTTTACTGGTCTTATACACTGGGATAAAACCCAGGTTCTGTCACTTACTAGATGTTTTACAAAATATTTTTCTTAGCTAGAATCATTGGCATCATTGATGAGTTGTTAGCAATGCAGAAACTCAAGTCTCATCCCAAGTCTCTTGAATTAGAATACGCATTTTAACAAAATCTCCAGTTTATTGATGTACACATTAACATATGAGAGGTACCTTCTAACTTAATGTGACTTCTCCATATGGGAACTATATACAACTTACTCTGTATGATGTAAATATAGCACTCAAAACTGTATATGCTTGTGTTTATGCCATGAATTGTATGCTGCATCATTCAGAAAACTATAGTACCTACACTGGTTCTGTGGATCTTATTTCATTCTCTTTTCTCAGAATGAGGGAATACATTAGAGAATCATTCTGTATTAAACAGTATCTTATTGGATAATTCAAGTCTCTTGTGTAAAACAGAGCCACCTCTCTTAACTCTCAAACACCTAGAGTCAAATTAGGTATTCTGCCCATGACCACTTGCTAAATATGTGTGTGTGTCTGTCTTTTAGAAACTGCGAACATTGAAGGATGCGGCCATAGAATTATCTTAGAAGGAGTGGGAATGTCTGAATCCTGCTCAGTGGAATTTGTATAGGGATGTGATGTTAGAAAACTCAGAAAGCTGGTTTCCCTAGGTGAGAATGACATTTCCCCGGAATTCCTAATACACCCTAAGGTTTCTATTTGCTCCCTTTGTAGAATGATCTTGGGAGTTTTTGCTTGCTTAAATTATTTTTAGATCAATACTTTTAAGGGAAACATGAAGGTTTTTTGGAATAAAGAAAGAAAATCTTCAAGATGTTTTATCTTAACAGAAACCTTCCCCTTTCTTGAGCTAATCTGTATCCTTCACTCTAGATTAGTAGAAATCTAGAAATTCAGTGGCGTAAAATATTGTTGCCCAAATATTGAAATCCAATATTCATCACCAATTTTAAATTCAATAGTGTTGGATAGTAGAGCTAAGGGCCCAGAAATGTAAAATATGTTTTAAATATTCTAAAGGTTCTGTCAGAAAACAGTACTTTGAAATTAATTTTTTAGAATGTTTTATAATATTCTCTCCTCTCTACTGAACATAATACTAGGTCAGTAATTGGAGAATCCCAGCAAGTCATGTTACTTTTTTCTAACAGGTCTTGCTGTCTGTAACCCTCATCTGATCTCCTGCCTTGAGCAAATAAAAGAGCCCTGGAATGTGAAGAGACATGAGACAGTAGTCAAATACTAAGATAGGTAAGCATGAATGAAGCAGATAACACAGACCAGAGGTACAAAGGTCAAAAAGAATGCCAGACCTTAAAATGTGATATGGGACACTCTGCTTCAATGGAAATGTTTCCTAAAAAGCCACTTTTTCCTCTTGCTCTCAAATAGGAGCATCTTCTTTCCCATACCCTTAAATTCTCTAAAGACTCTACTTCCCATTCTGTGATTTTCCTTTGAGATTACTATGAGAGCCAGAGTCTTCTTTATGGCTTATAAGGTACTGCATGATATGCCTGTTCTTCCATTGCTTTGGGGGGATACAAGAATATCTTTATTTTTGAGGAACTGCATGTTAGATCATTTTTAAAGTTTTCTTTTTCCATCATGTCTGAAATGTGTGAGAGCAGTGGTGATATTAAGATTTGTTTCAGGAATCTCAGGAACATCAATGACAAACGTGGCTTGTTATTTCTCTATTTTTTCTTTCTGATTTTCGCAATCCTAACAGATTTGAAGTGGTAGCTCATTATTGGTTTCATTTGCAACTGCCTGATGGTAGGTGATATTGAGCACTCTTTCATATACCTGTTGGTCATTTGTTGTATATATTTGTTGACAAAATATTTTGTAGTCTTCTGTCTATTTTTCAGTTGGATTATCATCATTATTATTATATTTACCTTTGCTTTGAATTTCTCATATATTTTGAATATTAAACTCTTATCATATATATGGTTTGCTATTTTGAGTATGATGCAATAAACATGCAAATGTATCTATCATTTTAATATAATAAATTCTTTTTTTGGGTAGATTCCCAATGATGAGATTTCTGAATCAAATGGTAGTTCTATTCTTAGTTATTTGAAAAATTTCCATATTGTTTTTTACAGAGGTTACATTAATTTATATGTTTTTGCTGACAGTGTATAGAGTGTTCCCCTTTTTCCACATCTTTGCCAATGTTTATTATGTTTTTTCTTTTTAATAGTAGCCATTATTGCTAATGCAATATCTCACTGTGGTATTACTTTCTGTTTCTCTGCTAATTAGTGATATTGAGCTTTTTTAAAATATGCATGCTGGCTATTTGTATGTCTTTTCTGAAAAATGCCTAGTTATTTGCCCATTTTCAATGGGATTCTTTGTTTTTATTACTATGATGATTTGAGTTTGAGTTATTTGTAAATTCTGAATATTAGTTCCATGTTGGCACATAGTTTGCAAATATGTTCTTTTATTCTGTAGGTTGCCTGTTTACCCTGTTGATTATTTTTTTTGCTGTGCCAAAATTTTTTAGTGTGAGTCCCATTTGTCTATTTTCCTTTACTTTTGTTTATTGCATGTTTGAGGTTTTAGTCATGAATACTTTGCATAAACCAATGCCCAGAAGAGTTTTTCTCACATCTTCTTTTAGCACTTTTATAGCTTCAGGTCTTACTTTAATTCTTTAATTCATCTCGAGTTGATTTTTGTATATGGTGAGTGATAGGGATCTGTTTCTATTCTTCTGTATATGGTAATCCAATTTTCTTAGCACTATTACTGAACAGGGTATTCTTCCTCTAGTGTATCTTGTGATCAGTTTAGTCAAATATCAATTGACTGAAGATATGTGACTTTATTTCTGAGTTTTCTTTTCTTTTCTTTACTTTTTTTTTTTTTTGAGATGGAGTCTCACTCTGTCACCAGGCTGGAGTGCAGTGGCACCATCTCGGCTCACTGCAACCTCTGCTTCCTGGGTTCAAGCGATTCTTCTGCCCCAGCCTCCCAAGTAGCTGGGACTACATGAGCACGCCACCACACCCAGCTAATTTTTGTATTTTTAGTAGAGACAGGGTTTCACCATGTTGGCCAGGATGGTCTTGATCTCTTGACTTTGTGATCCACCCGCCTTGGCCTCCCAGAGTGCTGGGGTTACATATTTCTGAGTTTTCTATTCTGTTTCCTTAATCTACATGTCTGTTTTTATACCAGTACCATGCTGCTTTGGTTACTATTGTGTTGCAGTATAATTTGAAGTCAGGTAAGTGATGCCTCCAGCTTTGTTCTTTTTGCTTAGGATTGCTTTGGCTCTTTTGGCCCCTTTCTTATGAATCTTATGATAGTTTTTATCTAATTCTGTAAAAAATAATGGGGGTATTTTGATAGAGATTGCAGTAAATCTGTAGATTGCTTTGGGCAGTATGGTTATTTTACCAATATTAATTCTTTCGATCCATGAGCATGAGCCATTTTTCTTTTTGTGGCATTTACATTTTGTCTAATCAATGTTTTGTAGTTTACCTATAGAGATCTCTCATTTACTTGATTAAATATGTTCCTGTGTATTTTATCTTTTTGGTAGCTATTGTAAATGAAATTGCCTTCTTGATTTGGTTCCCAGTTGGATCACTGTTTGTGTATAGAAATACTACTAATTTTTGCATATTGATTTTGTATCTTGACACTTCACTCAATTCATTTATCATATTTTAAAGACTTTGGTAGAGTTTTTAGGTCTTTCTAAATATAATATCACATCATCAGTGAACAGGAATAATTTAATTTAATTTTTCTAGTTTAGGTGCCTTTCTTTCTTTCTTTCTTTTGCCTGATTGCTCTAAGACTTCCAATACTATATTAAATAGGAGTGGTAAAAATGGCATCCTTTTCTTGTTTTGGTTCTTAAAAATAATTTTTCTCATTCATTATAATTATAATGTTACTTCTATGTTTAATTTATTGAGGGTTTTCATCATGAAGAAATGGTGAGTTTTATTAAATTCTATCTCTGCATTTGTTGAGATAACCGTATGGTTTCTGTCTTTAATTTTGTTCATGTAGCTTATTATGTATACTGCTTTGTGTACTTTGAACCATTATTGCATCCTTGGTATAGAACCCACTAGATCATGGTATATATATATTTTTATTTTATGTTGGATTCAGTTTAGTAGTATTGTGTTGAAAATTCTTGCATTTATGTTCACAAAGATATTGGCTTATAGTTTGTTGTTGTTGTTGTTGTTGTGTGTCCTTGGCTAGTTTTGGTATCAGGGTGATAATGACCTCAGAATTACTTAGAAAGAATTTCATGGCCGGGCGCGGTGGCTCATCCCTGTAATCCCAGCACTTTGGGAGGCCGAGGCGGGCAGATCACGAGATCAGGAGATCGAGACCATCCTGGCTAACACAGTGAAAGCCCATCTCTACTAAAAATACAAAAAATTAGCCGGGCATGGTGGCGGGCACCTATAGTCCCAGCTACTTGGGAGGCTGAGGCAGGAGAATGGCATGAACGTGGGAGGCGGAGCTTGCAGTGAGCCAAAGATCGCACCAGTGTACTTACTCCAGCCTGGGAGACAGAGCGAGACTCCGTCTCAAAAAAAAAAAAAAAAAGAATTTCATTATTCTCAATTTTGGGGAAGAGTTTCAGGAGGATTATTATTAATTCTTTGTACATTTGGTAGAATTTGTGCATTCATCTGGTCCTGAGATTTTCTTTTTCAAGACTTTTTTTATTACTGATTCAATCATGCTACTTATTATTGGTCTTTTCAGGCACTCTGTTTCTGCCTGGTTCTATCTTGGGAGGTTGTATATTTCCAGGAATTTATTCTTTTTTTTTCTAGGTTTTCAGGTTTGTGAGTGTCTAGTTGTTTTTAATAGTTTTTAGTGATCTTTTTTATTACTGTTGTATCCATTGTATGTCTATCCTTTTACTTCTGATTTTGTTTATTTAGATCTCTCTTATTTTTGCAGTTAGTCTAGCTAGCAATTTATCAATTTTGTCTTTTTGAGGAACTAACTCTTTATTCTGTTGATCATTTGTATTGTTTTTGGTCTTTATTTCATTTGATTCTGTTCTTGTTTTTGTTATTTTTTTCTTCTTCTAACTTGGAATTTGGTTCGTTATTAATTTTCTAGTTTCTTGAAGTGTGATGTTAGGTCCTTAATATGTAAGCTTTCTACTTTTTTGATGCAGGCATTTAGTGCTATAAACTGCTGTCTTAGTACTATTTTTGTGGTGTCTCACAGGTTTTATTATATTGCGTCTCTATTTCCAATTTGTTCCCACAAATTTTTACTTTTCATCTTAATTTTTTACTTGAGATGGGGTCTCACTCTGTCACCCAGGCTGGAGTGTAATGGCATGATCTTGGCTCACTGCAATCTCCACCTCTTGGCTCAAGTGAGCCTCCAACCTCAGCCTCCTGAGTAGCTGGGACCACAGGTGCACATCACCACACCCAGATTTTTTTTTTTTTTTTGTATTTTTGGTAGACACAGGGTTTTGCCATGTTTCCCAGGCTAGTCTCAAACTCCTGACTTCAGGTGATCCACCTGCCTCAGCCTCTCAAAGTGCTGGGGTTACAGGTGTGAGCCACCACCCCCGGCTGACCATCTTAATTTCTTAATTGACACGGTGACTGTTTAAGAGCATGTTGTTTAATTTCTTCATAATTTTAGTTTCTGAAATTCCTCTTCATATTGATTTGTAGTTTTATTCTACTGTGGTTTAAAAAGGTAGTTGATATAATTTTGATTTTGGGGGGTACTTTGTTGAGACTTGTTTTATTCATACCACATGGTCTATGTTGCAGAATGTTCTATGTTTTGATGACAGGAGTGTATATTCTACGATTGAGTGGGAAACATGTTCTGCAGATGTCTTTTAGGTCCATTAGATCTAAAGTCCAATTTAAGTCAAATAATTATTTTTCAGCTTTTCTATTTCAATGATCTCTCTAATGCTGTGAGTAGAATTTTAAATTTCTCCACTATTGTATTGATGTCTATCTTTTTCTATAGGTTTAGTAATTTTTTAAAAAATCTGGGTGCTTTGATGTTGGGTGCATATATATTCAGAATTGTTATATCCTCTTGCTGAATTGAATCTTTATTATTGGATGATTACCTTCTTTATCCTTTTTGTTACTGATTTTTATTTAAAGTCTGTTTTATTTGATGTAAGTATAGATACTCCTGTTTGCTTTTGGTTTCTATTTGTGTTACTATATTCCTCCCTTTACTTTTAGTCTGTATGTGTCTTACAAGTAAGGTGATATTCTTGTAGGCAACATAGTATTGAATCAACTTTTCTTATCCATTTCCTAAATCTGTACCACATGATGTGGAATTTAATTGATTTGCATTCAAGGTTAATATTGACATGTAAGGTTTTGTTTTTGTCATAATGTTGCTTTCTAGTTTTTTTAAATCTATTTATATTTGTGGTTTGATAAAATTCTGTCGTGTTGTGATTTGATATTTATTCTTTTTCTCTCTTTTTTAAGACCTATTTTATACTTCTACATGTTTTAATGATGGTGAATATCAATCTTTTGTTTTTATATTAGAAATCCTTTGAACATCTCTTGTAGGCCCAGCCTAGTGGTAATTACTTTCCCCAGCATTTATTTGTCAGGGTAAGACTTTATTTCTTCTTCATTTGTGAAGGTTAATCTAGCTTAATGTAAAATTTTTGGCTGGCAGTTTCTTTTCCTTTCATCTTTAAAAGTGCCATCCCATTCTCTTCCGGCCAGTAAAGTTTCTTTTGAGAAGTCTGCTGTTAGTCTGATGTGGTTTCCTTTATAAATGACTAGATGCTATTCTTTTGCTGGTTTTAGAATTATTTCTTTCATTTTGACTTTAGATATTCTGATTATCATATGCCATGACGAATTCCTTTTGCAATGTATTTTGCTGTGATTGCTGGGCTTCTTGTATATGGATTTCTAACTCTGTTGCGAGGTTTGGGAAGTTTTCTTAAACTTTGTTTTCAATTATTTTCTTAAATAGGTTTTCTAAAATGTTGATGTTTTTTACCCCTCAAAAACACTGATAATTTGTAAGTTTAGTCACTATATTTAGTCCCAAACATCTCAAAGTCTTTGTTCATTCTCTTTTATTCTTTTTTCCTTATTTTTGTCTGAGTAGATTATTTTGAAAGACCTGTTTTCAAGTTCTGAAAATTCGTTTTATTCCTGTTCTCATCTATTATTGAGTCTTTAAATGTATTTTCTTTTTCCTTCAATAAACCTCCATAATTTTTGTTTGGATTTCTTTTAAAAGATATCTACCTCCTTGATACATTTCTCATTCATTCTCTGAATTTATTTATTTATTTATTTATTTTTGTATTGGTTTTCAGATTTCTCTTGCATCTCTTTGAGCTCCTTTAAAACCTATTTTTTAAAAGTCTTTTAAAGTCTGACATTTCGATGAATTTTTTTGTTAGAATACTGGAAAATTATTGTGTTCTTTTGAAAGTGTCATAAACTTTGCTTTTCCATGCTTCCTGTGTCTTTATATTGATTTCTGCACATCTGGAGCAACAGTTTCTTCTTTTTATTTTGAATTTACATTCATTGGAGGAAGCTTATTTTTTGAAGTTATTACCATGATGTTTATTGCATAGGGCCATTTGGCTTTACTTTTAGGTTTGTGCAGTGGGAAAGACTCTGCATACATTTCTTGAGTATAAACAAATATATATATATATACACACACACACGTGTATGTGCGTGTGTGTGTACAACAAATACAATGTTTTATTGGCTTAGGAGTCATCTTTTATCTGAGGTTGATTTTTAAAACTGAGTCTCAGAAAACAATGTATCTTTGTTGTGTTGGTCATTGAGATTCAGCACAGTATGACACCTGACTTAATAGGGTGAGGGGTTAGGATGGGGTAGAAGATGAGAAATTACTTAATGGCTATAATCTACATTATTTGAGTGATGCATGCCCTACAAGCCCTGACCTCACCACTGTGGAATATATGCATGTAATTGAATTATACTTGTACCCCATACATTTGTATAAATAACTTAAAAAGAACCACAAGAGTTTACTATCTTGTTTGTTTATAAATGCAAATACATTATGAATGTTTCCCATGACATTAACTATTATTGATGCAGGAGCTAAAAAGAAATTTTAATTTTAATAAAAACAGCCCCCATATTATTTCTTTTCTAACATAGAGCAGTGTGTAAAATTGAGCTGCAGACATAGATAAGCAAGACGGAAGCTTGCACAGATAAACGCCGGCAGCTGTGTCAATAAGAAAAGGTGCTACCTGGGGACTAGGCATGTTCAGAATGGTGGCTCTATCTTCCCTTTCCTTTGTAAACCATGTGTACAGTAAGAAGCAGGCAACATGGCATCAGCCAGGCAAAGACCGCATCTGCATTATAGAAGATTAGGTGGGGGCAGTCAGCTTCCCCGTGCACTGTGTAAACATCACACCTGGCTCAACCAATATTTGGGCCATATGTAAATCAGACCCTGCCTCCTCAAGCCGGTCTATAAAATCTGGTGCGCTTTGCTGCAGGCCGGAAGTCCACTCAGGCAACCCTCTCCCTCACAGGAGAGAGAGCTATTTTCCTTTCTCTTTCTTTTGCCTATTAAACCTCCACTTCTAAACCTACTTCTTGTGTGTCCACATACTCAATTTCCTTGGCATGAGACGACAAAACCCAAGTATTTACCCCAGACAGACGACACTGCTTCATTATAAGTGATAAATTTATTAGTTAAAATTGCTATATTAAGAAATATAGCACATTTTAAGGCTGCTGATGCACAGTGCAATAACTGCCATATACAAATAGGACACCAATTATACTTAGAGCCCAGGCACAGAGACTCACACCTGTAATCCCAGCACTTTAGGCTCCCAGGGCAGGTGGATCACTTGAAGTCAGAGGTTTAAGATCAGCCTGACCAAAATGGTGAAACCCCATCTCCACTAAAAATATGAACTTTTTTTTTTAGTAGAAAAAAACTTTTTTCTATTAGTAGGCATGGTGGTGCACTCCTGTAACCCTACAAGGGTGAGTTAAGAGAATTGCTTGAACCCAGGAGGCAGAGGATGCAGTGAGTTGAGATCACATCACTCCAGCCTGGGTGACAGAGTGAGACCCCGTCTCAAAAAAAAAAAAAAAAAGTATTACAAAGCTCTTGTTTCCCTGCACTTACCATTTATGAATAGTTCAATGAAATATGTTATTTTTAAAAACATTTTCCATTTTGGTATGTAAAAAACTGGCATCTCATTATTTTAATATGCATTTTAGTAACTAGGTAACTTGGTTTTATATATGTTTAGTGTATTACTTTTTGAATTGCCTAGTCATGTCTTCTGCTTATTTTGCTATTCAATTATTTAATATTTTAGTGATTCATATGAGCTCCCCATTATAGTAACCATTTGTCCAAAATTATTATATATATATATCTCCATTCAGATTCCAGTGTTCATTCTCAATGTTTTTGAGAGAAAAGGACTTCCTCCCCTCTAAAGATTTCCACTCTCTAAAGAGCTTAAACAAGTACCAATTACTCAAACACAATTAGGGAAGTTTAAACATTATCTAATTGAACTTTATTTGTGGAAAATAAATGTTCTTACCTTTCCATTATTATTTAACCATGTATAGAAAGGAGCCCATACATTCTAGGCTGATAAATCTCTTTTTAAAAAGGGAAAATGTATTCTGTCAAAGAGGGGACCAAATTCCAAGTTCACACTGCACTTTGCTAAACACATTGCCTTTGTGTTGGCTGTGTTCTCTCTGAAACACAGAGCTGCTCACATGACAGCCCTGTTCCAAAACATTTGATGGCTCATAGCAGCCAGCACAACCGACCCCCCATTCATTTTTCCAAGGTCAACACCTCTTATTATCACAACTCTATGCAACACTTCCAAACTCTATTCTCTACTCACACTCCACTTCTTGTCCTACTCGGTCCTCAAGTAAGCCTCATATTTTTATACTCCAAGGCCTATACTTAAACTGTTTTTTTCCTAAATGTACATTTTCCCATTCCCACATCTTTCTTTTCCACATGGCAAACCCTGCACATTTGAGAGCATTACTTTCTCTTTCCACTTGAATGTTCTCCACTTGTTCTTGCTGATTGTGAGGCACTGGTGAGTTTTAGAACTGGAATCATATTTTATCCATCTTTGCAGTTCTAGAGCCTTGCGCTGGGGTAATTGTCAAAAAATGGTTCCCAATGCAAACTTGCTGATGGTGATATTCAACAGATGAGAAAATGAGCCAGAATGCCTGTCTACTAATCCAGATGGTTTTTCACTATTATTTTGCTAAAACTCCCCCATTGTCATTAGCAAAATAACAATGATAATAATGATACTAGTACTAAATACACAAAATAAGTCAGTTATAATTGAGCTGGTAGCATGCATGACTTAAATTCTCTATTTATTGCTAGTTTCAAGATAGTCCTCATCCACAGATAGGAAAAAACAGGAAACAGACCCTCAAGTGCTTATCACAGTGCAAAATCTTCCAATTCCATAACTTGCTCAGGCACCCTCATAAAATAAACAAGGCACACTGGTGACCCCCATCTCAGACACACTCTAAGAGAGATAGAAGGTCTTCCTCTTTACTGTCCTCCAGTACACTTGACTCCTCCTGCTTCAAAAACAACAATAACAAAATAATATCTCCCAGAGGCTATCACACTTGAACTTGGACAAATTTTTAGATTTGATTAGTAATTAGGTCAATACAGTTGTTGCCCTTACTTGACTCATATCACATGTTATAAACCTCTTGGGATCACCCCAATACAAATTCCGAGGCAAAACCTTGAGTTTCTATGTTATGTAAAATAACAATAACCTCTTATAACACAAAACAATGGACCTGTTCTCAAGGCATTGGCCCTACCCAAAGAAAACTAAATTTCCCAAACACTTATGAAGTTTACAGCTTCAAGTCTCTTCAAAAGTAAGCTACATATGAGTCTTTGAACAGGGCTCAGCACTTTCAGTGAGGTTAAAAGTCAGTGTCCACAAGGAAGGTTTTAAAAGGCAGAAGAGTCCCCCACCAGCCACCACACAGAAGACCATCAGAATGTTAGAGTCCACGCCCACTTCTCCACTTCTAGGACATCTCCCACCATGTGAAAGACCATCTCCATTCCACAGCCTAGCCTTTCCAATAAGAACATGGTAACAATTCAGTCTTTGGCAGGATTTGTCCAAAGTTTCATTCTAGTTTGCCACTGGATCTCACTCTGTCAACCTTCTGCTTTAGTGTCTTGTTGACCTCCCCTTTTCTAAGGGCACACAAATCCCAGTCAGTTCTTTCATGTACTACCACCACCTCTGCAAGCCCCTCCCTCCGCAAAACATCCCTCTCACTTCCTGACCATCACAGAAGTGAAGGTCTAACTTATATTGTCAAATACTAGCTAGAATGTGCTGTAATCTATTTCTGGAAGCCAGAACCCTGTGCTGGCACACTTCTTTTTCTCTCTTGGTGTGCCCATCTTTTCCCTTGATGTGCCTCACAGGGAGGACTATGCACAGAGGAGGTTTTCAGTTAGTATTTGTTTGGTGAATGGATCATGACTCTATGGCGGGTAGTCTGGAAGGGGTCAGAAGCACAGCCCTAGAGACACACTTAACAGTTTGAGTTCTAATAGCTGGCCGCCTCCCTGGGTCTCTATTTCCTCATTTGAATCCTGAGGATAATAATTACATCTACATCTCTGTGTAAAAGAGTTGTTGTGATGAATGAATGAGATGTCACAAGAAAAAAAAATTAGGATGCTGGTAGCTAGTGCTCAATAATTGTTAGATCTTCTGACTTCTGCTCCTACTGCTATCATGCTGAGTGTGTTTCTACATAAACTAACAACAAACAAAGGGTAAAAATTAAAGTATAACTTTAGATTCTTGACTTGTCAAACTGGAGACCTATTGGGGTAATAAGTCTAGCACAGGCAGAAGAGAAAATGAAATACTTAATTTCTGGTTTATCTGATTTAAAGCAAATACAGGCAGGTCTGGCTAAGAAATGATTTTCACCAAAATTTGTCTGTAACTTGGATGCTGTAGGTTAAACTTATTTAAAAATAGTCTAGACAGATTCATTTGTAATATAAGCATGTTGTAGTTTCTGATGTTTCAGACTGGATTTCTGTTTGTTTGTTTGTTTGTTTGTCTATTTATTTATTTTTGAGATGGAGTTTCACTCTGTCCCCCAGGCTGGAGTACAGTAGTGCAATCTTGGCTCGCTGCAACCTCCGTCTCCCAGGTTCAAGCAAGTCTCCAGCCTCAGCCTCCCGAGTAGCTGGGATTACAGGTGCCTGCCGCCGTGCTCAGCTGATTTTTGTATTTTTAGTAGAGATGAGGTTTTGGCATGTTGGCCAGGCTGATCTCAAACTCCTGACCTCAGGTGATCTACCTGCCTCAGCCTCCCAAAGTGCTGGGATTACAGGCGTGAGCCACTGTGCCCAGCCAGGATTTCTGTGTTTTTAGTTTTTTTGAAGAGACACAAGAGACAGCAGTAGCTACTATCAGACTTCTTAGAGACAAGCTGGTCCAATGAGATTTTACAAAATTTCATTTACTGCCAGGCGTGGTGGCTCGTGCCTGTAATCCCAGCACTTTGGGAGGCCGAGGTGGGCAGATCACCTGAAGTTAAGAGCTTGAAACCAGCCTGGCCAACATGGTGAAACCCTGTCTCTACTGAAAATACACAAGTTAGCTAGGCATGGTGGCAGGCGCCTGTAATTACAGCTACTTGGGAGGGTGAGGCAGGAGAATCGCTTGAACATGGGAGGCAGAGGTTTCCCTGAGCCGAGATCACCCCACTGCACTCCAGCCTGGGTGACAGAATGAGACTCGTCTCAAAAAAAAAAAAAAATCACTTACTATAAAGGTAATAATGAAATAAATCAGAATCTATAAACATAAGAATTTGATCAGTGCTAACCACTCCACTTTCCCAATATACATATACTTCTCCCTTTTTTTTGAGCATAACGCAAAACAAACACGTGGCCACCCACCATCTACTCTCCAGTGCAGAACAGATAAATGAAGGTACAAAGCAAGCTTCAGAACACACAGACCACCATGCTCACCCCATCTAAATCTAGAGCTGCTTTTAAAAAGAGGCAAAATCAATGAGAAACTGAGAAAGTGAGTGGCTATTCTGTTCTCAGCACTTACTGTCAGAGGAAGATGAAACATGCACACACACTCTCTCATTCTAAGGCAGAACATCCACTTTTCTGAGGAAAAGGTGATTTTACAGCATGTAACCCAATGCCACATTCTTAGCAAGATGACAGTGGTTGTTTTGTTTTGTTTTGTTTTGTTTTTTGGAACGGAGTCTCGGTCTGTCACCCAGGCTGGAGTGCAATGATGTGATCTCCACTCACTGCAACCTCCACCTCCCAGGTTCAATTGATTCTCCTGCCTCAGCCTCCCGAGTAGCCAGGATTACAGGTGCACACCACCATGGCTGGCTAATTTTTTGTATTTTTAGTAGAGATGGGGTTTTGCCACGTTAGTCAGGCTTGTCACGAACTCCTGACCTCAAGTGATTCACCTGCCTTGGCCTCCCAAAGTGCTGGGATTACAGGTGTGAGCCACTGCGCCTAACCAACAGTGGTTTTGAGTGTGCAAAGAATGAGCATATCACAGACACCCTTAAGACACATTACATGGCCTGGCTTACCTGATACAATTTTTAATTTCTCTGAAGTAAACTCACTAAAATTCGAAAACATGTATTTCTTTATTCACTTATTTCATTAATTTTCTCAGGGACTTACAGAAAATATATTCAACTTTCATTCACTTAATCTTACCACAATAGATGGTCTAACATATTTAGAAGACAGCTGTATGTAACACATGCCCATACCCCAAAGCATAGCAAATTCAACACACCAGGGCCTTGAGGAAGCCAACACTATAATAGTGCAAATACACAAATATTTTTTAAAAATTCATCACCCAACAGACAGCATGTGTGGTCACCACTATCCTGCATTCTTTAAAATAAGTAGCTATGCATGGCTTATCCAAAAGTTAGCTTATATATGCTCATCACCAAAAATTGGTTCTAAACATACTATTGATTTCAATCTTGGATATTCACACAAGGCAATTATCTGGTAAGTTATATTTATAAATAACATATAATTAGGCTTCTAAACCCACACATATGGTTGGGTCACAGTGAGGCAAAGCACTCTGAGTTATTTGTAGAGTACCTTAAAATTTAAATTTTCAAAAATCACACTTAAGCTTAGTTTTAGAAGTATTCTCTTTAGCATCTCTTCACCAAGCTATTCCAATTTTAAAAAATGAGGAGTAGGGAGGGCTTTTTAATGTTTGATTCCTTCCTATTCAGTTTATCTTATCTAATAGAGAGATGAAATAAAGTGTGGTGTCTCTCTTAATAGAATTTATGGTTGTGGTTATTCAGAAATATCCATGCTCCCAAGCAAGAGATGAAAAATCACATTCTCTCCAAAATGGAGAGACCAGTGCTCCCTGGGGCCCAAAGGGATGTTCAGGTTGCATCTGTCAGGATTGACACCACAAAAGAGAACCTTCTTTGGAGCACAGTGGGGGTTACCTGAGGTTTTGGTAAGTTGTTTAGATGACATCAGAGACAAGCATTGCCCAAAATGAGAGTCCCAATAAGACTTCCATGTGAGATTGTCTTAAGAGGATTGTGGCCCAGTTCACACATAAGAGGATGGCTGTGCAGCCCAAGGAGACAGATATCTTCTCTCAGGAGCAGAAATCTTCATGTAAAAGATGTCCACTTGCTGAGTAGTTGAAGCATGCCCCGATAGAATTCTCTGGGGATCAGATTGCACACTGTCTCCTAAGTTGAATAAAGCAGAGAACAACATGTCTGCACAACAGCTTCTAGCATGTACCAACTCAGCAGAAAACACATCACAATCTATCTTGTTCCAAAAAGATTTTATTTGTCATGGGAAAGAAAATGAATTAGCCTGGGCGTGGTGGCTTACGCCTGTAATCCCAGCACTTTGGGAGGCCGAGACGGGTGGTTCACAAGGTCAGAAGTTCCAGACCAGCCTGGCCACAATGGTGAAACCCTGTCTCTACTAGAAATACAAAAATTAGCTGGGCATGGTGGCAGGTGCCTGTAATCCCAGCTACTTGGGAGGCTGAGGAAGGAGAATTGCTTGAACCTGGGAGGTGGAGGTTGCAGTGAGCCGAGATTGTGCCACTGCACTCCAGCCTGGGCGACAGAGCGAGACTCTGTTTCAAAAAAAAAAGAAGTGAATGAATATAGTAGGAACCCAAGGGCTGTCGAGGGGTAGGTAGTAAGTCTGCCATCACCAAATGTATTTAAGTGCTGGTTAGACAATCACTCTGTGGGAATAAGTTTCACTCTTTGCAAAAGGGGTAAAATAGATCTTTTTCTTTGGCACCCACAGATCTAGTGAAGATCCTAGCATACAGTAGATACACAGCAACTTTCGTTTACTAAATAAACTTTATTTTCACACAGATTACTGGTAAGCAAAATATTGATATAATGCTAAGACATTAAGGGTATCAGAAGACCACTCATGTTCTTTATGGGGTTCCAATTAAGAAATAAGTTGAAAAATCAGTCAATGAAAGGAGTTCTGATGCTCTTAAGTAGCATAAGATCTACTCTGATGGACTTAAGCCATTGTAAAAGTCCCAGCTTGGTGCCTATCAAAAGCCTCTTTCCATGAATGTTATGCTTACAAGTCAAACAGATAAAGCATCACTAAAGCAAACATAAACTACAAAGCTCTTAAAATTTAGGTGTACATTTCATTTGAAAATTATTCAAAAGCTCAAGCCATCTATAAGAAATGTCTTCTTTGCCTGTTAGTATCAAGAAATTAAAAAGAAAGAAGAAAAAGGAGAAGTGGGCAGTAGGAAACCATTTAATTATTTTAATAGGTAAGAAAATGACATTGAATTTTCACTGTTACATGAGTACTTTTTATGCTTCATCCATGCCAGGTACATAACTTTTAACCAACTAAAACACATTACAAGTAGAGAAAAAGCTAAAAACATGAAAAACATGTGCATAACTCTATAAAGGGTAGAAAACATGCTGTGTTCATAAACATTGCTTAATCCAACATTCCAGTATCAGTGAGGCATCAGCATCCACCCAGCTATAAAAGCCAAGATCGGAAAGTCATCCATCCCTTCCCAACACCATTCTATTGGCAAGCTTTTCCTACCTCTTAATTCTCTATCAAATCCATCTGAGCTCCCATCTTTACTGCCACGATGCTCCAGGCCACCACTAGTTTTCAAAATTTTCATAAACTAGCCTTCTAACTGATCTCCTTCCAAAGAGAAGGCCAATTATTATTTCCTCTTACCAGGGGAAAAATAGTCCCTAACATGCAAATATCATTATGCTGCTTTTTTTTTTTTTTTTTTTTTTTTTTTTTTTTTTTTGAGATGGAGTTTCACTCTTGTTGCCCAGGCTGGAGTGCAATGGTGCGATCTCGGCTCACCACAACCTCCGCCTCCCAGATTCAAGTGATTTTCCTGCCTCAGCCTCCCGAGTAGCTAGGATTACAGGTATGTGCAACCACACCCAGCTAATTGTGTATTTTTAGTAGAGACGGGGTTTCTCTATGTTGGTCTGGCTGGTCTCGAACTCCCGACCTCAGGTGATGTGCCTGCCTCAGCCTCCCAAAGTGCTGTGATTACAGGCCTGAGCCACCGTGCCCAGCTAATCATCATGCTGCTTTTTGGGCCAACACTTTTCACAGCTTTCCACAGTTCTTACAAACCTGGTCAACTCCCTACCTTCCTCACCATTCCTGTCATTTACGTCATTCAGTATTTTTTTCCTCTTCCAAACACACTGTACTTCTCTCACTACCCTGGACACATCCACCTTTTCAACCTCAGGGCTTCTGTACCAACTGTTCTCGGAAGCATTCTTTCCCTCCTGTCACCCATCCCTCAGATATTAGTTAAAATGTCACTTCCATGGGATGCCTTCCTTGACCTGCATCCCAGCATCCTCCATTTCTCCCCCCAACACAAAGGCCAAACTTTACTTCATAGGTTCTTGTCATACTTAACTTTTAGCAGTTAACACAGATATAAATGACCTCTTCATGGCTGGCTGAGTCTCTTTCAATGTGACATATCATCTATGAGACTAGCAACAGTCTCTCTTTATACCAGTCTGTGGCCCAGGGGTTGGCGACCCCTGATGTAGGGCAGTTGCATTTATTACCAGCACACCTATGTTGTATAGTGCCTGGCATAAACCAGGTAGCCAATAAAAAGCTATTGATTAAATGCAGGACTTATAAGGTAAGGTTTATTTTTTCTCTTAAAGGAGAAAAAAATGCTTTAGGTAAAGGTAACATGCTGTACCTGTGTCAGATGCAAATAAGACCTCAGGAATCTGCCTGAAGAAACTTAAAATAAAAGATCCCTTCATCAAAAGGTCACTTGTTGGATGGTTGTAACAAGTTAGGAATGGGTGCACCACCTGTACCAGCTCAGTGAGATACATGTTCCCTATCACATAACAAACACGTGTCTGCCCACTTCTCCTTTTTCTTCTTTCTTTTTAATTTCTTGATACTAAAAGGCAAAGAAGACATTTCTTATAGATGGCTTGAGCTTTTGAATAATTTTCAAATGAAATGTACACCTAAATTTTAAGAGCTTTGTAGTTTATGTTTGCTTTAGTGATGCTTTATCTGTTTGACTTGTAAGCATAACATTCATGGAAAGAGGCTTTTGATAGGAACCAAGCTGGGACTTTTACAATGGCTTAAGTCCATCAGAGTAGATCTTATGCTACGTAAGAGCATCAGAACTCCTTTCATTGCCTGATTTTTCAACTTAGAGTCTGAATTTCTGATGAGAAATAAAATGGTATCTAGAAAACCCCAGAGAATGATATTCCATATATCAGTGAGCATCCATGGCATTTTTAAAAGTATCACACATCCAGCAAATCCCTTGAAAAACAAGACACCCTAATATGCTACCAGTTTAGCCATATTTTTTTTTTGAGACGGAGTTTCACTCTTGTTGCCCAGGCTGGAGTGCAATGGCGCAATCTTGGCTCACCGCAACCTCCACCTCCAGGGTTCAAGCGATTCTCCTGCCTCAGCCTCCCGAGTAGCTGGGATTACAGGCATGCACCACCATGCCCAGCTAATTTTGTATTTTTAGTAGAGACAGGGTTTCTCCATATTGGTCAGGCTGGTCTCAAACTCCCGACCTCAGATGATCTGCCCGCCTAGGCCTCCCAAAGTGTTGGGATTACAGGCATGAGCCAACATGCCCGGCCAGCTGTATTTTCAAGAATGATAAGACAGTGTAACTTTATTTACCTGAAATGGAGCACAGGATCCTTTAGAAGGAATTCATACCCATTCCTGCAAAAGTTCTGTGGCAATTGAATGTAGCACTGAACTAAGCATCTTTTTGTTTTTTCAAAGAGGTTTTAGCCAAGACTTTGGCCTCTAATTTCAGATTCCCTAATTAAAATATGGCTTCAAAACTATACCTGCCTACTTGAAAAAACACAAAATCTAGAGGATGCTTTTCATGAGTGTGAAAAAATGAAAACAAAATCACATCCTTCTCTTGGCAGTTCTCTCCCTCACCTTCCACTTCTATTAAACTTCCTTCAGAATAATCGTGCACAGATTCAGAGACAACTACATATGTAAGGAAAAATAAACCCTTTCACGCACCTGTAGCCTCAGCTACCTGGGAGGCTGAGGCAGGAGAATCGCTTGAACCCGG
This sequence comes from Homo sapiens, assembly GCF_000001405.40. Classification (NCBI taxonomy): domain Eukaryota; kingdom Metazoa; phylum Chordata; class Mammalia; order Primates; family Hominidae; genus Homo; species Homo sapiens. The sequence continues at coordinate 64,408,038 of NC_000007.14, read as the reverse complement.
GAGGCGGAGGTTGCAGTGAGCCGAGATCGTGCCACTGCACTCCAGCCTGGGCGACAGAGTGAGACTCCGTCTCAGAAACAAACAAACAACAAAACAAAACAAACCCTCTCAAATATATGTGGGTATACTGGAAACTCTGTCTTGGCAGAAATCATTTTAAGGTTTTTAAAGACAGAAATGTCTTACTATTTCAGCATTCTTATCCAACAGGCACTTTGTTTCCATTGACTTAGAAAGGGCTAAGCTTAAACTCTTAAGAACGAAGGTTTAATTTTCCGTTAATAAAAATCCCAGACAGGTGCTCTGACTTACCAAATCGTTATATTTTTTATTCACCCTTCTATGTCTCTCCGCTACCACGATCATGACCACCCACAAAAGAAGAAGAAAATCCCTCCGATGTTCCCCAAATGTGTGCTGGTGCTAGCCCGGAAGCTGTGTAGAGTTTTGTAATGGAATGTGAATTGCCACCCGGATCTGGGTTCTATCTCCTAACCAGTAAGCAGAGAGGGAGGACAAATCGGCTAAGCAAGGAAAATTTCTTTCCTCTTCTACATAACCTCTCACTAATGCAGAGCTGAGGAGGGTCGCCAGCGGCCCATGGCGCTTGCCAAGCGGCCCGCTGGCCAGTGCGTTCTGCGCTGGGTGGGATCCCGGTGCCCTCCAGGGCTCCTCTCTGCCTGGAAAGGAAAGTGCCCCGCCGAGCAGTGGGATCAGCCGCCACGCCCCGGCCTCACACTTGGCCAGGGAGTGGGTCACATCCTCGATGCGCCCTTGGCCCAGAAAACATGCCGCTTCCTAGGGAGGGGGTCGGTGAGGGGAAGAACCTCCCCTGTGTCTTAGCAAACATCAGGGTAGCAGTTTTCTTTCTTTTTTTTTTATCTTTACTTATTTATTTTTTTATTATTATTATACTTTAAGTTTTAGGGTACACGTGCACAACGTGCAGGTTTGTTACATATGTATACATGTGCCATGTTGGTGTGCTGTACCCATTAACTCGTCATTTACATTAGGCATATCTCCTAATGCTATCCCTCCTCCCTCCCCCTACCCCACAACAGACCCTGGTGTGTCATGTTCCCCTTCCTGTGTCCATGTGGTCTCATTGTTCAATTCCCACCTATGAGTGAGAACATGCGGTGTTTGGTTTCTTGTCCTTGTGATAGTTTGCTGAGAATGATGGTTTCCAGCTTCATCCATGTCCCTACAAAGGACATGAACTCATCTTTTTTTATGGCTGCATAGTATTCCATGGTGTATATGTGCGACATTTTCTTAATCCAGTCTGTCATTGTTGGACATTTGGGTTGGTTCCAAGTCTTTGCTATTATGAATAGTGCCACAATAAACATACGTGTGCATGTGTCTTTATAGCAGCATGATTTATAATCCTTTGGGTATATACCCAGTAATGGGATGGCTGGGTTAAATGGTATTTCTACTTCTAGATCCCTGAGGAATCGCCACACCGACTTCCACAATAGTTGAACTAGTTTACAGTCCCACCAACAGTGTAAAAGTGTTCCTATTTCTCCACATCCTCTCCAGCAAGTCAATCCTAAGCCAAAAGAACAAAGCTAGAGGCATCACGCTACCTGACTTCAAACTATACTGCAAGGCTACAGTAATCAAAACAGCATGGTACTGGTACCAAACAGAGATATAGGCCAATGGAACAGAACAGAGCCCTCAAAAATAATGCCGCATATCTACAACTATCTGATCTTTGACAAATCTGACAAAAAGAAGAAATGGGGAAAGGATTCCCTATTTAATAAATGGTGCTGAGAAAACTGGCTAGTCATATGTAGAAAGCTGAAACTGGATCCCTTCCTTACACCTTATACAAAAATTAATTCAAGATGGATTAAAGACTTACATGTTAGACCTAAAACCATAAAAACCCTAGAAGAAAACCTAGGCAATACCATTCAGGACATAGGCATGGGCAAGAACTTCATGTCTAAAACACCAAAAGCAATGGCAACAAAAGCCAAAATTGACAAATGGGATTAATTAAACTAAAGAGCCTGTGCACAGCAAAGGAAACCACCATCAGAGTGAACAGGCAACCTACAGAATGGGAGGAAATTTTTGCAACCTACTCATCTGACAAAGGGCTAATATCCAGAAACTACAATGAACTCAAACAAATTTACAAGAAAAAAACAAACAACCCCATGAAAAAGTGGGCGAAGGATATGAACAGACACTTCTCAAAAGAAGACATTTATGCAGCCAAAAAACACATGAAAAAATGCTCATCATCACTGGCCATCAGAGAAATGCAAATCAAAACCACAATGAGATACCATCTCACACCAGTTAGAATGGCGATCATTAAAAAGTCAGGAAACAACAGGGTAGCAGTTTTCTAAGAGAGGCGAGTGGGGAGGGGGCGAGGGGGCCCCGGCAGAGGCTGTTGCTAGGGGCAGAGGTAGCAACACTAGACTGTGGGCCAGTATGAGAGGAGGAAGGGAAGCCCCAGAACTAGCGACAAATTGTTCCAGTAGGGCCGGGGGCAGTGGCTCAAACCTCTAATCCCAGGACTTTGGGAGGCTGAGGCGGGCGGATCACTTGAGGTCAGGAGTTTGAGCCTGGCCAACATGGTGAAACTCCGTCTCTATTAAAAATACAAGAATTAGCCGGGCGTGGTGGGTGCCTGTACTCCCAGCTACAGGAGCCTGAGGCAGAAGAATCTCTCGAACCCGGGAGGCAGAGGCTGCAGCGAGCCAAGATCGTGCCACTGCACTCCAGCCTGGGTGACAGAGCGATACTCCATCTCAAAAAAAAAAAAAAAAAAATTGTTCCAGTGGGAGAAGGACCCCTGTCTTTTTTTCTGGGTTCACAATCGCACCAGGCACCAAGCCCCCCACCTTGTGCAAGGATGGTGCACTCCACACCGACAGTTTTCAGTAAAACATGTACCCCGCCAATGGAATTTCAAGGAACAATAGGTGCCCCCATGACCAGGCCCTGGCCCCCTTCTTTCCTGGGCACCTTAGATGGTAGTAGGACACACCACAGCTGCCAGCTAGGAAAGGGCCAGGGTGCAGGGCTGCTTGCTGCCCCCTTGATGCCAGTGTCCTCTGCCCAGGAGGATCAAAGTCCTCAGAGCAGAGCACAGCAGATGCTCCTACCAAGCACCCTCGGGAGGGCACCCCAGGAAACCACCTCCTAGCTGGCACCCCCATACTTTGTGGCTGCAGTGGAAAGCAGGCACCCTAGTCTCCAGGCTTCCCTGTTAGGGAGGGACTGGAAAGAACATGAGAAAAGTTCCTCCTTCTGCAAGGGGAAGGATGCCAGGAAAGAGAGGGCACAAGATGGGGAGCAGCGTCAGGAAGATGTCTCTGGACTACAAGACTTGCACCATCGAATCCTGGCGGTGTTACAGAAAAATAAATTCGGCCGGGCGCGGTGGCTCAGGCCTGTAATCCTAGCACTCTGGGAGGCCGAGGCGGGCGGATCATGAGGTCAGGAGATCCAGACCATCCTGGCTAACACAGCGAAACCCCATCTCTACTAAAAAATACAAAAATCAGCCGGGTGTAGTGGCGGGCGCCTGTAGTCCCAGCTACTCAGGAGGCTGAGGCAGGAGAATGGCTTGAACCCGGGAGGCGGAGCTTGCAGTGAGCTGAGATCGGGCCACTGCACTCCAGTACTCCAGCCTGGGCGACAGAGCAAGACTCTGTCTCAATAAATAAATAAATAAATAAATAAATAAATAAATAAATAAATAAATAATAAATATAAATTCACCCTAGTATTCTGGGAGGCCAGAAAGCCCCTACTTCAACTGAGGGACACAATGACGTTTTGGGTCCCCTGGAATTAACGTCAGCTCAGAGCCAGTGTCCAGTAGTCCCCAAAATGTCTGATCATTTTCCTTTCCCCACTACACAATTACCCTGGTAAAAGGACGGAGGTCTGCTTGGGGAAGGATGGGTAAAAGATTCACTACGTAAATTGTCAGTAATGTAGTGGGGTCCTTCCTCAAGACAATCTGGCCTCCCCTTCCTTCATTCAAGGGGTTCTGGGTCTGTAAACTGGCTCAAGTCTGGAAATTGATTGAGGTGCCATGATTCTCTGTTTTTATAATTTAAATTAGTCTTTTGTCCATTCAACCTAGAAGTTTTCTCCTTATATAAATTAAGTAGGAATGCAGTAGGCATCCTATCAGTTTCATCTCTAGGAACACCGCGATTAATTAGCCAATGCCAGAGCTCTGCACAAGTGAGACTATTCTGACTGCCACTTTGCCTCTGCTGTCCATTATGGTAACTACACCCACCTTGCCTTTGATGGCTGAGTGCCACCACTTGGCCCCTGCCACCTTGGGATCCAATGATTCCCACTGAATTTAAATTTTGTAGCTGAGTGACCGCATTTCCCACCATTAGATCTGACATACAGAGAAGAGCAATTACAGGGCTCTTCAAAGATGCGGGTGCTGCCCCCACACACCTATCACAAACAATATCAGAAGGCATTGGTCAGGGGTATATCTTCTGGACCTTCCCAGCTGGGATGAGTAGGTCTAAAGTGACTAATCCACTCCACCATCCCAATCTCTCTAGGCCTTTGGATACCTTCCTCTACATTAAACCAAGGGAGATCAAGCATTTTCAGCTCACTCACAGAGGGCCATCTTTTAATCCATATTTCAGCTAACCAAGCAAATAAACTGTTAGAAACTTTTTCAACTCCCCAAGCTGCAACATTAAAAGCAGAGTCCCTACTTAGTAGGCCCAAATCAGTAAATTCAGCCTTATCCAACTCTATGTTCCTTCCACCATTATCCCTTACCCTTAATATCCATTCCCATGCCCATTCTCCAGATTTCTGTTTATATAAATTAGAGAGCTCAAACAGTTCTTTTTGAGTGTAGCATACCTTCTCAGGGTCACACTCTGAACCCCACCTCTAGGGCCCACAGGGACTTTAGTCTAGTTATAGGTCTAGAAGCAAATGGGATGTTGGGGGTGGCTCCTGTGGAGAATCAACGTTATCTTGCCTGGCAACTGCCTCAGGGGAGGCCATCTAGAGGAACAGAATATTCTCAGGCAACCCAGGGTTTATCTCCTCAGACAAAGGTGGAAAGGCTGATGGCATGGGTTGGGAAGGGGATGTTGCCACTCCTGGGGATGGGGAAGCTGTTCCTTCTGGTAAAACAGGTTCATCAGAGTTTAAAAATTCGGTGTCCGCAGCTTCATCAGGGTACTCCCACACATCCCTCTTCCAAGTTTCAGGATCTCATTCTTCTCCAATCAATGCCCTCACTTTAATAGTAGACACCTGGAGAGGCTGTGCATGCATCTTCCATTGCAGGTCAGCCACTTGCATGGTAAAAGCTTGTGTCTGTTTTTCCACAATTTCAGCTCTTTCTCTACATCAGATAAGACTCTCATTCAGGGCAATCTTAGCAGATTTGAGGCTCCGTATTTGCTTCTGAAGCCAGGAGATGGCATCCCTGATGTCGTCATTTTCTTTCATCACTTTGTCTGCTGAACTTAGGAGCAACCAACAAGCTTCACTATGTTCCATGGTTCTCCACATATGGTCAAAGGTATTATGTGTAGAGTCACTAAACTTCTTGCCCCTCACAAGCAGTAAATCAGGAGCATCAAATGCATTTATTTTGCATAACTCTCTAAACAGTTCATGCCAAGGACTATCAGTGTTCTTCATACTATTAGAAGTAGACTCCTTAGCATTTTGGGGTCTAATCATATTAAGCAGCCAACTCCAGAAACCCCAAAACCAATAAAAGAACTCCATCCTTAATATTCTGTTAGAACCAATACTGGTACCAAAATCTGTATTAGAGTTCTCTAGGGGGGCAGAACTAACAGACTATATATATATATACACACACACACACATATATATAAATATAAAATATTATATATATAAAATAAACTCCCATATATATGGGAGTTAGTTTATTATTAACTTACATGATCACAAGGTCCAACAACAGGCTGTCAGCAAGCTGAGGAGCAAGGAGAGCCAGTCCGAGTCCCAAAACTGAAGAACTTGGAATCCGATGTTTGAGGGCAGGAAGCATCTAGCACAAGAGAAAGATGTCAGCTGGAAGGCTAGGCCAGTCTCGCCTTTTCACATTTTTCTACCTGCTTTATATTCACTGGCAGGTGATTAGATGGTGCCCGCCAGATTAAGGGTGGGTCTGCCTTTCCCAGCCTACTGACTCAAATGTTAATCTCCTTTGGCAACACCCTCACAGACACACCCAGAATCAATACTTTGCATTCTTCAGTATAATCAAGTTGACATGCAGTATTAACCATCACACCAGGCAAAAGAGTAACATCACCTAGGTGCAGGTTCCACCCTTATTTCACAATGTTCCATGTGGGCAAGGCCCAAGCAGAAAGTCACATCACCTAGGTGATAGGCCCAGAGATATGTCACAACGTCCTCCTTGAAACATGGCCCTGGCAAAAGAGTACCAACACTTGTGTGCTTGATCTAGCAGTATGTCACAATGCCCTCTCTAGGCAGGCCCTAAGAAGGAGGGTCACATAAACTGGGTGCTGGACCCAGCAATGTGACAGACTAATACATGTGGAATAAACACAGATGAGGCATGAGAGCCCAAACACCTAAAGGATGGGTCTAAGACAGGCTAAAATACCTTCTGTGGCTCTGGAACAGGCAGGAGAGTCACATCATCAGGGTGCTGGGCCCAGCAATATGCCATAATTCCATCTTAATTCAGGACTTAGGCAGAAGAGTAACATCATTTGGGTTCTGGGCCCTGCAATAGATCAAAATTTCCCCTTGTGTGCATGATTCAGAAAAATGAGGATAGTCATATTACCTAAGGGCTGGGCTCAGAAATATGTCACAATCCCCGCATTGTAAAGATCCAGGCAAGAGAAGAAAGTCATATCAGTTATGTCATGGGCTCAGAGATGTGTTCCAATTTCCCCAGTATGCAGGCTTGAGGTAGAAAAAAAGAATCTTATCACCTAGGTGCTTCCCTATGTATTTGTCACAGTCTAACATGTGGGCAGAAACTGGGCAGAAGAACCACATAAACTGAGTGCTGGGTCCTGAGATATGTCATAAGGCTCCCTTAAAACAAAACCCAGGCAAGAGGGTTACATCACCTAGGTGCAGGTTCCACCCGTATGTCACAATGCTCCATGTGGTCAGGACCCAAGAAGAAAGTCACATCACCTAGGTGATAGGCCCAGAGATGTGTCACAATGTCCTATGTGAAGCATGGCCCTGGCAAAAAAGTACCATCACCTGTGAGCATGGCCTAGCAATATGTCAGTATCCCCACCCATATGCAGGGCCCATTCCAGAGAGGAGAGTCATGTCAACTAAGTGGTGGACACAGTGACATATCACAGTAATTTCTGTGGTCATGGTGCATGCAAGAATGTAACATCACCTGGGTGCTTGATCCAGATATATGTCACAATCCTTAGTGAGAGCAGGCCCCAGGCAGAGTAGTCACATCACAAGAGGTTAGCCCAGATAGACATCACAGTCCCATATATGGGCTGGAAACAATCTGGAGAGTCAAATCACACAGGTCCTTGGCAAAGATATATATCACAATCACACTGGCAGAGAATTCCAGGGATGAGATTTGCAATGCCACATATGTCCTGTTTTCATGTGTGAGAGTTGGCTTCATACATGTGAGACAGTGACAGTTCTTACTGTCAGCTGGGTGTGCATATGAGACTCAGAATTTCACTTGTGTGCTGGGCCATGTTATGACACTCTCTGTACAACACAGGTCTTTATATAACATGTGTGAGTATTGTAATCTTCTGTGACCTTTATACTAGAAGGAGATTGAGGACATTACTAGTGTCCCTAAACCTAGTCATGAGAGTAAAAATTTCTCTTATTGGCTGGGTCCACATATGAGAGTTATTATCATGCCTGTGAGCTGTACCTAGCTATATGTCACAATCCCCTCTGTGGTTTTGACAGGGAGCCCAGCCACATCACCTAAATGCTTTTCCAGAAATATTCCAATATTCTCCTTGTAGGCAGTGTCCTGAGAGAAAAGTCACAAAACTTGGGGACTAGGCCCAGCTCTATGGCACAATGCCCCTTTTGGGCACGCCCAGGCAGGAGAGTAGAGTCATATCACATAAACGATGGGCCTAGAGATATTTCACAATGTCTCCTGTAAACACCACCCAAGCAAAAGAGTCGTATTGTTTGGTTGCAGTGCTGAGAAATGCTACAATGCTGACTGAAGGCAGGGTCCAGGCAAAAGGGGGGGACATGTAACCTAGATAATGGGTCCAGAGATGTGTCACAATCCCTTCTGAGGACATTGTTAAGAAAGGAGAGTCAAACTATCAAAGTGCTTGGCCCAGGTATATGTAAAAATCTGTCAAACTTATGCTTTGATTCAGCAAATTCGAAACACTTTTTTTTTGTAGAAATTATGAAGTTACGTATTGTGAAAACACTTTGTGATGTCCTGTTTTACATCACAGAATTGAACTTCATTTTAATGAAACATGTTCCAAATGCTCTTTCTGCAGAAACTATGATGCGACCTTTCTGAACTTATTGAGCTTTTATAGGAATATATCAATATCTAGCCCTTAATAATAGAAACAAACTATCTGTGAAAATGCTTTGTAATGTGCAGTTTTACATCACAAAAGGGAAACTCTGTTTTGATTCAACAAGTTCTAAACACACTTTTCCTGGAATCTAAAAAGTAAAGTTTCCAAAGCTATTGAGCCTTTATTAGAAAATATAAATATTCAGCCCTAAAAACAACAAAAAAAACTATCTGTAAAAACGCTTTCTGATGTGTGGTTTTCTATCACAGAATTTAAACTGTGTTTTGATGAAAAAGGTTCCAAACACTCTTTTTGTAGAATCTAAAAAGTGGCATTCCAAATTTGAGTCCTTAAAAGAAAATATGAATATCCAGTCCTAAAACTTAGAAACAAGCTATCTGTAAAAATGCTTTGTGATGTGCTGTTTTATTTCACATGATTAAACCCGCATTTTGATGAAACAAGTGCAAAACAATCTTTTTGTAGAATCTTAGTAGTGACATTTCCAAACTTATTTAGGCTTTATGAGAAAATTCAAATATTCAGCCCTAAAAACTATGAACAACGTATCTGTGAAAATGCTTAGGGATTTGCTGTTGTATATCACAGAACTGATCCTGCATTTTTATAAAACAGTGTTCAAAACATTGTTTTTGTAGAGTCTAAAAAGTTACATTTCTGAGCCTACTGGGCCCTTATAAGAATATGCAAATATTCAGTCCCAAGAACTACAAAAAAGCCATCTGTGAAAATGCTTTGTCGTGTGCTGTTTTATATCACAATATGGTACATGCGTTCTGATTCAACAAGTTACAAACATTCTTCTTGTAAAATCTGAGAAGTGACATTTCTTACCCCATTGAGCCCTTATGGGAAAATATGAATATCTAGCCATAAAAACTAGAAACAAGCTATCTGTGAAAATGCTTTGTGATGTGCTGTTTTATATTACAGAATACAACCTGTGTTTTGATTCAACAAGTTCAAAACACTCTTTTGTAGACTCTAGGAAGTGTTATTTCTGAAGCCATTGAGCCCCTATAAGAAAATACAAAAATCATGCCTTAAAAACTAGAAACAGGCCGGGCGCAGTGGCTCACGCCTGTAATCCCAGCACTTTGGGAGGCTGAGGCGGGTGGATCACAAGGTCAGGAGATCGAGACCATACTGGCTAACGTGGTGAAACTAAAAAATACAAAAAATTAGCTGGACATGGTGGCGGGCACCTGTAATGCCAGCTACTTGGGAGGCTGAGGCAAGAGAATGGCATGAACCCAGGAGGCGGAGCTTGCAGTGAGCTGAGGTCACGCCACTGCACTCCAGCCTGGGTGACAGAGTGAGACTCCATCTCAAAAAAAAAAAAAAAAAACTATCTGTGAAAATGATTTGTGATATGCTGTTTTATATCATTGAATTGAATCAGTGTTTCTATGAATAGGTTTCAAATGATCTTTTTTTAAAATGTAAGAAGTGACATTACTGAACCTATTGAACTCTTATAGGAACATAAGAGTACCCAGTCCTAAAAACTAAAACTAGAAACAAGCTTCTGTAAAAACGCTTTGTGATGAGCTGTTTTATGTCACAGAATGGAAGCTTTGTTTTGATTCAACAAGTTCAAAACACTCTGTGTGGAATCTAAGTAGTGCTATTTGTGAATCTATTAAGACCTAACAAGAAAGTACAAATATCCACCCAAAATCCTAGAAACAAGTTATTTGTGAAAACACTTTGTGTTGTGCTGTTTTATATTACAGCATTGAACCTGTGTTTTGATTCAGCAACTTTCAGTCTATTTGTAGGATCTAAAATGTTGTGTTTCTGAACCTATTGAGCATTATGAAAAAATACAAATATCCAGTTCTAAAAACCAGAAACAAGCTGTACATAAAAACGCCTTGTAATGTGCTGTTTTACATCACAGAAAAGAACCTGTGTTTTTATTCAACGAGTTCAAAATACTCTTCTGTAGAATCTAAGAGGTGACATTTCCAAACCTATTGAACCCCTATAAGAAAATTAGAATATCAAGCCCTAAAACCTAGAAACAAGCTATTTGTAAAAATGCTTTTGATGCACTGTTTTATATCCCCAAGTTGAATCAGTGTTTTAATGAAATAGGTTCCAAACACTCTTTTTTTTAGAATTGAAAGAGTGACATTACTGAGCCTACTTAGCTCTTATAGGAACATAAGAAGATCCAGTCCTAAAAAATGGGAACAAGCTATCTGTAAAAATGCTTTGTGATGTGCTGTTTTATATGACAGAATGGAGCCTGTATTTTGGTTCAACAAGTTTGAAACACTCTTTTTGTAGAATCTAAGTGGTACCATTTCCAAACTTAATAAGACCTTATTAAAAAGTACATATATACACATGAAAAACTAGAAACAAGCTATATGTGAAAACGTTTTGTGATCTGCGGTTCTGTCTCACAGATTGAACATGCATTTTGATGAAACATGTTTGAAACACTCTTTTTGGGGATTCTAGGAATTGACGTATCTGAATCTATTGAGCACTTATAGGAACATAAAAATACCCAACCCTGAAAACTAGAAACAAGCTATCTGTGAAAACACTTTATAATGTGCTGTTCTATATCACAAAATGAAATCTTTGTTTTTATTCAACAAGGATGAAACACCCTTTTTATAGAATCTAAAAGTGATGTTTCCAAACTATTGAGTCCTTATAAGAAAATATGAATTTCCAGTCCTAAAAACTAGAAACAATCTATCTGTAAAAATACTTTGTAATGTGCTGTTCTGCATCACAGAATTGAACCTGCATTTTCGTGAAACAGATTACAAACACTCTTTGTGTAGATGCCAACGAGTGACATTTCCAAGCCTATTGAGCCCTTATAGAAACATATGAATACGCAGCCCTAAAAACTTGAAACAACCTACTTGTGAAAATACTTTGTGATGTGCTGTTTTATATCATGAAATTGAAACTGCATCTTGATTAAATAGGTTTCAAACACTCTTTTTGTGGAATCTAAGCAGTGACATTTCCAAGACTAATGAGCACTTCTAGGACCATACAAATATCCAGTTTTATAAATTAGAAACAAGACATCTGTGAAAATGCTTTGGGATGTGCTATTTTATATCCAAGAATTCAACCTGCATTTTGATGAAACAGGTTCCAAATAATCTTTTTGTAGAATCTAAGAAGTGACGTTTCCCTGCCTAGTGAGCCCTTATAAAAATATACAAATATCGTCTTAAAAATTAGAAACAGGCTATCTGTGAAAACTCTTTGTGATGTGCTGTTTTATATCACAGAATTGAACCTGTGTTTTAATGAAACAGGTTCCAAGCAAAAATTACATAGAATCTAAAAGTGACATTTCCTTGCCTATTGAGTTTTTATGAGAACATACGAATATCCAGCTCTACAAACTAGAAACAAGCCCTCTATGAAAACATTTTGTGATGTGCTCTTTTTAAACACAGCATTGAACGTGCATTTTGATGAAACAGGTTCCAAACACTCTTTTCGTAGATGCTAAAAAGTGACATTTCCAAGCCCAATGAGCCCTTATAGGAACACATGAATATTCAGTCCTAAAATCTAGAAACAACCTATTTGTGAAAACCTTTTGTGATTTGCTGCTTTATATCACCAAATGGATCCTCCATTTTGATAAAATATGTTCCAAACACTCTCTTTGCACGATCAAAGAAGTGACATTTCCAAGCCTATTAAGCCCTTATAGGAACAAGTGAATATTCAGTCCTAAAAACTAGAAAAAAGCTATTTGTGAAAATGCTTTGTGATGTGCTGTTTTATATTTCAGAAGCGAACCTGCATTTTGATGAAACAGGTTCCAAACACTCTTTTGGTAGAAATTAAAAATGGCATTTCTGAGCCTATTGAGCCCTTATAGGAACATAAAAATATCCAGTCCTAAAAACTAGAAACAATCTATCTGTGAAAACAATTTCTGATGTGCTATTTTATAGCACAGCATCTAACTTGTGTTTTGACAAATCAGGTTCCAAACAGCCTTTCTGTAGAATCTTAGAAGTGACATTACTGAGCCTATTGAGCCCCTGTAGTAATATATTAATATCCAGTTCTATAAACTAGAAACAAGCTATATGTAAAAATGCTTCGTGATGTGGTATTTATGTCACAGAATGGAACCTGTGTTTTGATTCAACAAGTTCAAAACACTCTTTTTGTGAAATCTAAGAAGTGACGGTTCCAAACCTATTGAGTGTTTGGAAGAAAATAGGTATATCCAGCTTTAAAAACTAGAAACAAGCTATCTGTGAGAACACTGTGTGATGTGCTGTATTATGTCACAGAATGGAACCCGTGTTTTGATTCAACAAGTTTGAAAGTCTTTTTGTAGAATCTAATATGTGATGTTACTAAATCTATTGAGCCCTTATAAGAAAATACAAATATCCAGTCCTAAAAAGTAGAAACAAGCTATCTGTGAAAACGCTTGTGTTCTGCTGTTTTGTTTCAACGAATGTAACCTTTTTTTATTCAACAAGTTTAAAATACTTTTTTGTAGAATCTATGAAGTGATGATTAGGAACGTATTGAGCTCATATAATAAAATACAAATATCCAGCCCTAAAAACTGGAATCAAGCTATCCCTGAATATGCTTTGCGATGTGCTGTTTTATATCACAGAATTCAATCCACATTTTGATAAAACAGATTTTAAACCCTTTTTTGTAGAATCTAAAAACTGACAGTTCTGAGCCTATTGAGCTTTTATAAGAAAATACAAGTATCTAGCAATATAAACCAGAAACAATCTATCTGTGAAATATTTTTGTGATGTGCTATTTTTTTTTTCACAGAATGGGACCTGTGTTTTGATACAAGTTAGAAACACTATATTTGTAGAACCTAAGAATTAATTTTCTGAGCCTATTCAGGTTTTATAAGAAAGTAGGAATATCCAGCACTAAATATTAGAGACAAGCTATCTGTAAAAATGTTTTGTTATTTGGTATTTTACACCACAGAATTGAACCTGCATTTTGATGAAACAGGTTCCAAACGTTCTTTTTGTAAAATTCAAAAAGTAACAATTTTGAGCCTATTGAGCCTTTATAGGAACATATGAATGAATATCCAATCCTAAAAACTAGAAACAAGCTATCTGTGAAGACGCTTTGTGGTGTGCTGTTTTATATCACAGAATGGAATCTATGTTTTGATTCAACAAGTTCAGAACTCTCTTCTTGTAGAATCTAAAAAGTGACATTTCTGAACCTATTGAACCCTTATAAGAAAATACTAATATCTAGCAGTAAAAACTAGAAACAAGTTATCTGTGAAAATACTTTGGGATGTGCTGTTTTTTATTACTAAATTAAATGTGTATTTTGATGAAACATGTTCCAAACATTCTTTTTGTAGAAACTGAGAAGTGACTTTTTTAAGCTAATTTAGCCCTTATAGTAACATATGAATATCCTGCCCTTAAAATGAGAAACAAGCTCTGTATGAAAACACATTGTGATGTGCTGTTTTGTACTACAGAATGGAACCTGTAATTTGATTCCACAAGTTCAAAACACTCTTTTTGTAGAATCTAAGAAGAGACATAGATGAGCTTATTGAGCTTTTATACGAACATGCAAATATCCAGTCCAAAAAACTAGAAACAAGCTGTGAGAATGCTTTGTGATGTGCTATTTTATATCACAGAATGGAAACTATGTTTTGATTAAATAAGTCTGAAACAGTTTTTTGTAGAATCTAGGATGTGACATTTCTGAATCTATTGAGCCCTTACAAGAAAATACAAATATCCAGCCCTAAAAACTAGAAAATAGCTATCTGTGAAAATGCTTTATGTTTTGCTGTTTTTTCTTTTTTATCACAGAATGGAACCTGTGTTTTGATTCAACAAGATTGAAACACTCTTTTTATAGAATCTAAAAAGTGACATTTCTAAACCTATTGAGCCCTTATAAGAAAATACAAATATACAGTCCTAAAAACTAGAAACAAGCTATCTGTGAAAACTCTTTGTGATGTGCTGTTTTATATGACAGAATTGAACCTGAATTTTGATAAAACAGGTCCCAAACACTCTTCTTGTAGAATCTAAGAAGGAACATTTCCTATTAATTTGTTATAGGAACTTATGAATATCCAGTCCTAAAAACTAGAAACAAGCTATCTGTGAAAATGCTTTGTAATGTTCCATTTTATATCACAGAATAGAACCTGTGTTTTGATTCAATAAGGTCAAAATATGATTTTTGTAGAATCTAAGAAGTGACATTTCTGACCTATTGAGCCCTGATAAGAAAATATGAATATCCAGGCCTAAAAACTAGTAACAAGCTATCTGTTAAAGTGTTTTGTGATATGTTGTATTACGTCACAGGACTGAACCTGCATTTTGACAAAACAGGTTCCAAATGCTTTTTTTGTAGAATCTAAAAAGTGACATATTTAAGTGTATTGAGTCCTTATAGCAACATACAAAAATCCAGCCCTGAAAACTAGAAACAAGCTATGTGTGAAAACACTTTGTTATTTCCTATTTTATATAACACAATTGTACCTGTTTTGATTCAACAAGTTCAAAACACTCTTTTTATAGATTCTAAAAAGTTATGTTTCTGAACCTATTGAGCCCTTATAAAAAATATGAATATCTAGCCCTAAAGCCCAATCTATCTGTAAAAACGTTTTGTGATGTGCTGTTTTATATCACAGAATTAAACCTTCATTTTGATGAAACAAGTTTCAAATACTTCTTTTGTAGAATCTAAGTGACATTTCAAAGCCTATTGAACATTTACAGAGACATATGAATATCCAGTTCTAAGAGTGAGTAATAATCTATTTGTGAAAATGCTCTGGGGTATGCTATTTTATATTACAGAATGGAACCTGTTTTGATTCAGCAAGTTTGTAACAGGCTTCTTGTAGAATCTAAGAAGTGATGTTTCTGAACCTATTGAGCTTTTGCATGAAAATAGAAATATCCAGCCCTAAAAACTAGAAATAAGCTATTTGTGAAAACACTTTGTGATGTATTGTTTATATCACAGAATTAAACATGCCTTTTGATAAAACAAGTTCCAAATACTCTTTTTGTAGAATTTAAGAAGTGGCATGTCTGAGCCCATTGAGCTTTCATGGGTACATACAAATATCCAGTCCTAAAAGCTAGAAACAACTATCTGAGTAAATGCTTTGTGATGTGCTACCTTATATCAAAGAAAAAACCCATGTTTTGATTCAACAAGTTCAGAACACTTTTTTGTAGTATTTAACAAGTTCACAACTAACTCAGTCAAAATGGAGCATCTGGGAGGCAGGAGATCGCTCTTGTCTGACTCTTCTTGATCCCTGTCTGACTCCTCCCTTGGGAGACAGGATTCTTCGAGAGCCTTTCTTGCAGAAGGCATGATATGAAAAAGCCAACACATGAAAAATTACATGTTGAGAGAGTCCAAGTGTCGTGGAATCATCTGCATCAGCACTGAAAGCTTCCGTAACTGTGGGGAGGAAGGCTTCTTAACTCGCATCTATAGTAGTCCTCTACCTGCTGCCACAGCTCTTGCATGTCTTAAATCATTTTCCTATGATTTAGAATCACTTTCATCAGATAAAGCACCATTTTCAGTATGATTTTAAATAATCTGTAATGTTCCTGTTATCCCCATAACTGTATCCTATGTAAATCTATACATAGAAAACGTTTTTCACATGGTTATAAAAGTACAGTATGATCAAAAGTGTTGCTATAATGATTCCTCCTGCTTTACTTAATGCCTGATGGTTTCTGAGTTGACAATTTTCTTACCTATTCTTGGTATGTCCCTAATTCATCCTTCACTTGTCATCTTTTATCATAAAGCTCCATTCTCCTTGTATTAATGTCTTTGCCATATTTCACAGGGCAGAAAAAGCTGGGCTTCTCAACAGGCACAGTCAGTTTGAAGAATGCGGCTGATCCTACAACAACATGCTTTTCTAAGGATGACAAAAACTCACACAATCCCTAGAAAGGCTGGTATGAACCTAGATTCCTCACAGCCTGACCTGCATTGGGGTCAGGAGATGTTTTGCTACTTCACATGTTTTGGTCACTGTTAAATCTTAAGGTACTTTGTTCTCCCTTGTGTGAATTCTCTCTTTAGATATGTCTTCTGACCATTTGTTTCTATTTCTGTGTTAACTGGGTCTAAACATTGTAAAAAAGTTGAAAACAAAACACTCCAATGGAAGTTTCCCAAGAGGCTGGTGTTCAATTTCTGAACTCACATGTAGATGTCTATTTTTTCCATAATCAATTTTACATTTTCCTCTGCCTCTGACAGCTGTCTCTTCTTTTCTGCTCACTCACGTTCTTTCATTCCCAGCTTCCTGAGGTGAGAAGGGAAATACATGCACACGATTCACTAGCCCATGTGGGATTCTCTCTTCCCTTCTGACGTCTGAAGGCCATGATTCGAAGGTCCTCTGCCAACCTTCCCATAAGTGAAGCAACTGATCCTTACAACTGGAGGAAGAATTGACACCTCCCATTGAGGGACAAAGAAAAATCACTCTGGCCTGCTAGCAAGTAACCTGTTATTTCCAGCTCATCTTAATAGGTCTATAGTCCTATTCTTTAGTAAGTAAAGACTATTACAAGCTTCTGTGAGATGCACTATGTCTGCTTCTGGGGTCAGCCTTGTGCTTGACACGGCAAAAGCTCATTTTAGTTTAGTGTGGAAAACCAGACCTCACCAAATCATCAAAACTAACTCTATCAGGATGGAGTAGGAATCACTACTCATCTTTCTCCTCCCGTGGCAGATCTGATTCTCTATCAGAGGCTAATGTCAGAATCCTGACAATCAGTCTTAGAGAGATCCTTCCAGAACATGGTGTCATTAACCCTGCAGTTCACCACTGTACATTTCCATAATTGAGGAATGGAACTCTCATCATCGACTTTAAAGCTCCTTATTGAGAGATAAGGCTAATTTGAGTGCTGGGCATATATACTGAATTAGAAATGATCTAAATGGCTCCTTAGTCAGGGTGTTATGTCCTGAAAATTGGTGACAACTGCATATCATCCACCCTGCTGTTGAGCAACTTTAACAAGGTTCAGTTCATAGAGAGTGAGTGCAGAAAAAGAAAATGGCCTAAAAAGGTAGGTTTGCTGTGTTGCCTTCACACTACTTGATTCATGGTTCTGACTCCAAGGATCTCACTTAATACTTGATTTCATATGGAGGACATGTAAAATTCCAATAACTCTAGGAAACAGGAACAAAAACTCTTCAAAGAGAAAGTTAATGCACTTGTTTCTGACCACCCAGGCCATCCTTCAACACATGCTGCCTGGAGTGACCTCAAGCAAGGAGTGTGTTGTGAGGTGCTAAAGCTGAAATGGGAGCAGGTTCCTGTCCTCACCCTAAATGAGGTCACAGTTTAGTGCAAGTGAAAAGCTAGTGAGGACATCACTACTCCTGCTGTGCCCTTGGAAACTAAAAAACACAAAACCTGAGTCTGGAAGGAATCTAAGGAAGGATTCTGCTCTTGAGTAGACACGAGTGCATCTGAGGTTTCTGATCTCCTATGAGAACAATGGGAAACACCAGACAGTATATAAAACCCATAATTTAATTCATCAAATTGCTAACACAGAAGTAAACGGACATGAGGCTGAGATGGAGAAGAAGAAAACTCAGAAAGAAGGTCAGTCTCACATTTGGAGCCCATTTCCCTGAGTTTCATCTTTGGATTCTGAAAGGGACTACTGAGATGCAAAGAAGCAGAGCAGCTTTTGCACACATGCATGGGATTAGATGGAAAAGAAGTGGATTGAGGGTCTGCCAATGAAGGTGACCCCTACTGAAGTCCACTGGCTTTGGTTGGAACCCAGAAGAATCACACACCAGCAATAGAGGTGGACAGGAAATACCCTGGCCTTTGTAGGGGCTGAGCCTGCACTGATGACCTCAGTTGCTGAGTATATAGAGGGCTGACTATCTAAAGGGCATCCAGGTGTGCTAGGAACCCTGACCATAACCCAGAAGTAGACTCCCATCTTTTCTGCAGCAAGATAAAATGCTAGTAGGCTTCGTTTCATTGCTAAAGATTATTAATCAGCATCTCACAATTAATTTAAATAGAGTATTCATATGGCAGAAAAATACAATGTAATATGACCAAAAGCTAAGACTGTGATAATGAATCCAGAGGTGACCCAAGCATTAAATTGAATGATGCCAGTACCAGTACCTCCTCTTCCCCCTAAAAAATTACAAACAAGAATGTAGGAAGGAAAAGAAAATATGAAGATTGAACTAATAAAGCATGAAGAAAAAACTCAATTTTATGCCCACTGAATTTGCCACAAATATTGCAGAAAATATTCTCAAGGACATTACAGTTGTCTACTTTCATTGGGACATGGTTCATACAACAGCATTTGTGTCAATGAATATCTTACTCTTCCTTGGCAGTCTTTCTTTATCTATAGATTTTGTAATTGCCGAGCTTCATCGTCACATTTTGGACTTCAGCTTCTACAGATCTCCATGAAGTAAAGACGTCTTGCAGGTCAATTTTAATTCCTGGAAAAGATAAACCCCTTTTCTTTGTATGCATACAGGTGGACCTGAATCGTTGGTTCAGGTGGGAAAAGAAGAAGGTGAGAAAGCTGAGGGCAAAAAGCTGTTTTTTCCCTTTCCAGGGCGAACTCACTTTCATGCTATGGGGACTCTGACAGATAGCATATGTTCCTGGCTAAGGCTATTGGACCTCCAGGCTTTCCACTGTTAATCCATGGATTCATCGTTTACATTTTATGACTTTAAGAAGGACTTGAGAGAAGACATTTAGCAAATAATAATTGAGCAATGACACGAATATACTTCAAATAACTGAACTGTAGACTTCAACGTGGTTAGATGGTAATTATCATGTTATGAATATTTTACCACAGGTTAAAATGTTTCACAATTTGAAAAGGAAGTAATTACCTTCAGTTCTCTGAGTTCTAGAATTTGTAACATTTCACCCCCTGCTTTTTCCTGACCTGCAGCAGAGCATCTTTCTTCTGTTTCTGCTCTGTTCAAAGTCCACTTTCCCTTCCCTGACACCAGCTTCACTGAGGCTGGTTTAAACCTAACAAAACGTTCTCACCAACTAATGAATTATCACAAAGAATTCCATATAGAGATTGTATGATCTTAATCTCCTAAGACATGAAATATTTGTTTTCATCATAGCCAAGATGCAATGTAAATCCTATGACAGATATGGGTTATATGCTTCTGAAATTCCTGAGCTATTTATTGAAATAGCATCTTTCAAGTTCTTTGTAGAAATTTTTTTTCTGATTTTTGCACCTAGAATAGAAACAAAAACTGTAGTAGGATTTTGATAGAAACAATAGGTGATCTAAAAAGATGAAAGAGCAACCACATTTATCCCACAGCCACTGCTTGGTTTCATGGGAAAAGTAGCTGGCACAGTTCAGAGCTAGGAGAAATGTCAAACACATGAAGAAATGAGAAGTGAAGAAACACTGTGAGCCACCCGCAACCTCCCTGCTTAGGAGATGATGCAGAAGTGTGCA
The DNA here is from genome assembly GCF_000001405.40 of Homo sapiens. Classification (NCBI taxonomy): domain Eukaryota; kingdom Metazoa; phylum Chordata; class Mammalia; order Primates; family Hominidae; genus Homo; species Homo sapiens. Next base: position 64,387,880 of record NC_000007.14, on the reverse strand, counting down.
TCATGAGATGCATGAGAAGGTGCAAAGATGTCCAAGTCAAACAGCTCGACTGAACTTTTCTTAATGGAATATTTAAAAAGTGGTTCAATAAAAAACTTTCTCCAATTTACATTGAAAATTCTCTGTTCAAGACTAAGCGGGGTAGGGACTGTTTAATGTGCCTAGATATCTTCATAACTTATATATTTTCTGTTTTCTACATATCTTGAAGGGCAGTGCTGAATGATGTGTAATTATCTGGGTTGTAAAAATAAAACATACTTTCTCTTTCCTTGAATATAAACAATTATTGTGGTATTAGCATTTTTTATAGATCATTGTTCAGAAGAAGGTTCAGACCCTAGACACCCAGACACTTTTACTACAATGAATAGCAAGTGAAAATGTAGAGCTCAGTTTACCCAATAAATAAAAAGGCTTAAAAGCTAAATTACGGCACAACTTAGCTGCCAAATTCTTATCAAGTACAGACTTTTGACATACTGATCTCTCTCCAATTGCAACCGGGAACATGCACTTTGAATGATGTCATTTGAAATGACAACTTATTACCCTATCCAGACACACTTCTTATTTGTTATTTGGAGGGTTTTCTCTTCCTCATGAGATGCAGTGCTGTTCTTTTTTTCACCTTCCTGCAGTTTGTCGCCTCTTCCCTACAATCTCAGAGGAATTTTGTGTCAGGACAATTGTTTGTTCCTTGAGCTCTTTCATTTCCCCTAAAAATCATGTGGTGCCCCTCTAAATTACCTACATCTCCATCTCCCTCTCCCCTGGGAAGAGGGTGCTCTTTAATCATCAAGAATCTGGCTCTTGTTGTAGTCTCATTTTTTGGCTGGCTCCCATGTTTATGTCTGTTAATAAGGTTGTATGTTTTTCTTCTTCTGTTAAGCTGTCTGTTGTCAGATTATTTCTGCAGTGAACATTTAGAGAGGAAAGTAGAAGCTTTCCTTCCACCCATACCATAGAACTATAAGGCAGAAAAGTGTAGAAATAATTTTCTATTTAAGTGGTGAAACTTCATACTTTATTTCTGATAAAGAACACAATGGTAAAAAAAAACTTATTTTTGACTGAAAGCTCTGTTGACATTCTATTAAATGAACATCAAACTATTTAATTTTCATAATGTTAATGGCAGATTTTTTATAATTATTATGCTAATAAATCTTTTCCCTGAATTTTTTTTGTAAAACACAATATCCACAATGATAATGGCTTCTGATAAGATTCTTACACAGATTGTTCAGGATTTAGCTGTATGTTCTTGAAAACATCTTAATTTTAAATATTTCTTTCAAGATGATGAATTAAACAGAGACAGGCATTCAACAGGTAGGACTACACATATGCTGAGTCCTAAATGGAAAGAATTGAATTAGAAATCCATGCAACAATGGGAATAATTTCAGAAACATTGTGTTGAGCAGAATAAGGCAGACACAAAAGAGTACCTATGGCATGGCCTGCATCTATATACATGAAATTCTAGATTAAGCAAAATTAACCTATGATGAGAAAGGGATTGGCTGGGAAGAGAGACAGTTTCCTTTCTGGGGTGACATAATATTGTAGATCTTGAAAGGGGGTGGGAGTGTGCTGGTTTCAAAGTTAGTAAACTCACACTTAGGATTTGTATATTTTCTTCTATATCACTGTTCCTTAGAAGAAAATTTTATTAAAAAATACTGAATTTCAGTTAACGTTAGTCTTGCTAAACCATTCAGTGTGAAGTATGTTGATATCTCCAATTTAGTTGGAAATACATCTAAAACAAGATGAGGTGATGAGTGGATGGAGGAATGGAAAGATGGGTAGATATGCATTAAGTCATGTTCATTAAAATGTTAACAAATCAATGCTCTATGTATGAACATTTTTATAATAAAATGTTGATGGTAATTGCAAAAATCACTTGTCTCATGTCAGTGATTTTTCCTTTCAAGAAGAGTTCCAAAATAATTATTATTTATGTTCTATATGTTTGAACAATTTTAAACACAATATCAATTGGACGTTTTCCCTGTCAATTGATCATGGAATTGCAAAATGCAAGGATACACAGAGAAATCTTGCAAAGGGGCTGCTTTCTGGGTTTTGGTTTTCAGGACAAAGACCAAATGGAAAAATTAAGCCTCATGTCTCTTTCTAAGGTAGAGGATAGACACACTGTCACATGACTATACAAAGGAATTTTACTTAGTAACGAAAAAGAACAAACCATTAACATTTAAAATGATATGGATCAATGTGAAAATGATTCTTCTGACTTTACAGAATCCAGAACAACAAAAATACCTGTCCTGTACGATTCCATTACATGAAGTGGCAGCTCAGGGGAAGAATAATAGAATGGAGGGAGAAGGACAGCTGAATTAGAAAGAGGGAGGAGAAAACTTTGGAGAGGGAGGAATGTGTTTATTATCTTGAATCTGGAATGTGGTGATGCTTTCATTGCTGTATCCTTGTGTAAAAGTCAGCAAATTGTATTCTTTAGAAAGATGCTATTTACTACACAGGACATTACAAAACTTAAACTGTAGGAAGGAAATCTGATACCCAAACTATTAGTTTTTATTTATCTGACAAAAACATTGCAAATATTTTTGAAAAAATAATTACAGAACTTTACACAGAAATTTATAATTCAGTTTAAAATGGAGATAAAAAATACAAATTTACACTGGTCAGGAAGCCAAGGTCTTTTAAATATTTAGAATTTTGTCATACATTTTGTGTAATATATCCAAAAATATGCCAGCACTGTTTGGAAAAATAAGAAAAATATAAGAAAAAAATCTTAAAGTTATAGATAAAATTATTACATAAAGATATGTTTATATATCACAAAACTGACAGTGGGCAGCTGCTGTAATAATACCTGGGTTATATTCCAACAACAATAATCAGATTGTTGTTTAGCAGAAGTTTCTAAAAACACTAACCTTTAAAAATTAATGTTTACTTGCTGCTGAAACAGGGGACTTTATGTCAGATTTTCAAAGTCCATAAATATTATCATAAAATAGTCTTCTTGGAATTATGATTAATACTGTGAGAATTGAAGTTAGTTAAAAACACAATACCAGGTCACCAATCACAAAAGTTCACCTTCATATGTTAGAGCATTGCACCCAAAGCAATCAGTAGCAACTTGAAAATCCATATGGAAAGCAATACAAACTTTCTGGAATGAATGGCCAGCACCAAAAAAGGCACAGATATTATTTTACAAACACCAGATTTACAGGTATTGGGAGAGAAAATAAATTCAAAATGTAATTTAGACCAATCCACACACCAAGACTCAGTTTTGTGCATATAAAACCTCTGTATAAAGCAGCCTCTGAGCTCTGTAGCACTTTTGTCTTTAGCTTCACAGAGGAGGTGAGTAAAGCCTGGGCTCCTGGGAGAAATGCACTTTCTGTACCCTCTGTCTGAAAGGAAGCAGGGGCTCTGAACACAATTGTTAAAGATGTGAATCAGATGCACATGAAAGACAAGCGCCATCATAAGAGGTGGTGAAAGTCACAATCTTAACGTTTAGCTGGGCCCTGTTATGAAACTCTCTGTACCACCCCAAAAGTTCATACAATACACATTCATGTTTTAAACTATGTGAGCTTTGTACAAATATGCAACTCAGAACCTTACCTATTGCCCTAAGCCTAGCTATGAGAGGCAAATATCTCTTATTGTTTGAATCTCAGTATAAGCTTAATTGTCAAGTCTGAGAATGGAAGCGCGGTATATGTCATAATCCCATTTGTGGGCAAAAAACTAGGCAGGGGGGTAATATCCTTTAGGTGCTGTGCCAAGCAACATGTTACAATGCCCTCTCTAGGCAGGCCCTAGGAAGGAGGGTAACATTAATTTCGTGCTGGACCTAGCAATAGGACACAATTCCACATGTGGAAAAAACCCAGCCAAGAGATAAAAGACAAAACACCTACAGAACGGGCCCAAGATATGTCAAAATACCTTCTGTGGCTCCAGCACATGCAGGAGAGTCACATCATCAGGGTGCTGGGGCCAGCAGTGTGTCATAATTCCCTCTTTATGCAGGACCCAGGCAGAAGAGTGACATCATCTGGGTGCTGGGCCCAGCAATATGTTAAAATTCCCTTTTTGTGGGCATGGTTCAGAAAAGAGGAGAGTCACATTACCTAAGTGCTGGACTCAGCAATATGTCACAATTCCCCCATTGTAAAGGCCCAGGCAGAAGAAGAAAGTCACATCACTTAGGTCATGGGCTCAGAGATATGTCCCAATGTCCCCAATAGGCAGGGCTCAGGCAGAAAAGGAAAATCATATCACCTAGGTGCTTCTCGAGGTGTATATCACAATGTAACATGTGGGCAGAAACCAGGCAGAAGAGCCACATCACCTGGGTGCTGGGTCTTCGATATGTCACAAGCTACCTTAGGACAAGACCCAGGCAAGAGAGTTACATCACCTAAGTGCAGGTTCCACCCTTATGTCACAATGCTCCATGTGGACAGGGCCCAAGCAGGGTGTCACATCACCTAGGTAATATGCTCAGAGATATGTCACAATACCCTCCTTGGGGAATGGCCCAGGCAAAAGAGTACCATCATCTCTCTGCCTGGACTACACATATGTCATTATTCTCCCTGTGTGCAGGGCTTATTCAAGAGAGGAGAGTTACATCACCTAAGTGGTGGACACAGTGATATGTCACAATGATTTCTGTCACGATGGTGCAGGCAAAAATGTAACATCACCTGGGTGCTAGATGCAGTGATATGTCACAATCTTTACTGAGAGAAGGGGCCAGCAAAAAAAGTTACATCACGTAGAGGTTGGCCCAGGTAAATAATATCACAATCCCATATGTGGGCTGGAACTAGTCTGGAGAGTCAAATTACACAAGCACTTGGCAAAAACTTATATGACAATCACACTGGCAGAAAATTTCAGGAATGAGATTTACTATACCATACATGTCCTGTTTTTATGTATGACAGTTGGCTTCATTCATGTGAGACAGTGACAGTCTTTACTGTCAGCTGGGTGTGCATATGAGACTCAAAATTTCACCTGTGTGTTGGGCTTTGTTATGACACTGTCTGTATAATCCAAAAGGTTTGTAAAATATGTGTGGGTGTTGTAGGCTTCTGTGAACTTTTTAGCAGAAAAAGATCCAGGACATCACTCCTGTCCCTAAACCTAGTTACAAGCGTCAAAATTTCCCTACTTGGCTGGGTTCACATATGAGAGTCGTTATCATGCCTGTGAGCTGTGCCTAGGTACATGTCACAATCCCCTCTGTGGTTTTGAGACAGACAGAACAGCCACATCACCTAAATGCTGGGCCAGAAAAATTCCACTATTACCCTTGTAGGCAAGGCCCTGGCAGAAAATTCACATAACTTGAGTGCTAGGCCCAGCTCTGTGGCACAATGCCTCTTGTGGGCAGTGTCTAGGCAAGGGAGGGGATTCATATCACCTAAATGATGGGCCCAGAGGTATGTCACAATGCTTTGTGTGGACAGGGTTCAGGCAAGAGTCATATCATTTGAAAGCAGTGCTTGAAAATGCTACAATCTCCACAGGAAGCAGGGTTCAGGCAGGAGAGGAGAATCATGTAACCTAGATGCTGGGTATAAAGGTATGCTATAATCCCCCCCCTGAGGACACTGTTAAGACAGGAGAGTCAAATCATTACGGAGTGTGGCCCTGGTATATATCAAAATCTCATGTGTGAGCTAGACCTAGGAAGGGTTATTAAATCACTCAGGAGCTGGGCAAAGGTATATGTCACAAAAACACCTGTGGAAAGGTCCAGAGATGAGAGTCACCATTCTGCACATGTCCTGGCTTCAGGTATAAGAGGACTGGTCTCAGGTATATGGCACAATATCACCTGTGGGCAGGGAGAAGGTAGAAAAACCACATTGCCTGGGTGGGTGTGGGTCCAGTGAGATGTCACAATCCTCTTTATCGGGGAACCTGTCCCGATAGTCACATAGGTTCTTTTCTATTTTCCCTACGTGTCGGCCAGTTTGAGAAATAAAGGGACAGCGTACGAAAGAGAGAAATTTTAAAGCTGGGCATCCGGGGGAGACATCACATGTCGGTAGGTTCCATGATGCCCCACAAGCCGCAAAACCAGCAAGTTTTTATTAGGGACTTTCAAAAGGGGAGGGAGTATACGAATAGGGTGTGGGTCACAGACATCAAGTACTTCACAAGGTAATAGAATATCACAAGGCAAATGGAGGCAGGGCGAGATCACTGGACCACAGGACCTGGGGCAAAATTAAAATTGCTAATGAAGTTTTGGGTACCATTGTCATTGATAACATCTTATCAGGAGACAGGGTTTTGAGAGCAACTGGTCTGACCAAAATTTATTAGGCAGGAATTTCCTATTCCTAGTAAGCCTGGGAGCACTATGGGAGACTGGGGTCTATTTCACCCCTACAGTCTACAGACCATAAAAGACGGCCACGCCCTGGGGGCCATCTATAGACCTACCCCCAGGCGTGTATTCTCTTTCCCAGGGATATTCCTTGCTGAGAAAAAGAATTCAGCGATATTTCTCCCATTAGCTTTTGAAAGAAGAGAAATATGGCTCTGTTCCACCCAGCTCACCGGTGGTCAGAGTTTAAGGTTGTCTCTCTTATTCCCTGAACAATTGCTTGTTATCCTGTCCTTTTTTCAAGGTGCCCAGATTTCATATTGTTCAAACACACATGCTCTATAATTTGTGCAGTTAATGCAATTATCACAGGGTCCTGAGGCAACATATATCCTCCTCAGCTGACAGGATTAAGAGATTAAAGTAAAGACAGGCATAGGAAATCACAAGGGTATTGATTGGGAAGTGATAAGTGTCCATGAAATCTTTACAATTTAGAGATTGCAGTAAAGACAGGCATAAGAAATTATAAAAGTATTAATTTGGGGAACTAATAAATGTCCATGAAATCTTCACAATCCATGTTCTTCTGCCATGGCTTCAGCCGGTCCCTCTGTTTGGGGTCCCTGACTTCCCTCAACACCTCTTTATGGGCAGGAACCTGCCCATAGTTTTAAATTGCTTAGATGCTTGTTCCACGTATCACACAATTTCATCTGTGGTCTGGGTTTAGGAAGGAGAGTCAAATCACTCAGGGGCTGGGCAAAGTTATATGTCCCAGTCACACACTTGGAAAGGTTAAGAAGTAAGTTCCTGCCCATGAAGAGTCACATCACCTGGATGCTGGTTTCAGTGATATATCTAAGTCCCCCCTTTGCACAGGGCTTAGGCAAGAAGGGGGACTCACTTCACCTAGGCAATTGGCCTAGATATATGACACAATGGCTCTTATGTGCAGTACCAAGGCAGAAGAGTGCCCTCTCATTGGTGCTGGGCTGAGCAATATGTCAAAATCTCCCCTGTGGTCAAGGCCCAGGCAAGAGAGGAGAAACATCACCTAGGTGCTGAGCCAAGTGATATGCTACAAAGCTTCCTGTTGGCAGAGCTCAAAAAGGAGAGTCATGTCACCTGGGTGCAGTACCCAGTTATGTGTCATAATGCACCACAAGTGCAGGGACAAGGCAGTAGAAGGGAGTCACATCACTTACGTGATGGATCTATATATAAGCCACAATGCTCTTTGAAGGCAGGGTTCAGGCACAAAATTCACATCACCTGGGTGCTGGTCCCAGTGATTTGTAAAATTTCTCTTTGTAGGTAGAACCTAAGAAGGAGTTTTATATTGCTTAGGTGCTTGTTCCACGTATCACACAATTTCACCTGTGGTCTGGGTTTAGGAAGGAGAGTCAAATCACTCAGGTGCTGGGCAAGGTTATATGTCCCAGTCACACACTTGGAAAGGTTAAGAAATAAGTTTCACACTCCCACACAGGTCTTGGCTTCGGGTATGAGAGTCAACACCTCCTGTGAGTTTGGTAGAAGTACAGGAGTCACAGTTTCAACAATGGGAAAGATCCATGTGTAAGAGCCTCAATCCTAGTTGAAGATTGTGTTCCAGTAGAAGAGTCACAGCCTCACAGGTGTGCTGAATCATAGTTCAAACGTCACGAAACCTACTGTGGATCAGATCCATGTATGAGAGTAACAATTTCAACCTTCAACTGCTTTTGGTGTGTGAGATTTAGTACCTCACACATAGGCTCTGTTTATGTGTGAGAATGACAACCGTGTCAGCTGGATGTGCATCCGAGAGTCACAATCTCACCTGGTTGCTGGTCCCTGTTATGACACTCTTTGTACCACTCAGGCTTTATATAATATGCCTGTGTCATAATCCTCTGTGAACTTTATACAAGTGGAAGAACCAGGATTTTACCCTTGGCTGTAAGATTGGCTATGAGAGTCAAAATATCTCTACTGGCTGGGTCCAGGTATAAGAGTTATTATTGTGCATGTGAGCTGAACCCAGGTATATGGCACAATTTCTCCTGTGGGCAGGGACAAGGCAGAAGAGTCACATCACCTGGGTAAAGTCTCAAGTAGTATGTCACCAATCCTATTATAGAAAGGGTTTAAGAAAAAGAGAAGAGTCACACTACCTAGTTGCTGGGCTCATAAATATGTAATAATCCCCTCTCTTGGCAGAGTCCAGAATAGAAAGGAGATACATACAACCCAGGGCACAAGCTGGAGAGACACATCATCTAGCTCATAGGCCCAGAGATATGTGATAATATCCCCTGTTGACAGGGCCCAGGCAGAAGAGTCACATTCATATGATTCTGACGCAGTGATATGTAACAATGCACCCATGGAAAGGAATTTAAGGAATAAAGTCTCAACACCTGGGTACTAGGCCCAGTGATATGACACAATCTCATCATCTTTGAGGGTGACACCTTTAACTTTTAGCTGAGTGTGTATATTAGAGTCACAATCTCACATGTGTGCTGGGCCAACGTATAACCCTCTCTATGACATCTGAGGGCTTTATAAAACCTGCATGAGAGTTGCAGACCTCTCTGAGGCCCACATGCTCGTATGGACTCACAATCTTACATATTGCCCTAAACCCAGGTTTGATAGTCAACATCTCTCCTTTAGGCAGGGTTAAGGGAGAAGACCTATTATTATGCCTGTGGGCCGGGTCCAGAAATGCGTCACCATCCCACCTGTGGCCAGATCCACGTATAAGAGTCACAATTCCAACTTTGTGCTGTATTCCCTTGTTAGACTCAGGACCTCAAGAGTGGGCACTGTAAACGTGGGATGGTGACAACTTTTAATTTCAACTGGGTGTGTAATTGACAGTCCCAATCTGAACTTTTTGCTGGACCCTGTTAAGAAACTCTCTACCACCAAAGACTTTATACAATATAAGTTAGTATTGTAAGCTTCTGTGACCTTGGTACAAATATGCAACTCAGGACCTTACCTATTGCCCTAAGCGTAATGATGAGAGGCAAAATATCTCCCATTTGCTGAATCCCAATATAAGTTTAATCATCATGCCTGTGAACTGAAGTAAGGTATATGCCATAATCCCATTTGTGGGCAAAAACTAGGCAGGAGGGTAACATCACTTAGGTGCTGGGCCAAGCAACATGACACAATGCTTTCTCTAGGCAGGGTATAGGAAATTGGGCCACAATAACTGGGTGCTGGACCCAGCAATATGACACCATCTCACGTGGAAAAACCCAGCCAAGTTATAAGAGCCAAAACACCTACATAATGGGTCCAAGATATGTCAAAATACATTCGGTGGCTCCAGCACAGGCAGGAGAGTCACATCATAAGAATGCTGGGCCAAGAAATATGCAATATGCCACAATTTCCTCTTTTGCAGAACCCAGGCAGAAGAGTAACATCATCTCGATGCTGGGCCCTGCAATAGGTCCAAATTCCTTTTTTGTGGGCATGGTTCAGCAAAAAGAGGAGAGTAACATATTCTGAGTGCTGGGCTCAGCATTGTGTCAAAATCCTCCTATTGTGAAGGCTGAGGCAGAAAAAGAGGGTCACATCATCTAGGTCATGGGGTCAGAGGTATGTCCCAATGTCCCCAGCAGGCAGGACTCAGGCAGACAAGGAGAGTTATATCACATAGGTGCTTCCCTAGGAATATGTCACAATGTAACATGTGGGCAGAGACCAGGCAGAAGAGCCACATCATTTGGGTGCTGGGTCCTGAGACAGGTCACAAGGCTCTCTTAGGACAGCACCCAGCCAAGAGAGTTACATCACCTGGGTACAGGTTCTCTGCTCATGCTACAATGCTCCATGTGGGTAGGGTCCAAGGAGGGAATCACTTCACCTAGGTGATAGGCCCAGAGATATGTCACAGTGTCCTCCATGAAGCATAGCCCTGGTAAAAGAGTACCATCACCTGTGTGCCTGGCCTAGAAATATGTCACTCTCCAGATTGGCAGGGCCCAAGCAGGAGAGTCGTATAACCTAGGTGATATGCCCAGAAATATGTCACAATGCCCTGCTTTGGGCATGGCTCTGGCAAAAGAGTACTCTCATCTCTGTGCCTGGCCTTGCAATATGTCACTATCCTTCCTTTGTGCAGGGCCCATTCCAGAGAGGAGAGTTACATAACCTATGAGGTGGACACATACCCTAAACCCAGGTATGACAGTCAACATCTCTCCTTTGGGTTGGCTTCAGGGATGAGAACATTATTATGCCTATGAGCTGGGTCCAGAAATGAGTCACCATCCCAACTGTGACCAGAATCACTTAAGAAAGTCACAATTCCAACTTTGTGCTGTCTTCACTTGTTAGATTCAGGACCTCAACAATGGGCTTTGTAAATGTAGGATGGTAACAACTTTTACTTTCACCTGAGTGTGTAGTTGAGAGTCACAATCTTAACTTTTTGCTGGGCCCTGTTATGAAACTCTCTGTACCACCCAAAAAGTTTTTATGATATGAGTTAATGTTGTAAATTTCTGTGAGCTTTGTACAAATATGCAATGAAGGACCTTACCTATTGACATAAACCTAGTGGTAGGGGGCAAAGTATCTCCTATTGGCTGAATCCCAATATAAGCTTGATAATCATGCTTTTGAACTCAAGCAAGGTATATGTCATAATCCCATCTGTGGGCAAAAAATCTAGGCAGAATGTTAACATCACTTAGGTGCTTTGCCAAGGAATATGTCACAATGCTCTCTCTAGGCAGGGCCTAGGAAAGAGGCTCACATTAACTGATGGCTTGAGCCAGCAATATGATACAACCACACGTGGAAGAAACCCAGCAAACTGATGAGAGCCAAAACACCTACAAAATGGGCCAAAGATATGCCAAAATACCTTCTGTGGCTCTGGCACAGGCAGGAGAGTCACATCATTAGGGGGCTGGGCCAAGCAATATGCCATAATTCCCTCTTTATGCATGACCTGTTTATGCAGAAGAGTAACATCAACTGGGTGCTGGGCTCTGAAATACGGCAAAAGTCCTGTTCACGGGCATTGTTCAGCAACAAGACGAGAGTCACAATACCGAAGTGCTGGGCTCATCAACATGTCACAATCTTCCCATTGTAAAGGCCCAGACAGAAGAGAGTCCCATCACTTAGGTCAGGGGCTCAGAGATATGGTCCAATGTCACCAGTAGGCAGGGCTCAGGCAGAAGAAGACAGTCATATCATATAGGTGCTTCTTTAAGTATATGTCACAATTTAATATGTGGGCAGAACCCAGGCTGCAGAGCCACATCACCTGGTCCTGGGTCCAGAGATATTCACCAGTCCCCCTTAGAAAAGGATCCAAGCAAGAGAGTTCCATCACCTAGGTGCAGGTTCCACCCTTATGTCACAATGCTCGATGTGGGCAGGGCCAAGCAGGAAGTCACATCACCTAGGTGATAGGCCCAGAGATATGTCACAAAGCCTTCCTTAAAGCATGGCCCTGGCAAAAGAGTACCATCACCTTTTTGCATAGCCTAGCAATATGTCACTATTCAAGTGGTAGGTCCCAAGAAGAGCCATATCACCTACATGATAGGCCCTCTGATATGTCAAAATGTTCTCTTTTGGGCATGGCCTGGCAAAAAAGTATCATCACCTGTGTGCCTGGCCTAGGAATATGTCACTATTCTGCCCTGTGTGTAGGGTCTTTTCCAGAGAGGAGAGTTACATCTTCTAAGTGATGGACACAGAGATATGTCACGATGATGTCTGTGGGCATGGTGCAGCTGCGTGCTGGATCCAGTGATGTCACAATTCTTACTGAGAGTAGGGCCCAGGCAGAAGAGTTCTTTAACACTTCAAGGTTGGCCCAGGTAGATATCAAAATCCCATATGTAGGCTGGAACCAGTCTGAAGAGTGAAATCTCACAGGTGCTTGGCAAAGATTTATATCACATGAAATTTATATCACATGACTATCACGATGAAATAAAATTTTAGGGATTAGATTTACAATACCACACATGTTCTGTTTTCATGTAGGACAGTTGCCTTCATCCATCTGTGATGGTGAAAGTCCTTACTGTCAGGTGGGTGTGCATATGAGACTCACAATTTTCTCCATGTGCTAGGCCCTGTTCTGACACTCTCTATACAACCCAAGGGTGTTATAAAATATGTGTGTGTTATAATCTTCTGTGACCTTTTTACCAGAAGGAGACCCTTTACATCACTCATGTCCCTAAACCTAGTTATGAGTCAAAATTTCTCCTATTGGCTGGGTCCACATATGAGTCATTATCATGCCCGTTAGCTGTGCCTAGGTATGTGTCACCATCCCCTCTGTAGTTATTAAACAGGCAGGACAACCACATCACCTAAATCCTAAGCCAGAAATATTCCAATATTCTCTTTGTAGGCAGGGCCCTAACAGAAAAGTCACAAAACTTGGGTGCTAGGCTCAGCTCTATGGCATAATGCCTCTTGTGGAGAACATCCAGGCAGGAAAGGAGAGTCGCATCACCTAAGTGATGGGCCTAGAGATATGTCACAACTCCTGTTAAAAGGGCCCAGGCAAGAGAGTCATGTCATTTGGATGCAGTGCTTAGAAATGCTACACTCTTCACTGGAAGCAGGGTTCAGGTAGGAGAGGAGAGTCACATAACCTAGATGATGGGTCCAGAGATATGTGACGGTCCCTTCTGAGGACACTGTTAAGATATGAGAGTCAAATCACCAAGGTTCTTGGCCCAGGTATACGTCAATATGTCATCTGTGGGCTATAACAGGCAGGATTATTAAATCACTCAGGAGGTGGGCACAGGTATATGTCACAATAACACCTGTGGAAATGTTCAGGGATGAGAGTCACCATCCTGCACAAGTCCTGGCTCCAGGTACAAGAGTCCTTATTAGGCCTTTGATCTGGTCTCTGGTATATGGCACAATATTACCTGTAGGCAGAGAGAAGAAAGGAAAGTCACATCAGCTGAGTGGGTGCTGTTCCAGTGAAATGCCACATTCCTCCTTGTAGGCAGGACTCTGGAAGAAGAGTCACATCACCTGTATGCTGGTTTCACTGATATATCTAAATCCCCCCCTGTGGGCAGGGCTTAGGCAGGAGAGGAGTCAAACTTCACCTTGGCAATTGGCCTGGATATATGTCACAATGGCCCTTACCTGCAGAACAAAGGCAGGAGAGTGACCTCACCTTGGTGCTGGGTTCAGCAATATGTCACAATCTCTCTGGTGGTCAGGGCCAAGGCAAGAGAGAAGAAACTTCACCTAGGTGCTGAGCCTAGTGATATGTTACAAAGCTTCCTATTGACAGAACCCCCCCCCCCCCACCAAAAAAGACTCACATCACCTGGGTGCAGTACCCAGTTATGTGTCACAATGCACCATAAGTGCAGGGCCAAGGCAATAGAAGGAAGTCACATCACTTACATGATGAATCTAGATAAAAGCCGCAATGCTCTGTAGGCAGAGTTCAGGCCAAGATTTCACATCAGCTGGGTGCTGGTCCCAGTGATATGTAAAAGTGCCCTTTGTCGCACTGCCAAAGAAGGTGTTATACATTGCTTAGGTGCTTGGTCCCCGTATGTCACAATTTCAACTGTGCTCTAGGCCTAGAAAGGAGAGTCCAAACACTCAGATGCTGGGCAAAGTCATACTTCCCAATCACACACTTGAAAATGTTCAGAAAAAAGTTTCCTAGTGCCACACAAGTCCTGGCTTCGGGTATGAGAGTCAACACCTCCTATGAGTTGGGTCGAAGCACAGGAGTCACAGTCTCAACAATGGGCAAGATCCATGCATAAGAGTCCCAATCCCACTTGAAGACTGTGTTCCAGTAGGAGAGTCAAAGCACCACAGGTCTGCTAAATCATTGTTCAAACATCACCAAACCCCCCGTGGATCAGATTCATGTATGAGAGTAACAATTTTAAGCTTCGACTGCTTATGTGTGTGAGATTTAGTACCTCATTTGTAGGCTGTCTTCATATGTGAGAATGATAATCGTGTCAGCTGGGTATGCATCCAAGAGTCACAATAGCACCTGGTTGCTGGTGCCTGTTATGACACTCTTTGTACCACTCAGGCTTTATATGACATGCCTGGGCAGCATACTTTCCTGCAAATTCTTACAGGTGGGAGATCTAGGACTTTACCCATGGCCGTAAGACTGGCTATGAGAGTCGAAATATCACCCCTGGCTGGGTCTAGGTATGGGAGTTATGATTGTGCATATGAGCTGAATCCAAGTATATGTCACAATTTCACCTTTGGACAGAGACAACACAGAAGAGTTACACCATCTGGGTGCTGAGCCAGGGATACAGTATAATCTCCTTTATAGACAGGACCCAGTCAGAAGAGTCATATCAGTTGGGTACAGTCTCAAATAACATGTCATCATGCCCACTGTATGCAGGATTGAAAAAATAGTGGATAGTCACATTCCCTAGATGCTAGGCTCAGCAATGTTATAATTCCCTCTCCTGGCAGAGTCCAGGATAAAGAGGAGAGTCACATCACCTAGGTTTTGCACTCAGAGGTATGTCACAATTTCTTCAGTGGGCAGGATCCAGGCAGAGGAGGATAGTCACATTAGCTACATGCCATATCTAGTGATATGTGTCCCCTGTGAGCAGGGCACTGGCAAGAGAGAGACATTGCCCAGCTGATAGGCCCAGAGATATGTGATAGTATCCCCTGTTGGCTGGGTCCAAGCAGAAGAGTAACATTATGATTCTGACCCAGCAATATTTCCCAACGCACCTGTGGGAAAGAGTTTAAGCCAAAAAGTCTCAACACAGGGGTACTAGGCCTAGTGATATGACACAATCTCCTCATCTCTTAGGGTGACATCTTTAACTGTTAACTTGGTGTGTATATAAGAGTTACAATCTCACATGTTTTCTGGGTCATTGTATGACACACTCTACAACATCTGAAAGCTTTATACAACATGCATAAGAGTTGCAAACCACTCTGAGGCCTACATGGTCATATTGACTCGCAAACTTACATATTGCCCTAAACCCCGTTATGATAGTCAACATCTCTCTTATAGGCTGGGTTCAGACAGGAGACCCATTATCATGCCTGTGATCTGGGTCCAGAAATAAGTCACCATCTCACCTGTAGTAAGATCCACATATGAAAGTCACAATTTTATCTTTGTACTTTATTTACTTGTTAGATTCAGGACTTCAACAGTGGGCTTTGTAAAAGTGGGATGGTGACTTTTGCTCTCACCTGCATGTGTAATCAAAAGTCATGACCTTAACCTTTTGCTGGACCCTCTTATGAAACTCTGTGTACCACCCAAGGAGTTTTCAGAATATGAGTTAGTGTTGTAACCTTCTGTGAGCTTTCTACAATATGCAACTCATAACCTTACCTATTGCCCTAAGCATAGCGATGAGAGGCAAAATATCTACTCTTGGTGGAATTCCAATTTAACTTTGATCATCATGCCTGTGAACTGAAGCAATGTAAATTTCAAAATCCCATTTGTAGAAAAAAAAAAGTGGCAGGAGGGTAGCACAACTTAGGTGCTGTGGCAAGCAATATGTCACAATGCCCTCTCTAAGCAGGGTCTAAAAATGAGGGTTACATTAACTGGGTGCTGGACCCAGCAATATGACACAATCCCAAATGTGGAAAAAAACCCAGACAAATGATGAGAGCAAAAACACCTACAGAATGAGCCCAAGATATGTAAAAACACCTTCTGCTTCTCTGGCACAGGCAGGAGAGTTATATCATCAGGTGGGGGCCCAGCAATATGCTATAATTCTCTCTTATGCAGGACCCAGGCAGAAGAGGAACAGCATCTGGGTGCTGGGCCCTGCAATACATCAAAATTCCTTTTCACGGGCATGGTTTGAGACAAAAAGAAGAGTCATATTACCTAAGTATTGGGCTTAGCAATATGTCATATCACCCCATTGTAAAGGCTCAGGCAGAAGAAAAGAGTCACGTCACTTAGGACACGGGCTCAGATATATGGCCCAATGTCCCAACTAGGCAGGGCTCGGGCAGAAGAGAAGAGTCATATCGCCTAGGTGCTTCCCTAGGTATATAACACAATCTAACATGAGAGGTGAAAGCAAGCAGAAGAGCCACATCATCTTGATGCTGGGTCCTGAGATGTGTCACAAGGCTCCCTTAGGACAGGCCCCAGGCAAGAGAATTATAACAAAAAGGTGCAGGTTCTACCCTTATGTCACAATGCTCCAAGTGGGCAGGGCTTGAGCAGGGAGTCACATCACCTAGGTGACAGGCCCAGAGATATGTCACAATGTCCTCCTTGAGGCATGGCCCTGGCAAAAGAGTACCAACATCTGTGTGCCTGGCCTAGCAATATGTCACTATCCAGGTAAGCAGGACCCAAGCAGGAGAGCAACATCACCTAGGTGATAGGTTCAGAGATTTGTCACAATGCCCTCTTTAGGACATGACCCTAGCAAAAGTGTACCTGTGCGCCTGACCCAGCCATATGTTACTATCCCCCACTGGGTGCAGGGCCCATTCTAATGAGGAGAATTACATCACCTAAGTGGTTGACACAGTGATATGTCACAATGATTTCTGTGGGCATGGCTCAGGAGAAAATGTAACATGACCTGGGTGCTGGATCTAGTGATATGTCACAATTCTTACTGAAAGCAGGGCCCAGGCAAGAGAGTCACATCACCTAGAGGTTGGCCCAGGTAGAGATCACAATAACATATGTGGGCTGGACCCAGTCTGGAGAGTCAAATCACACAAGTGCTCGGCAAAGATTTATACGACAATCACAATGGCAGAACATTTCCAGGATAAGATTTACAATACCACATGTCCTGTTTTCATGACTGACAGTTGGCTTCATATATGTGAGACGGTGACAGTCCTTACTGTCAGCTGGGTGTGCATATGAGACTCACAATTGGCCGGGTGTGGTGGCTCATGCCTATAATCCCAGCACTACAGGAGGCCGAGGCGGGCGGATCACGAGGTCAGGAGATTGAGACCATCCTGGCTAACACGCTGAAACCCCATCTCTACTAAAAAATACAAAAAATTAGCCGGGCATGGTGGCGAGCACCTGTAGTCCCAGCTACTTGGGAGGCTGAGGCAGGAGAATGGCGTGAACCCAGGAGGCAGAACTTGCAGTGAGCCGAGGTCGCGCCACTGCACTCCAGCCTGGGCGACAGAGCAATACTCCGTCTCAAAAAAAAAAAAAAAAGAGACTCACTATTTCACCTTTCTGCTGGGTTGTTATGACACGCTCTGTACAAGCCAAGGGCTTTATAAAATATCTGAGGCTGTTATAATCTTCTTTGTTCTTTTCCTTTTTTTTTTTTTTAACAGAAAGAGATTTAATCACTTGTGTTTCTAAAGAAAGTTATGAGAGTCAAAATTAATCCTATTTGTGGGATCCACATATGAGAGTCATTATCATGCCTGTGAACTGTGCCTAGGTGTATGTCACAATTTACTCTACAGTAATGAAACAGGCACGACAGCTAAATAACATAAATGCTGAGCCTGAAATTTTCCAATATTCTCCATATAGGCCTGTTCCTGGCAGAAAAGTTGCATAACTTGGGGGTTACCTCCAGATGTATGGCACAATGCCCCTTGTGGGCAGTGTCCAGAAAGGAGACTCATATCACCTAAATGATAGGCCCAGAGATATGTCACAATGTCTCCTGTTGAAAGGACCAGGCAAGAGAATCATATTATTTGGACGCAGTGCTTAGAAATGCTACAATCCCTAGTGCAAGCAGGGTCCAGGCAGGAGAGGAGAGTCAGGTAACCTAGATGGTTAAGTCCAGAGACATGTTACAATTCTTCCTGAGGATATTGTTAACACAGGAGAGTCAAATCACCAAGATGCTCAGCTGAGGTAATTTTCCAAATCTCATTTGTGGGTTACACTTAGGCAGGATTATTAAATCACTCAGGAGCTAGGCAAAGGTATATGTCACAATAACACTGGTGGAAAGTTCCAGGAATGGGAGTCACCATTTTGCATATGACCTGGCTCCACATTTAAGAGTCAGGATTAGTTCTCTTATCTGGCCTCAGGTATATGGCACAATATCACCTGTGAACAGAGAACAAGCAGGAAGGTCACATCATCTGCGCGGGTGCTGGTCCAGTGAGATGTCACAATCTTTCTGTGAGCAGGACCCTGGAAGAAGAGTCACATCATCTGGATGCTGGTTTTAGTGATATATCAAAATTCCCCCTGTGGGCAGGTGTTAGTAAGGTGAGGACACTGACTTCACCTAGGCAATTGGCCTAGATCTGTGTCACAATGGCCGCTATGTGCAAAACCAAGATATGAAAGTGACCTCACCTTGGCACTGGGTTTAGCAATATGTCACAATCTCCTCTGTGGTCAGGGCAAGGCAAGAGAGGAGAAAAATCACCTTGGTGCTTAACAAAGCTTCCTGTTGGCACAACCCAAAGCGCAGAGTCATATCACCTGGGTGCAGTACCCAGTTATGTGTCACAATGCATCATAAGTGCAGGGCCAAGGCAGTAGAAGGGAGTCACTTCACTTACATGATGGACCTAGATATAAGCCACAATGCTTTTTTTTTTTTTTTTCCCCGAGATGGAGTTTCACTCTTGTTGCCAGGCTGGAGTGCAATGGTGCAATCTCGGCTCACTGCAAACCTCCGCCTCCTGGGTTCAAATGATTCTCCTGCATCACCTCTGGAGTAGCTGGGATTACAGGTGCCCACCACCATGCCTGGCTAATTTTTTGTGTTTTTAGTAGAGACGGGGTTTCACCATGTTGGCCAGGATGGTCCTGAACTCCTGACCTCAGGTGATCCACCCGCCTTGCCTCCCAAAGTGCTTGGATTACAGGCATAAGCCACTGCGCCCGGCCAGCCACAATGCTTTTTATAGGCAGGGATCAGGTAAAGAATTCTCATCACTTGGGTGCTGGTCCCAGTGATTCATAAAATTGCCCTTGGTAGGCAGGCCCAGGCACCTTTGCTTAGGTGTATGGTCCACATATGTCACAGTTTCATCTGTGGTCATGACCTGAAAAGAAGAGTCGTTATTCAGGAGCTGGGCTTTTATGGTCTAATTACACACTTCGAAATATTCAGAAATAAGTTTCACAGTCCCACTCAAGTCCTGGCTCTGTGTGTGTGAGTCAACACCTCCTGTGATTTTGGTCAAAGCAGAGGACTCACAATCTCAACAATGGGCAAGATCCATGTATAAGATGCCCAATCCCACCTGAAGATTGTGTTCCAGTAGGGGAGTCCCAGCCTCACAGGTGTGCTAAATCATGCATCACCAAACCACAAGACAATGATGTCTACTTTTACCACTTTTATTCAACAGAGTACTGGAAGTCCCAGTCAGATCATTTATGCAAGAGAAATAAATAAAAGACATCCAAATAAAAAAGGTGAAAGTCAAATTGCCTCTGTTTGCAGATCACATAATTGTCTATATAGCAAAAGTTAAATACTACACTAAAAATCGTTAGAATTAATAAAGAAATTCAGTAAAGTGGCAGAATACCAAATTAACATACAAAAATTAGTAGGAACATTTTTACATGACAAGAATAAGCCATCTGAAAAAAAATTCAAGAAAAAAATCACTTACTACAGCTATAAAAAATAAGTCCTACTTCATTCTAAGTTCATGCTTGTGGTAAGGTTCACCTTTATTTTTTGTCATTTGGATATTCAGTATTCTCCAACCCATTTGTTAAAAAGACTGTTCCTTTCTCATTTTGAGTGATAGAGACAGTAGATAGCCAAGGGACCTTTTCCTATTTTGAGTCAGAGACAGGAGACAGTCAAAGGTCCTGGGCGAAACTCCGCCTTCAAGCCTAAAAAACAGCCTGAAGGCTGAAAAACTGGACTGCTGGTTTCAGATGAAGCCCGCCCTTTCCTGACTGTTTCTCTCTGAATAATGCCCACCTGTGCACTGGGAAAAGAAGTTGGAGCCATAGAAATTCACACCTTTTGGCAGAGGAGGAGACTGGACTCTTCAGTTGCTATGTGGTGACCTGGTGTTCATCAATATGTGAGGTGGGGGCCCGTTAACAGGAGTCCCTCTCACTTTGCTGACAGTTTTTTTTCTTTTTCCTTTTTGCCCAATAAACTTTACTCCTCACCCTTCAGTATGTCTGTTAGCCTATTCGTTCCTGTTCATGTGATAAGATCCTAGTTTTAGACGAACTACGGAAAAAGTTCTACATTTCGGTGTCTAGATGTGGGGCTTGAGGAAGGGTAAGATGTAAACCAAAATATCTTTTTCTACTTTGCTTGTAAGCCTTTTTATCCTTGGACTTCTCCGAGGGTAGAGGAAACTGTGCACCACCCCAACAGCCCCAGGCATATGCGGGATGGACAGGTGAATGGCGGCTCCTCACCCCCATCTCCTCTGGGCTGGAAAATGCCAGGCATTCACGGTGTCTTCCCCTTCACCGGCCAAGCGATCCAGCCTCATCCAATAACAATTAAGTTTTTCCCTCTGTTGAAGGAATCATTTGCATAAGAATGAAAATGTTCTTCCCTGCCCTACACTTAAGCCTTTCCCCCCCTTTTATTCACCCTGTCAGCAGTGTACTTTTAAGCAACAGGCTTTCTTCTTCTTCTTTCTTCTTCTTCTTTTCTTCTTCTTCTTCCTTCTTTCTTCTTCTTCTTCTTCCTCTTCTTCTTCTTCTTCTTCTCCTTCTCCTTCTCCTCTTCTTCTTCTCCTCCTCCTCCTCTTCTTCTCCTCCTCCTCCTCCTCCTTCTTCTTCTTCCTCTTCTTTCTTCTTCTTCTTCTTAGAAACTGTTTTGCTGGTCTAGGACCTCAATGGTCACTGCTTATATTTTTTATAGAGTTTTAATAGTGAAAGGGTATTTGTGAAGTTGGTCTTGAGCTGTGGCCAATCTGGTGTGCTTTGTATGTCATTCTCTATGGTTGTCAGGAAATTTTGCTGTAGGCCTCTATCTTGTTTTATGTTTTCAGGAGCATGACCTGTAACCACGTGGCAATGTTCTGTTTTGGTCTCTGCCATTTTACAATGGTAGCCCAGGTTTAATCCTGGCTTAGGGAATAAGTCCCTTCTGGTTTCCTATCAGCATGTAAATTTTGCCATTTGCAGATTCTCTTCCCCTTCACAAACTGCCTTAATTTTTTGTTTTTCCACTGAGCACCTGGTAAGTTACCTTTGATAAAGTTTGAAAGCCAGAAATACTGGCTACTTGGCACTGCTAGAGTCAGGTAATAAGGAATTTAAAAGGATTTTCTTAAAGAGTGCTCAACTTAATTAAAAGTGGATATCCAAATTATAGGTATATTTAAAAAACCTTTATGTTTTTCTCTTCTGGGATCTTGTTTTGCTGGGGAAAGGTTTTTTTCTCAGCCAATTGAATTTTTTATTTTGTCTTGCCACTGTAATGCATGCATGAGAGGCCAGTAATTCAATAAGGAAATTGGCAAATAAAAAAACCTTATGGCTACTGGGTTTTCTTCTGCCTGTCTGTGTAGTTATGTATGTGTTGTGTGTGTGATGTCTATAAAAAAGAGCTCTAATAAATTTACTTAAAGAATGATAAGCACTTGGATCAAATATTTTTTGAAGGGAAGAAAAAAGCTGTGTACCTTTTAGTTCACATGACTGTTACTCTTTGAGAAATGAAAACAGCCTTAAAGATTATTGACAAAACACAAATGTCATCAATATATGAGTAGGTGAACTAAATTATGCAGGTCAGATACTAAGTTTGCTATATGTTTTAAGGTTATAAACTGCTTTTTTGGTTTTTTGGAACAGTTCAACTTTGCTTCACAATTGTAAGACCGGAAGACAAATGGAATTAACCACACCCTTAATTATGCTGAAAGCAGCCAAACCCTTGGCTGCACCTAGCACATAATGAAAACAATTTACCTGGTTTTACATTAAAGTAGAAATTGCTAGAAGTTACCATTGTAACATGTAATTGAAACCACTGGAAGTAGATTTACATACAAGGTGTGTAAGAACAGTCAAATGTGTTTTAAATAAAAGATTGTAAGAAGGCATGGAAATATAAATTATTGCCTAGAGTCAAACAATTGTTTTGAATTACACAAGATAAAGCTAAAAGTTCAAACAAGTTGTAGAAGGATTGTAAAAATAAATCTTGCCAAAAAAATTCTGTGTGAATATTAATTAAATTCAAAAAGGTATTATATGGGTTTTTTATAAATTGAGCATTGACATAAAAGCACAACAAGGTACACTTAAGGCACTAATCTGCTCTTTAGCAACATTTGTAAAGAATTTAAAATTAAAAGTTTTTGCTTTTTACATTTCTAAGTCATCATTTTGGTTAAATAAGTAATTTATGGTAATCTGAAATTTTATTTCATAACATCAAGTGTTTTAAACCCCTAACATGTAACATCCTTCTCAAAATCAAACTCTAGTTACAAAATTGTCTTTCCTAATTCCTGGCTTTTTGGTGCTAAAGAGGGCTCCTGGAGTATCCACAAGAGAGGTAAACAGGATTATATGACAGGTTTAGTTACATACAATCGCCAAAATGGTGTTCAATATTCTTTAGATGATACTGTGGTGAATAATACTAATACGTGTTCCAAAATTGTATGGGATTTCTAAAATTCTAATGTCTGAAGTATATGCTATCTTGTAAACCACAGAAATAACCAAAATTTTTTGTCAATCATGTTTCCGACTGTAACTACCCTGGACATTTTGTTATACACAGACAACTGTTGTCTTGTTTTGATTTTTTTCAAAAAAAATCGTTTTTAATCAGCTATAGAACTTTGACAGGTGCTCTCAAATGCATGCTTCTGATAACTTTGGAGCTTGTGACATTGGCATATAGGAAAAACATACAGGACTCATGAAGAGCTAAAATGTTCATGAATATCAAACACAACAAGAGTTAACTGAATGGACTGGACTAACAGAAAACTGAAGTAATCGTTCCGACTTTTGCTTGTAACATTATTGATCCTTGTATTGTTTACCAGCATCAAAGAAACTTATGTTGAGCTATTTACAGCCTTTAATATTTGACTAAGGTGTACTCCTGTGAACAAAATTTGGAGCATGTTTGTCTCTCTCTGCCTGGCTTCTCCAGAATTTGAAAAATAGTGTGAGTATTCTTAACCTATGGCAATATGGCTGTTTGCATTGGGTATGCTTCCCTTTATGGAGTCAAGCTCAACTTGCAGAGCCAATAAAAGCCCCTTGGAAAAACTGGCCTCATAACTCATCTACACAGTCCTTGTGCAGGGTTCCGTTCCTGATCTATGGTAAGTAAAGAATGACACTTTCTGATAGGCCCAGGAGCCCCAAGTTTATCTTGGGACCACAAGAGGAGAGGATCACCCAACTCATAAGTATTTGATAGTACGAACCCATGGCTGGGCTTGACTTCAGAAAGTCCTATGTAAAATTTCTTGTGGAACAGAGTTCCATCGAAGCCAGTGTAAAAGACCTATGTAAAAATAATTATTCTTGCTGCACTTTATGCAAATAATCAGGCCAAGTATAAGACTAATGTTTATTTCACAAATAACTCAGTCCTGTCATGATTCGTTTTTAACAGAAAAGAGGACTGGATAAAGATTATGTTTCAAAACTTATTATACAATTGTCATTAAATTCTAAACTCATTAGTTTTGAGTTTTTGCCTACATTTTAGACCAATCCTGCTTATTCCGGTGAACCACCTGGCGATCTTCAACTGCAGCTCAGAAGAAACAAAAAGGGATGGGTAATGTAAAAATCTGGATTAATATTCTACTTCTGGGCAATTATTCTGCAAATCCTGCAGAGGAATGGGAATAAATAGGGTGCCCATCGCAATCTCAGCAAGCATAACTATAGCCACTAGTTATCTGGGTGTGTCAAAAGACATTCTTTTCTCTCCCTTGTGGAAAGAGGACTTAATTCCACAGCTTCATCTTAGCATTCAGCTCATGGTAAGGAGTCTATGCAATCCCCTGAGACATATTTTTGTCCCAACCTCAATTCCAAGCTTCAAGTTGAAGCCTTAGGAAAGAATACTGGATCTGAGAAATCTACAGGCAGATAATGGAGGTTAAAAGGCACAGTGCAGGTGAGCATGACTAATTCCAGCCGATTAAACCAAGCCTCCCATTTCATAGATAAATATCATGCTAGGATCTGTGGAATAAGTGAGGTCTAGTGAACTCCAGAACCACTGACAGAAGGGGAAATAGGATAAGAGCAAATATTTCCACCCCCCTAGGCCTCCCTGTTAACCAGGGTGGAAGCTGCTTGGACACCAATGGGTGGCACCCTGTCACAATCACTGGGACTTGGGGATACAAGGATGGAAGGGGAAAAGAGAACATTCTTTCTTCTGTCAACATACCTGGGTATTTGCTAGGATGAAAAAGGAACCAGGGACACCTGCTCCTCTCTTTCTAGATGAGTAACCATTCATTCATCTTCAGTCTATATCCTTTTCGAATGCATCCTGAACCCTTGGGACTCCTTTGAAAACATGCTTTTTTCCTTTTATCCCCTCTGTCTTCTCTTTACAGATAGGTAATCATGTCTTCATACTATGGGACGGTCCCCTCAGATGCATCCTCCAAGCTTGGAAGAATTAATTTTCCAAACCTTAGACTGGGTGGCTTAGGATTGGACTCAAGACAAAAGAACCCAGAAGCCTGACATGCTGGCAAAAGGGTAAAAGGTGTTTTTTTTTTTCTTTCTTTCTTTCCCCCGTTGGGCTTTTGGTCTCCCTTTCCCTATGCAAACTGGTAAAAGACCTTGGGATTTCTTAGCTTTCCTTGCCACCTTCCCCTTGTTTCGTTTTAATACATGTTTTTAAATAACCCAGTTTGATTCTTCCCACCTTCAGGCTACCAAACTTCAAAGAGTCACACAACCAGAGCCTTGGACAATGGCCCCTTTCACAGGGAACTCTTAGATAGGCCTCTTAGGGAGATCTGACTGCCATTTTTCCAAAACAGTGTCCCCTGTCATCAGGAAGCAGTTAAAAATGGTTTTTTGTCCTTATCTTTATTTTGATTCTAACAGCAGTTAGATGTGCTTCTTTAGAGGGGGAAATAACAGAGTTAAACAGCCAAGGGTCCTGGGTGAAACCCCATCTTCAAGCCTAAAACAGCCTGAAGACTAAAAAATCAGACTGCTGGTCCCAGATGAAGCCTGCCTTTTTCTAACTGATTATGAATAATTTTCTAACTGAATAATGTCCACCTGCACACTGGGGGGAAGGGAGTGGAGCCATGGAAAGTTTACCCCTTGTGCAGGGAGGAGGAGCCTGGCCTCTTCAGTTTCTGTGTGATGGTCTGGTGTTCACCAATCTAGGAGGTGGGGGCCTTTAAACAGGACTCCGACTCACTTTTTTTTTTTTCTGGTTTTTAACCCAATCAACTCTACTCCTCACCCTTCAGAGTGTCTCTGAGCCTAATCTTTCCTAGTCATGTGACAAGAACCCAATTTTGCTGAAGGAAAGTTCTGCAACATGAAGATTTGGAACCCTCATTTAAGATAAGCTTAGTATACACATGTGGGTCTCTTTCTGGCTTCTATGTTTCAACATTTTTCTGTCTTTATGCCAACACCACAGTATTTTGATTACTGTAAATTTGCAATATATTTTTAAACAAAAAAAGAATTATGCCTCTGAGTTTATCATTTATTTCCAGGTTGTTTGGCTACTTGTGGTTTTTTTTGAGTGTTTATAGAAATTATAGGGCAATATTTTGGTGGCTTAGTCCTGTGATCTCAGAACTTTGGGAAGCCAAGGCAGGTGGATTGCTTGAGCCCAGGAGTTTGAGAGCAGCTTGGGCAATATGGTGAAACTCTGTCTCTACAAAAAATACAAAAACTTGCTGAGCCTGGTGGCATACACCTGCAGTCCCAGTTACTTGTAAGGCTGAGGTGAGAAAATCAATTGAGCTTGAGAGGTCAAGGCTACACTGAGCCATGATTATGACACTGCACTGCAGCCTGGGTGACACAGCTAAATATTGACTCAAACATTTTAGAATATTTTAGTACTTCTGCAAAAAGTACCATTGGTTTTTTTGAAAGAGATCTCATTGATTTGTAGATCATTTCGAATACCATTAACATCTAAAGAAACTTGCATGTTCTAACTCTTGAAAAATAGTATGCTAAAGAATTTGTCGAGTTTTCATATATATGCAGGTATGCTAGTTTTCTTTTGGCTTTTAACTTCCAGTTATATTTCATTGTAGTCAGAAATAATATTTTTATGATTACCATTTGTTTACACTAAAACTTGCATTCCAGCTTAGAAGTTTGCCTATCTTAGAATATGTGCCATATGCAATTAGAAATATTACGTATTATGCTATTGTCAAGTGAAATGTTTTGTAGATTATTCCCAGGTCTTATTTTTCTTTTTAACCTTTTATTTCTCTCTGCATTTGCCTTTATCTTTATTTTCTTTTTTTACTTTCTTTCTATTAATTTTATTTCTTTTTCTTTTTTCTCATTACATTCTCTTAATTTCAAATTTTCTAGAATTTTTGTCATGTTTTAATTTCTTGTTTATTTCCATTCATATCCCCTATTATTTTTCTCCATGTTTCTTTTTCCATTTCTCATTTCTTAAAATTTTATTTTATTGCAAATTATTGCATTTGTTTACTTCTGTTTTTATTGTAATTAGTATCTTCATCTTCATTTTATTTTCACTGATCTTAATTACGTTTGTTTTTCTTTATTTCAGTTTGTCCTGTTTTTCAATTACTTTAAATTTATTTTTAAATTTTATTTTCTTTCTCTTGATTTCATTTGTTTCACTTTATTTTTCTGTATTTTGCTTTGTAAAACAGAAGGGATGAGCTATTTTACATTGGCCTAGCCATAGTGGTCAAGACTCATTTGCTGAGGCTCTCTGGCAGCCACTCTACCCCAGGAGTCTCCAACCCAGGGTATAGTCAGGGCCTCCTAGGAAGATTGCTAAGATCCCTCGGCAGATCTTTCATTGTTACAGGCCCATCTGGCACTCAGTGTCATGGGCCATTTCTGCTGCTTTCTGAAGCCCCCTGGAAGTCTTAGTGTTGCCAGGCCAAGACCCTGACTGCCTCTTTGTGTCCCAATGGATCCCCCACACATAATCCAGGGCACTGACTTCTTTCCCAGGAGAGGGCCACACCCACTCCACTGCACCAGGGCATGTCTGGACAATATGTGTGTCTTTGTTATAAAAGAATTTTTTTGTTTTTTGAGATGGAGTCTTGCTCTGTCACCCAGGGGGGAGTGCAGTGACGTGATTTCAGCTCACTGCAACCTGCAACCTGCACCTCCCAGGTTCGAGTGATTTTCCTGCCTCAGCCTCCCAAGCAGCTGGTATTACAGGTGTGTGCCACCACACCCAGCTAACTTTTTTTTTTTTTTGTATTTTTAGTCGAGACAGGGTTTCACCATGTTGGCCAGGCTGGTTTCGAACTCCTGACCTCAGGTGATCCACCCGCCTCAGCCTCCAAAAGTGCTGGGATTACACATGTGAGCCACTGTGCCCAGTTGAGAAAAAAAAAAAATTTTAACTTGACATATAACTGAATTATGAAAATGTCAGCTTTATGGGTAGATACACATGCAAATATGTGCAAAAATGCTAATCATGTGAGAAGATGAACATTTCTACATTGTATTTAATGATTTCATAGGGTTGCTATTTTACCCTTTCCTGTCTTTATATGTTCAATGGGAAAATCCTCAGTGAAGACTCCTCAGTATGACAGACAAAATGTTGTGCAATCTAATCACTGATAGATGCAGTGACGTAACTTCTGGTTTTCATTCGGAGCTCTCACAGCTAGGATTAAAAACTCTTAGTTGCAAACTCACATGATGAGGAATTATAGTATGCTGTCCTCTTCTGCACATTTGTCTGCCATCATAATTTTTTCAACTTGCCAAGGGAAAAAGTGGGAAATTGTTTCCCTCAGACCTACTCATCTCCCTTCCATAGGTTTTCAGGTTGTGTATTGTCCAGATTGCTTAGAAGCTCATGATCACAGAGGTCATGATTGTCAAGAGAAAGCTTTGTTGCAGGATTAAGTGAAGGTGTTTACCACTCAGGGCCTACGGTTCCTCCAGAGGCAGGATGAACTTAAAAATCATTCCTGAATCCAGAAAGTAATGACAGAAGTCAGGGACTACCCACAGGAGAAAGAAAAATGCTCCCTTTTGCTTTCCAAGTGGTCACTGCTTATTCTGGCATTAATCATGCTTCTGACCATGATGTGTTTCTTACTCATCTTTCTCGGTATTCCACTGATTGTGCATCTAAGGAAAAGAGGCCTGGATGAGAGTGGTAAGAGAACAACTGCATCCTTCCATAGCTGATGCCTTGGTGAGCTTTGAAGCACACTGAGCAGAGTCTGAAACTCTTCCTCACTATGGGGTAAGCTGTGTCAAATTCGACTCCCATGGAAATGGCACCAGGTTCAAGGTGTCAAAGAGACTCAGAGCCAGTGAATGAGATGAGGTTTTACTGGGGACTTACATAGAGAGGAGAAGGTCCAGTATCAGTGGGATTAGCAGGATAACAATGCCCACTTGCAAAAATTATGCAGTTTGTATAGCATTTTTATTTAGCACTTTTTTTCTGAACAACCTTTCACCTGTCAGACTTCATTTAACAAAAAAGGAATGGCCTCAATCCCCTGTGTGGCCTGTGTTCCACGCCACAGGATGGGACAGACCAGGGCTAAGATGTTCCTCATAAATAAAAAATAATCACCAGATTGGCCCCTACTAGACTTTTTAGCTTAAAACTGAACATTCAGAAGCATTTTTTTATACATGGTCAGTCTCCAGGTATGCCCAAGTCAAGTTAATACTGTCAGTTGCATCCATCATTACAGGCTGGTTCAGGCACTAGAGGTTCTTCTTCCTGAGACTCTAGATTCAAAAAGTTTTTGCTTTTTCTTCAATCATGGGGTTGACAGTTTACTAAAAGGCCTGATGTGTGTGCACATTGCTGGTACAGTTGTCTAAGTTAATGAGATGGCTTCACAGTTGGTAGGGCCTGTTCCTGTTACAGGTGTGACTGGGTGTGTACAGGCTGCTGACGTGCCTCTTCTCTAGACTTTCACTGGACCATAACATTCTGGGGCCCCAGTTCCACCATTTTCCAAGGTGGGACATGCTGAGCCAGACCCTGGAATTGTGGTTCAAGGTGACCAGGCTGAGGCTGCTCTTTAAAAGGCAGAACTGCCAGGTCTGTGTCTTATTTTCCTCGTCATTCTAATGTATCTTTTGGTATGGAGACCAGAGTAGAGTCTGCGACAGCCCTCCTGCTAGGGTTGGTACTATTTATACATGACTCTTAAGTGTCAAGGTAGGTTGAGAGATCTCTCTTCCTGGCACAGCCTGAGTAGGCTAGAGCACTGTGACCCTTAAAGCTTGGTTCATACAGTCTTCAGAGGAATTTCAAAAACCATAGGATGTGGGGGGCAGAGAAAGAGCTGGTACAAATGACAAGTTGCAGGTGAAATAATTGGAGTCAGGAAGAGAATGGGACCTGCTTGGGACAGTACACACACTGCCTGGGTGCAGCTGAACAGTCAAGCCAGTTCTCTGATTTGGGCCTTGTGCAGTGGGATTAACAGGCCCACTTCGGCTCTGGCCTGGGTGCTGAACACTTTGGGTAGGCTTACCACACGACTGGTTGCTTCTATGCCTACACTCACAAGAGAGATCTTCTTCTCTAAAGGCAAGCCCAGGGAGATCTGAGGCTCATGGGAGAAAGTGAAGAAAAAAGGTGATGCCTTAGCTCAGTGTTTTGCCCCTCCTGGCTTGTGGCTTTGGGGGCTCACATTGCTCATCAGAAAAAATGGGCAATGAAAGCCTCTCAGTGACTGGCTGCTCATCCCTTTTACCAGGCCACTGCACAGTGCTCACTCTGCAGCTCCAGGTACAGCCTGTGCTTCAAAAAGCTGGGGGATCTCTGGGCTGAGTTCAGGGCCCTGAGAGGGTTCTCCCCCTCAGGGACTCCTCCTGTCTACCCCGCTGTGCCCACCTGACAGCTCACCATGTATGCTGTATGCTACCCTTATTGCATGCTCTTTCCAAGCCCAGGTGGCCTGACCATCTTTCCTTCAGTGTACAGCCTCAGGCAGGTGCCACCCAGGTTTTCTCCTAGAATGTGATCTCAGGGGATTGCAGTAGCACATTCCGCTCTAACTTATTGACTAGTTAATCAATGGGTCACTTAATGTGCCAAGATGGGTGTGGGCCTTGACACTCTTGATCTCCTTCCTCTAGTGGGGCTGCATTGGCGGTTGCCATCCTGATTTCTTGGTGGAAAAAGCTAGCAGGTGAGGCAGGACTCAAGGGCCAGGGACAGGACAGAGCACCTTGGCTGGCCTCACCCAGGGCCCTCTGAGGCTCCTGCAGGCAGGAGGACTCCATGGAGCCCCAGACCCCTTTTCTAGGATGGTGCCCACAGCCCCTTCCTGGACCTTCAAGAAGGGCCTACTCTTTCTGCAACCTGTACCTACTGGTCTCTGGAAGATGAGCATTCATTTCTCTTTGTGGACATGGCCTTCTGCTTCATTTCCATAAGAAATGCCTAGGGAATCCTGGGCCTGTGCTGGAGGTTCTCTAAGTGCCAAAGTCAGTAAGAGTCTCAAGAATATAATTAATAGTATTTTCTGCACATTACTATCTCAGGGTTACTTTTGCCCAAAAATGTGTAAAAACAAATATTAAGATTTTTATCCTTTACATTACCTTAATTAGGTCATCATACAAACCTTTTATTTTCCTCCCAATCATTGAATTTTTGTTTTCTTCTTTGTTCAAATTGTTACCTGCTTTAGAGGCAAAAACTTAAAAAAAAAATGCTACACAAATACTAACAGGTAACAGCAATTTATTTAAAATGTAATTAGATTTCTTAAATAAGTAAATAATTTAAGTAAACTTAGTTTATATTACTTGTATAAATTATTTTACATATTATCCTCAATCTTAAAAAAATTTAGCTAGGTATGCAATTCAAAATTGATAGATTTTTTTAAAAATAGGCAACTTAAAAACATTTTATTGGACAAGTTGGGTAATATTAATTCTCAAATATTTTATCTTAGAAATCAACACACTTGACAATTGATATTCATAGTATCTATGAAAGTGACATTCTGAATGTGCTTTTATACTTGCCAAAAATTTAAGAGAAAAAAATCTATTCTGGCCTTCAGTAGTAAAACTTAAAGATTAAAGAAATAAGATTAAATTTACTGGCTAAATTACCCACAAAAACTGAAATAGATTCATTTACTTGCTCTTTATCTTTCAGCATCTGATAATGAACAGATTTTAAGACGTTCAGAATCTGCTTCAGCATAGAAATAAGGCCAAACAGCTCTTGTGAAAGATCATTAAAATATACAGAACAAACCTATTATTTATATTACTTTAAAAAATCACCCAATTCATAGTCCAAAAGAATACCAATCTTACTGGATTTTACTACTGGCAGAAGGTGGGTTTTCTTAGGACCTGATGCAGCATAACCACTCTATATATCATCCAATTGCCCCCAAATCAACCCAGAACTGAAGGCTGATCCTGCCAGGTCCTAAGAAGACAATCTTGACACACACCTAATTTTCATTTAGGCTTGTTTCCCACCTCTACCTTCCAGTAATGTCTGTCAGAACTACACTTCTGAGAGCCCAGGAAAGCAGGGCAGAAATAAAATCTCCTTGGGTTATAACATATGTTTGGTTTTGTTCTTCCATCACACAGCTTTTCTATCCTCGGAGACAATAAGTTGAGGATGTGCTGTGTCAAGATCTAAAATCAAGGACAGGCGCGGTGGCTCACATGTGCATTCCCAGCACTTTGGAAGGCTGAGGTGGGTGGATCATGAGGTCAGGAGATCAAGACCATCCTAGCTAACATGGTGAAACCCCATCCCTACTAAAAATACAAAAAATTAGCTGGGCCTGGTGGCAGGTGCCTGTAGTCTCAGCTATTTGGGAGGGTGAGGCAGGAGAATTGCTTGAACCTGGGAGGTGGAGGCTGCAGCGAGCCAAGATCACACCACTGCACACCAGCTTGGGTGACAGAGCAAGAGTCCATCTCAAAAAAAGAAAAAAAAAAAAAGATCTAGAATTAAATCTACTTGAAATGGCTTGATAGTTCTGTCTAAGCCAGAATATAGAGAAGGAAGACTAAAACCATATTTTATTAATCTATATGAAAAGAGTTCAGGGCATTTTAGGTTTCGATACCTGTGGTGCATACTCTTAACCTGTGTCAGCAATTCCAGGTTTGACTGCATAGAATTGGCCTCTGCCTCCCCCAGTAGATGTTTAAATGTAGAAACATAATCTGAAAATTTTACAAGGTTTTCACTTAGTTTTGCTAAAATGTCCATCTCTTCATCTTGTTTCAATTGTGAGTCAATTGTGTGGCATGGGTACAATTATGCTCTCTTCATATGCAGAATTAATGTCATTTTTTTTACTATAGATATTTTCCATTTTTCACCTGAGACCACAGGCCAATTTCAAAAAGAATATTTACTTCTAATTATGTAGCTTCTATTACATAGCTAGTATTGTCTTTGTTTACTTCATGTATATGCCAAAAAGACCTCATGACTTATGAAACGTTCAACTGTTTACTTAAATTGGCCCAATAAATTTAATAAACTCAATTATGTCAATTTTATAAAGTAAAATGAACAGTAACTAAACAAAAACTGGATTCAATAGCATTCTCTAATTGAAACAAAATATAAAATACACTAAATAACATACAATACACGCACTGTGAAATTACTCACGTGAAAATTATTTTGTGAACACCATTAAATTTTATCAAAGTCACTTTCATAATCTCTGAGGTGATTATACAAAGAATGTTTTATGAAAAGAAAATTATGTCTATGGTGAGCAACAGGCAAACAGACAAACAACAAAAAAAGAATTTGCACAAGATGATTCTAAGCCAGGAGCAATAACATTTTAGATAAATGAATTTAATACACAGCAGAGAAAATAGATTTGCTTTCAAAATCTCTGAAGTTTCTGGTTTGCTGGTAAGTGATCAACACTTGTAAAATTATCTGTTCATTCTAATATTTTTCTTTTCTTCTCAAAGTAGGTACACAACCATAAACAAATATGATTACTTTCTCTATAAATCTGTTACACCTGAAGTTTATTTTACAGTGATATATCTATATATTTAAATCCATGTAAACCAAAACTAAAGGTCTGTATGTGTTTAGCAGACCAGAGAAGTCATATGTTCAACAGAAAAAAGTAGGATAAAATTTTATAAATAGTTGTTCAGAATTCAGAAACATATAGCTCCAATTATACTCATAATCTTCATTACAACCATCATAATAATCTGTAGTTACAAGTAAACAAAAATGTAAGTTGTAGAAACCATATTCTCTAAATTATTTTAAGTTAAAGACCACTGACAAAGGGATCACTAGAGATGTTAGTCCACTGTCACCCAATAGTATATTGTTACCTACAACCTTGGGTAAGATGGGATAAGTTAACATCAGTGGCAAGATACACATTCAATGTAAAATAGCCTTAACACAATAACAATAATTTTGGTTTATTAAAACAAATTAAGTTCACACATTGTCATTAAAAAGGCATTTTGAAATTCACTGTATTTTAATTACCTTAATTTGCAAATGGTAAGGCAATTTCCTTCTAAAATTCAAATTGTTTCTCTTACTAAGCAGATTATTATCCTGATCACTTACCACACTCCTATCATCCTGTCACTTACGATACTGCTGTAAACTAATAAGTGGCCTTTCCACTTAGAATTTCTTCGTGTGTCTTAGGTTTCAGTTTACTTAATCCTCCATGGAAAAGTATATAAATCTGTCCATCTAATATAGAAGAACCTCTCACAACTCTGGTGCAACCACTGACCATGTTCTTTCACATAAATTCTAGAAATGAAGACACAGCATCAAATGTAAGAGTTAAATTATATTGAAATTTGCTTTTGAAAAATATTGAATCCTTTTAATATAAAAAAGTAGGTTCCCTTTAGAGAAAAGTGATCGAGATTGCTGACTAGAAGCAGCTAGACTGTGCAGTTCTCATAGACAGGAATGCAAGGTATACATAAATACAGCACCTGCAACTGAAACATCCAGGTACTTGCATTGGGAATAATCAAAGAAACAATCTATGGAGAATGGAGTAAAGCAAGGCAGGACAATGGGCCACCTGGGAACAACATGGAGCCAAGGGAACCTCCCCACCCAGTAAAGCAGTGAGTGCATGTGTGACCCTAGAAACCCATGATTCTCCCACAGATCTCTGCAACCTTCAGGTGAGGAGATACCCTCATGAACCCACTTCACCAAGGCCTTCAGTTTAACACACAGAGCTACATGGAGTCTCAGCAGATAAGCCACTTAGGCCTGCGCAGATTCAAGAGCCTTAGATACTGGCTTTCCAGGCTTCCCAGAAAAAGTAGCTGCAACTCGAGCAAAGCAGGTTACACCCCTGAACATACCCATAGGAAAGAGGCAGAATCCAGGGGGCTGATAGTGATGGTCTGTAGGACCCACTTCAACAATGCCTCACGTGGTAAGACCTACTGGCTTAGATTCCAGCCAACCATTGGTAGCAGCACTGCACCTCCCTGGGATGGAGCTACCAGAAAGAGGAGTGGGCCACCATCTTTGCTGCTTGAGCAACTTAGCCATTCCAGCCTTCAGGCTTTGAAGAGCCCAAGCTGACCGGGGGGCGGAAAGGATCTCCTAGCACAGTACAGGTGCTCTAAAAAGACATGGCCAGACTGCCTGTTAAAGCAGGTCCCCCGTTTCATTCCTTCTCACTGGAAAGTACTTCCCAATGAGGGTCTCCAGCTACCACCACCAGCGCTCTTTGGTTGATGGAGTTTTGAAACCTCTTTGGGATACAGTTCCTAGAGGGAGGAGTGAGCTGCCATTTTTGCTGTTTGTGTGAGTTAGCTGTTCCAGCCTTCTGGCTTTGGAGAATCCAAATAAACTGGGGGTGGAAGTGGTACCTCTGAATAGCAGAGCTGTCCTGCAAAAATATGGCTAGACTGCTTTCTTAAGTGGGTCCCCAATCATGTTTTCCTCACTGGGTAGGACCTTCAACAGGGGCTTCCAGCTACCTCCTACAGGTGCTTTTGGGCTGGCAACAGGTCTATACCTCCCTGGGATGGCGCTCCCAGAGAAAAGGGCATGCTGCCATTGTTGCTGTTTTGCAGCATTCAGTGGTGATAACTTCCAGTACTGGAAAATCTGAGGTGACTAGAAACTGTAGTGGACACCCAGCATACTGCAGCAGCCCTTCAGAAGTGGTCGGACTGTTACGTGAGTGCCTGTTCTCATATATTCTCACGAGGCAGGTTCTCCAGGCCCGGGCCACTAGCCAATCATTGCCAGAGCTATTGAGCCAGTAGCAGCTTAGCAACTCCCTGGACAGAGCCTCCAGGGGCCTCTGCAGTACAACTGTCCTTGCTACCCTCAGACTAATAAAAAATCCCAAACCCTAAGTGCCTTATTCACACCTCAAACTGCAGTTTACCCAAGGAGAGGAAGCCAGCCCATCCTCCATGGGTCCCACAAACTACCCACTGCTCCTCAGCAGACAGTAAACCCCTAACTTGGCCAAAAGTAAAGATCTTCCATCCTGGGCTGGCTGCACTGAGTAATTGCTGACCTACATCTCTCTGAGATGCAGCCCCCAGAAGACAAGCAAAGAGATAATGCAGCAAGCCAGCTCATGTGGTGGCCAGAGGGTTTGGTGCAAGAGCATCTGTAGTAAAGTGTGGCCAGTGATGGCCATTTCTCTAGGCTCAACTGTCTCCCATAAGAGACTTTAGCCCTACGGGAACTGTTGGGCCTAATTTCTGCAGGATGGTCTTGCAAATCAGAAGAAGCTGGTCCAACTGAGCACTCCTTGGTCTGCTGGCCTCTCCCAGGGACCCAGTCTGGCCACAGCTGCTTACAGGGCAGTCTCAGGTACCCTGGAAGCTCATACCAGAGCATCTGCACTGGAGGGACATGCCTGACTCATGAAGAGCTCCAGCAAAGCAGCCCCTATGACTGCACCAGCCCACATTTCTTCCCCATACTGCAGCTTCCCGTGACACCATGGCAACTCCTGATATTTCTTTGCTGGCACATGTCTGCAAAGGCAGGTTTGGCTTTGCTTGCCCCACCAGCAAATGGGAATGCAATATGCCCCGCCACCCCCAGCAACTGCCATTGTAGATGAAACTTTGGTGGGCAGAGAGCCAGAAAACTCCACCCCTGCCTTTGTGCTAACACTGTGCAGAGAACAGGGTAACCTCCCACACTCTGAACAATCACTCTTTCTTGGGGGGCACAGAGAAGGCATCAAAACCTTTACTGGCCAGTATCCTGCCCCAAGCCAACACCACCTTTAGTGCAACAGCACACAGCCTCCAGCAGGTATCCCCCACTCCCTTCCCAGCTGCTTTGCTCCTGCCACTGAGGTGAGTACCCAAAGACAGGCAGAAATCCCATATCCACTAGCACTCTGCTCCAGCTATGGCACCTTCATCCCACAAACTCGCAAACTCCAAATCTCAAGGAGCCAGAGAACACAGTTGGGGCTCAAAACAAGTCCCCCGGAGTTAGAGTATGCAGCCTCTGAGTTGTGAGCTGAGCATTGCCCACCCACCACCACCACCAAACAAAACAAAACAAAACAAAACAAAACAAAAAAAACCTCCCAGGAACAAAGCCTGTTGGCTGCATCCATCTTATACCACAATCAAATACTCAAGACCATCAAATAGGATTAAAAAAAAAAAAGCCCAAAGGTCAGCAACCTCAAAGATATGCCCACAAAGATAAGACACAATCAGTGCAAAGATAAAAACACAAAAAGCCAGAGTGACTTCTTTCATCCAAATGACCAAATTACATTTCCAGCAAGGCCTAAGATGACAGAAGTAGAATTCAGAATATGGGTAGAAACAAACTTCACTGAGTTACAAAAGTAATTTGCAACCCAATGCAAGGGAGGAAAAAAAATTGCAGGAACTGACGGAAAAAACAGCCAGTCTGGAGAAAAAATGTGGCCAACCTGATAGAACTGAAAAACACAATACAAAACCTTTATAATGTAATCACATATATTAACAGCAGAATAGGCCAAGCAGAGGAAAGAATCTCAGGGCCTCAAGACTGGCTTTCTGAAATCAGACAGACAAGAACAGTGAAAAAAGAATAAAGAGGAATGAACAAAACCTCTAAGAAATATGGGATTATGTAAAGAAACCAAATCTAT
Source organism: Homo sapiens (assembly GCF_000001405.40). Taxonomy (NCBI): domain Eukaryota; kingdom Metazoa; phylum Chordata; class Mammalia; order Primates; family Hominidae; genus Homo; species Homo sapiens. The sequence continues at coordinate 64,350,199 of NC_000007.14, read as the reverse complement.
GATGCAAGAGATTGCCTGAAAGTGATGGGGAGAATGAAAACAACTTGAAATACGTATTTCAGGATAACATCCATGAGAACTTCCCCAACCTAGAGAGGCCAACATTCAAATGCAGGAAATGTGGAGAACCCCAGTAAGATACCCCAGGAGAAGGTCATCCTCAAGACACATAATCATGAGATTCTCCAGGGTCAAAATGAAAGAAAAAATATGTTAAAGGCAGCTAGAGAGAAAGGCCAGGTCACCTCTAAAAAGAAGCTCATCAGGAAAACAACAAATCTTTCAGCTGAAATCCTACAAGTCAAAAGAGATTATAGGGGCCAATATTCAACATTCTTAAAAAAAGAATTCCAACACAGAATTTCATATCTGACCAAGGTAAGCTTCAGAAGTAAAAAATATATATGATCCTATTCAGACAAGCAAATGCTGAGAAAATGTTACCACAGGATCTGTCTTAAAAGAGCTTCTGAAGAAAGCATTAAATAAGAAAAAGACTATTACCAGTCACTACAAAAGCACACTAAAGTATACAAACTGTGGACACTATAAAGCAACCACAGAAACAAATGTGCAAAATAGCCAGCTAAGATCCTAATAACAGAATCCAATCCACACATATGAATACTAACCTTAAATGTAAATGGGCTAAATACCCAAATTAAAGCACAGATGGCAAGCTGAAAAAAGAATCAAGATCTAATGGTATGCTTTAATCAAGACACCCATCTCAAATAAGCTCAAAATAAAGGGAAAAAGAAAAGCCTACCAAGCAAATAGAAAACAGGAAAAGAAGCAGGGGTTGCAATCCTAGTTTCTGACAAAACAGACTTGAAATTAACATAGATTTAAAAAAAAAGGGCATTACATAATAGCAAAGGGCTATATATGTACCCAACATATAAGCAACCAGATTATAAAGTAAGTTCTTAGAGACCCTCTAAGATGATAAATGTTCTTCCACTGTCATTACATTTATACTGCATTTGTTCAGTATTAAATTTCAGATGTTGAACACAGTATGAGGACTTGGTAAAGGCTTTTCCACATTTTTAACACTTGTGGAGCTTCTCTCTAGTATGAATTCTCTTATGTCTGATGAGGTGTGAGAACCAGCTCGATGCTTTGCCACATTCTTCACATTTGTAGGGTTTCTCTCCAGTGTGAATTCTCTTATGATTAGTCAGGTCTGAGAAGCACTTAAAGGTTTTGCTGCATTCTTCACATTTGTAAGGTCTCTCTTCCATATGAATTCTCTTGTGGTTAAAAAGGGTTGAGGAGCGGGTAAAGGCTTTGCCACATTCTTCACAGATGTAGGGTTTCTCTCCAGTATGAATTCTCTTATGTTTACTAAGGGCCGAGAACCACTTAAAAGCTTTTCCACATTCATTACATGTGTAGGGTTTGTCTCCAGTATGAATTATCTTATGTTTAGCAAGGTCTGAGAACCACCTATAGGCTTTGTTACATTCTTCACATTTGTAGGGTTTCTCTCCAGTATGAATTCTCTTATGATTAGTAAGGTCTGAGAAGCACTTAAAGGCTTTGCCACATTCTTCACATTTGTAGGGTCTGTCTCCAGTATGATTTCTCTTGTGTTTAACAAGGGTTGAGGAGCAGGTAAAAGTTTTGCCACATCCTTCACATTTGTAAGGTTTCTCTCCAGTATGAACTCTCTTATGTTCAGTAAGGTTTGAAAACTTTTTAAACGCTTTGCCACATTCTTCACATTTGTAGCATCTCTCTACAGTATGAATTTTCTTATGTCTAGTAAAATCTGAGAACAACCTACAGTCTTTGCCACATTCTTCACATTTGTGGCATTTCTCTCTGCTAAAAATGTCTTTATGTTCAGTGAAGATTGAGCACAACTGAAAACCTCTGCCACATTTATTACATTGACAGGTTTTGCTATGGGTAGCTGACAAACATTGATGAAGGCCATTATAACTGCTTTTCTGCCCCTTGCAATTACCCACACTTTGGTAGTCTTTCTTTAAATGTAAATTATTAAGGTCACAGCTTCCATATTTTCTCAGAATCACTTTTTGAAATGAATCTTTTATGTCATGATCCGGCAATATCTCTGCAGTAAAATGAAAAGAACCAGCTGGAGAAAAAAAATAAAATTCTCCCTCATTAGACTCAGGTGAATATACTTCACAAATATATAATTATACAAAGCAATTAATAAAACGATAATAAAATACCACAGGCTCTATATTCTTATAGACATATAAACCTAACAGAAATATACTGACCAAAATGCCTTTGTGAGAAGTCTAAGAACCAGTTAAGCATTTGCGGCACACCAAGTGAGCAAAACGCCAAGAACCACATAGAAGTGTAATAAAAGTATTTCATATTTACCCACCACAGCCATTCTTCATCCTATGATGACTCTAACTATAGACTCCAAACTCCTGTCTACCCCCTCCAAAAATAAATAAAATAGTGGCACATGTGTCCATGCTTCTGGCTTATTGAGACCTTACCAAAGACTAATTTCTATATTCCATGACAGTGTTGAAAGGAAAGGTGGTATGCACTGACAGTTTCGGACAGCTGAGACCAAAGGTAAATGACTGTTACAAGAGAAGAAAGACTTCAGTATCATAGACAGACAATGGGTATAGCAAGTGACTAAGGGATCTCAATAAGAAACATAGGGAATGGCCAGGAGTGGTGGCTCACACCTGTAATCCCAGCACTTTGGGAGGCTGAGGCAGGCGGACCACCTGAGGTCAGATGTTCAAGACCAGACAGGCCAACATGGTGAAACCTTGTCTCAACTAAAAATACAAAAATTAGCAGGGCGTGGTGGCAGGTGCCTGTAATCCCAGCTACTTGGGAGGCTGAGGCAGAAGAAAGGAGAATCGCTTGAACTCAGGAGGTGGAGGTTGCAATGAGCCAAGCTTGTAACATTGCACTCCAGTCTGGGCAACAAGAGTAACACTCAAAAAAAAAAAAAAAAAAAAAAAAGGCGAACATTTTTTAACTAAAAAACACACAAGCTCAGAGAAAACATCCATAGAACAGGCTTGAGAGACTCCAAGACTCCCTAGCCTAAAAAATTGGTATCATATTCCCTCAGACAAAAGTCACTTAATACAGATTTTGACATGTGGCTTTTTATTATACAAATTGCAACATTACAACATAAACAAAACATCAAGATAATATGGCTCAAAGAAAAAAAAGAATATCCAGAAATCAATTATTAAAAAAAGGAGATGTAAAAATTATGTGAGACAATTTGAATTAAAGTCTTGATCTATTTTTTAAAAGAAAAAAATAAATTACCCTAGAAAATCAAAATTACATCTCAATGATGCTCAATGAGTAAAATGGAAATTAAAAAAACAAAATGAAATAACAAAAATGAAACCAACAAAAAGATAAAAAGCACAGAAAGAAATAAAAATTGTGTAGTAGAACTACAAAAAAAGACTAATATGCACTTCAACATTAGTAAAAAATATAAGAAAATCAAGAAGCTCAGCAAACTTCAACTAAGATAACACAAAGAGATTTCTAACAAGACATAACACAAGCAATGTTTTAAAAGTCGCAGACAAGAAGAGAATCTGGAATTCAGGAAGAAGAAAGAGACGTGTTATTTATATGCATGCTTCTGCAAGATTACGAGTAAATTTAAGAACATAAATCTTTCAGGCAAGAAGGGAACAGGATGACATAGTTAAAGCACTGGAAAAAAAAAAAGTCTAAGCAAGAATACTATATCCAGCAAAAGTATCTTCCAAAATGAAAAAAAAAATCTAACTATATCATGACATATATCAAGATCTACATCAAGATCTAACTATATCATGTCTTCAAGAGATTCACTTTAGATCTAATAAAAAAAAAAGACAAAATGGCAGGATGAAAAATACATTTTATGCAAGTGTTAACCAAATGAGAGAAGAGGCAACAATTTATTAAGTTGAAAATGGTCATATTTCATATAATTTACTTTAAGTCAAAATTCACAAGAGACAAAGTAGGACATTCAATTATAATAAGAGGGTTCATTCACTGAGAACCTATAAATACAAGACAGTTTTCCCAAACACATAAAGCAAACATTGACGGAACTGAAGCAAAAATAGACAGCAATATAATAATGGAAGGAAACATCAACATCCCACTTTCACTAATACATAAAGCAAGACAGAATATCAATGAGGGAACAAAAAACTTGAATGTACTATAAAATAATTACACCTAACAAATGTATACAGACAGCAGAATACACATTCTTTTCAATAGCTCATGAAACATTTTCCTAGATGGATGACCTGTGACACCACAAAACAAGTCTTAACAATTTTTTTAATTGAAATTTTACGGACAATTATTTATGGTCCAAATGGAATGAAACTAGAAATCAGTAACAGAAGAAAAGCTGAAAAATTCAAAAAACATAAAAATTAAACAACACACCTTTTTTTTTTTTTTTTTTTTAAGATGGAGTATTGCTCTGTCACCAGGCTGGAGTGCAGTGGCACGATCTCGGCTCACTGCAACCTCCACCTCCTGGGTTCATGTGATTCCCCTGCCTCAGCCTCCTCTCCTGAGTAGCTGGGACTACAGACATGCACCACCACGCCCAGCTAATTTTTTGTATTTTAGTAGAGACAAGGTTTCACCATGTTGGCCAGGATGGTCTCGATCTCCTTACCTTATGATGTGCCCACCTCGGCCTCCCAAAGTGCTGGGATGACAGGCATGAGCCACCGCACCCAACCAACAACACACTTTTGAGCATGCTCTTTTTCAAGGGTTGGAAGACATAACATTGTGAAGATGTCCATGCTGCTTAAAGTGACCCACACATTCAACACACCCTTTTCAATTTTCAATTTTACTTTTCCTGGCCGGGCACAGTGGTTCACGCCTGTAATCCCAGCACTTTGGGAGGCCGAGGCGGGCAGATCATGAGATCAGGAGATCGAGACCATCCTGGCTAACATGGTGAAACCCCGTCTCTACTAGAAAAAAAAAAATTAGCCAGGCGCGGTGGCGAGCAACTATAGCCCCAGCTACTCTGGAGGCGTCGGCAGAAGAATGGTGTGAACCAGGGAGGCAGAGCTTGCAGTGAGCCGAGATCGCGCCACTGCACTCCAGCCTGGGTGACAGAGCGAGACTCCATCTCAAAAATAAATAAATAAATAAATAAATAATAAAATAAATTTTACTTTTCCAAAAAGAAAAAAAAAACCCACAAAATTACATAAGATCTCAAGGTAACATGAAAAGCCTGACAATCTTTAAAAAGAAGAAAAATATTGGAAGCATTATGCTTAACAATTTCCAAACACAAAACAAAACTACATCAATCAAAGCACTTTGGTACTGGTATAAATGTAGAACACCAAAGTAATGAAACACAATGCAGCACAGATATAAACTCTTGAATATATGGTCAAGTGAGTTATTTGTACACCATATTGAAGCATTATCCACAAAAGCCAATAGGTAAAAGCAATTTAAACTTTCCTTACCAAATTAATCGATAAATATAATTTAAAATATAAAAAAGGGAATATTAATCAGCTTTTTAAAAGCAGGAAATCTTCTAATATCTATTATAAAGACAAATTTTGAAGACAACATGCTAAATTAGTAAGCCAGCCACACACACAAAAATACTGTATGAATCTACTTACATGGAATATGTAAAATAGTTACATCCTTAAAAACAGAAAATAGAATGATGTTTGTAAAGGGCCAGACAATGGGAAAAATGAGTAGTGGATTCATGTGTATAGCATATTTCTTTTACAAAAATAAAAGTTCTAAAGATATGTTGCTAAAAATGTCAATATACTTAACAAAGCTGAACTATATAACTGAAAATATTAAAGAGTATACATTTTTTAATTTTTATTTTTTAGACAGAGTTTTGCTCTTGAAGCCCAGGCTGGAGTGCAGTGGTGCCGTCTTGGCTCACTGCAACCTCTGCCTCCCAGGTTCAAGTGATTCTTCTGCCTCAGCCTCTGCAGGAGCTGGGATTATAGGCGCGCACCACCACACTTGGCTAATTTTATATTTTTACTAGAGACGGGGTTTTGCCATGTTGGCCAGGCTGGTCTTGAACTTCTGACCTCAGGTGACCTGCCCACCTTCGCCTCCCAAAGTGCAGGGATTACAGGTGTGAGCCACCATGCTCGGCCCTTGTATTTCTTACACTTAAGAATAAAACAATCATTGACTACTAACAAAAAAATAAAAAAAAAAAAAGCAAATATACAAGTCATAAAATAGGGGTAATATTTACACAGGCAAACAAACACAGAAATAATTATATTGGCAAAATATGTATGACTGATCAATATCTGACTTTTGTCCAAACATTGTTTTAATGTGTACAGAGTTGAATTATTGTCATATAAAATTATGATACATAAAAACTAAAAACACAATTAATTAATGTGACATAGGCTACTGTAAAACATAAGCCACTAAAATATAAAATGGTGGAACAAAATTTAACAAAAAAAATTAACCAAAAAATATTGAATCAACATAGTGTACTACCAAACAATAATTATTCTAGATAGCCATGCATTTTAACTGTGACTGCACATTTATAAAGAGCACATATTTTGGTATTTTTGTTTAATTTCAACTTTTCCTATAGGTTCAGAGGCCACATGTCTAGGTTTGTTACATGGGTATATTATGTATTGCTAAGGTTTGGGATAACTGCTACTACTACTCAGATAGATAGCACAGTACCCCATAGGTAGCTTTTCAGGCCTTGTCTCTTTCTTCCTTTCCTCCTCTAGTGGTCCCCAGTGTCTATTGTTTTCATTTTTATATCCTTGTATACTCAATATTTAGCTCTCACTTGTAAGTAAGAACATGCAGTATTTGCCTTTCTGGTTTTTTTCCATTAATTTACTTAAGATAAGGGCTTTCAGCTGCATCAGTGTTGCTACAAAGAACACAATTTTTTTTGGCTGTGTAGTATTTCAATGTGTATATAGGTACCACATATTCTTTATCCAATCCACCTCTGATGGGCAACTAGAGTGATTTCATGTCATTGCTGTTGAAGACAATAAAGTTTGAATCACTGGTATACAGTGAAAGCAATAACATTTTATAGAAAATGCATTATAATCATTCATAAAAAGCTTTGATGAGAAAATATGAATAGGCACTTAAATAATACTAGACATACTTATTATGTCATTAATGTATAGCTGCTATTTTTGCACAAAATGTAAAGGCAAGGCAACCTTTGGAAGCAAAACATTACATTACTAAAATAATATAAACAATATAAATACAGTACAATATGGAATAAAATAAAATAATTAGAAATAAATTTATACAATCACATAGACAAAGTTTGAGAAAAGTTGATGAAAATGCTAGTATCTTTTTGTATGCAGTAAACTTAAACATAAATCAAAGATTATAATATATGGTGTGCCTATTAATTATCTAGTTTACCTTTTATACAACATATACATTTGAGCACATTACTTCAGAACTTGTGAAATTACAGGCATAGTTGTTACACACAAATCAGAAAGAAAAACATATATATAAGACACAGCCCTAGTAGTCTTCATAGTAAAGAAGATAAAATTATAAAATAATAGTTATTAAGAAATAGGTAACAATTTGGAATTTATTATGTTTATTATGTGCTGGACAGTGTTCTAAGTAACCTATGGTATTAGTGTTTTTAGGAATTCTGTGAGGTGAGTAGATAAAATCAACTATTCCACAGTAGAGGCAATTGTCATATAGAATTTAAATTTCTAAGTTTAGTTCCTACTAAGAAAAATATACTTTTGAAGTGAAATAGATGTTTAGATTTTCTTGTACTTAATCAGATGCTTTGTGCTCTGATAAAAGTTCTCACTTTCATTTTCTGTATGATCAACTGATTGGAAATTATAAAGCAGAAACATATGACATCTGTTCCGGGCCTCTCTCAAATCTCTTAACCAAATCTCCCTACTCCTCTCTAACATAATGCACAGATTTTTAAAAACACCTCCAAAAATTTGGACAAATTTTCCAGATCCCTCAAAGCAATAGAAGAGCAGTTAGATTATTTAGATCCTTACAGCATAAAAAGGAGTTGTCTCTCACTGTGAATGCACCAGCAGATTAAATGGATAGAAGACTTAAAGAATTCAAAAGCTTAATAAGCATACATCAAAAAATTGTCCTCCATGACATTAAGAGGCTTTTCAAGAATCAATTCCATTGGAGAACAGCCTCCCAATCCACATTTTAAACTCTTGTTTTCTCCTTCACCTTTGGACCTTTCACATGTGTTATCTGCTAAATCATTCATACCTATCTGAGTGTATGGCTATTCTTTCCACTCGTTTCACATTCCAGTAATACTTTCTATGCTGCAGAAGGTAACCAGGTCTAGCTTAAAGACTTTCCAACACAACCTTTCTTTCCTTCAACAGCAATTGGTCTAAGTAAAACACAATCAACTCCCAGTATTATCCTCAAGAGAAATCTAAAACAACAGGTCTGTTTAAAGTTCTGATTAATAGAGTCTGTCTCCCTTAACATGAAAATGATGGAGTAATGAGAATTACAGTTTGTATCTGCTAGAAGGTGAATGTTGTTATAATACTAGAGGAACTGCCATGCCACAGTCATCTAAGGAAGCAAAAGATTATAGAATCTGACAAGAAAATGAGGAAAAAATCTCTTTAACTTAGAAATTACACACAAAAGTTCAAAGACATAACTGAGAACATGTTTGTGAAGCACTAAAAAATCTATAGCGTGGCTCATTGCTACAGCCATTCTTTAAGCAAGTCTTTAAATATTAGATTAGATGGCTGTTTTTAAGTTTTCAAATTTCATAAAAGGATCACGTAACATAAAAAAAAAAGACAGAAAACATACCCCACTTGAAGAAATAAATTTCCAAAACTCAATCCTTAAGAAGATCTTTGCATTATCTGACAAAGATGTCAAAATAATGATACTAAGTATGCTCAATAACAAAAATAGAACAAAGATTTTAAAAAAAGAAACCAGTAGAAATTGTGGCAGAAAAATAATTGTTGAAAAATTTTGTAGAGTCACAACAGAATTAATGATCAGAAAACAAAAATCAGAAAACTAAAGACATTTATAAACATTGAGTCATGAAAAAATAAAACAAAAAAAGTTGAAAAACATCAACACGGAATATGTAACTAATTTATTAGATATGATTAAGGAGACCAATGTATTCATGAAAGGAGTCTTTGAAGAAGAATGCAGGAGAAAAGTCACAGAGAGGTTATTTGAAGAAAAAAGGGACTCACTAAGAACTTCCTAAATTTCGAAGTGATGAAAAAAAATGCTACCAACCAAGGATACTTAATCTGGGAGAAATTTACTTTAAAAATAAGACAACAATAAAGACTTTCTAACATGAACCAAAGGTAAGGGTGTTCATTACCCCTAGAAAAGTCTTATAAGAACTACTACATGGAGTCCATTATGTTGACAGACATGGTGGTTCACACCTGTAATCCTAGCAACTTTGTAGGCTGAGGCAGAAAAAGAATCATTTTAGGCCGGGAGTTTGAGACCAGCCTGGGTGATATAGTGAGACTCCTTCTCAAAGAAGAGACCTTTATAATAATTTTGTTTTTCAAGGAGAGGGTTTTAAAACCTGCTAGAACTAAAGATTGATTGAAGTCATTTTGAAAAGGCAGGTCCTCATATAGGTGGCAAACTTGAAAACCCTTGCTCTTTGGCTACAGGTCAAGAAATGGTTCAACTATTTTGACTTGACTTAAAATTCTGTAGTGACTCCATAACCATCTCCAGCTCCTTCCAGCCATAGCCTAGGAGTGGTTCTGCATATCCAGAGACCCAGAGAAAGATGCCTGTTTGTGGTTACAGCAGTAGGTCTGCAGACCTTGGCCTTTACTGTGCTCTCTGAAACAGTTCAGTGACTCAGTTTCAGCACTGATAGTCACAGTTTGTGGCAAGTTCTGCCAACTTAAGTACTCAAAGAGTTACTTGGGGAAATCTTGCCACATACTCAGTAAGAAACACACATCAGGCACACCATATACCAGCCGTACTGCAGAACACTGCCCTAGTGCTGGCCCTACAGATCCAAGTCCTAAAGGCAATTCCGTCTGCCAAGAAATAAGACAGGATTAACAACTACCCAGGCTCCTGGTAACAAACCCACTAAAAGCAAACTCCACAACAGACCAAGAAACAGCCATGTGACCCACATATAACCCCTCTCCACTGCATACCCAAGAAGATTCTATCAGCTAATTGACCCAAGAGAAGATTTGTACCTACTGAGAGCAGTTTATAAAATTGGAAAATTTAGATTCAATAAATGCCCTATTAAAATTTTAGTACAATTTTTCGAAGTAATAGAAAATTCAATCTTAAAATTTATATGGAATTACAAGAAACACTGAATATCCAAAGCAGTTTTGAGGATTAAAAACAAAGCTAGGGGCATTATACTTTCTGATTTTAAACTACATATGAAGGCTACTGTAATAAAAACAGGATGATGTGTGCATAAAAATGCACACCGATATCAGTGGAGCAGGATGGAGAGCCCGGAAACAAATCCATCCTTGTAAGATCAACTCATCTTTGACACTGAGCCACTGAGAATGCATAATGCAGAAAATATAGTCTCTTCCACACTTGGGGCTGGGAAAACTGAATATCCACAAGTAAAAGAATAAAATTAGACCACTTTTCTTACAATATTTAAAAATTAACTAAATATAAAATAAGGACTCTAATGAATGACATAAATTCTTAATAATCTTAAAAGAAAACATATGAAGAAACCTTAATATTGGTCTTGAAGTGAATTTTTGGATACGACAGCAAAAGTACAGCAATAAAAGCAAATATAAACAAATTAAACTGCATCAAACTAAAACACTTCTGTAGAACCAAGAAAAAATAGAATAAGAAAACCATATCTGATAAGTGGTTAGTATCAAAAATATATAAGAAACTCATGCAAATAAAAGGCAACAACTATAATAGTAATAACAAAATTTAAAAATAAGCCAAGGACTAAATAAATGTTTACAAATGAAAACATACAGTTGGGCAACAGGTATATAGAAAGGTGCTCAATGTCACCAATCTGGCAGATGCAAATTAAATTCATTGTGAGATATTACTTTATACCTGTTAGGACTGCTAATATCAAGAAGATTTATAACAAGTGTTGACAATATATTAAAGAAAAGATGCTGTACAATTTTAGTGACGTACAATTTTTTAGAGACATTATGAAATCTAGTATGTAGGTTCTTTTAAAAATTTTTTAATAGTACTGCTATACAATTCAGCTATCTCATTTCTGCATATACAATAAATTTACTATCTCAAAGAAATACCTGCACCTCCATGTTCATTGAAACATTTTTCACAATTGTCAAGATACAAAAGCAATCTAAAGTGTTTGTGGAAACTGACTGCACAAAAAAAAAACATGGCATGTATACAAAATAGAATATTATTCAGCCATAAAAAATAATAAAACCCTGACATTCTACAACATGGATGGACCTAGATGATGTTATGCCGAGTGAAACATCACAGAAACAGACAAATACTGTATGATCTCACTTCTATGGAGAATATAATAAGGTTGGACTCCTAGAAGAAGAGAGTATAGAGGTGAGTGCTAGGCCCTGGAGGTGGAGAAAGTGGAGTATGTTGTTCAAATGGTACAAATTTTCAGTTAAAAGACAAACAAGTTATGGTAACCTAAGGTACAGCTTTATGACTACTGAAAGTAATACTGTTATGTATGCTGAAAATTTGCTGAGAGATCTTAATTGTTTTCACTACAAAAAAGGTAACTTGTAAGGTCATAAATGTGTTTGTTCATTAATTTGATTGTATTAATCATTTCTTTATGTATACACATACAAAATCAATACACTGTATACAATACATAGGTATTCAATTATTATTTGTGAAAAAATTCGCCTTACTGGGATTATATGTGTGTCATACACATGCGTATATAAATGTGTTTATATATATACATATGAATGACACAATCACAGTGAGCTTCATACTAAATAAAACCACAAAACGATGTCGTTTAAAATAAAGTTAAAATTGAGAGTTTAATATGTACTCAGCAGACTGGGCACAGTGGCTCATACCTATAATCCTAGCATTTTGGGAGGCCAAGGCAGGCAGATCACCTGAGGTTGGGAGTTCGAGACCAGCCTGACCAATATGGAGAAACCCTGTCTCTACTAAAAAATACAAAATTAGCCGGGTGTGGTGGCACATGCCTGTAATCCCAGCTACTAGGGAGGCTGAGGCAGAAGAATCGCTTGAACCTGGGAGGCGGAGGTTGCAGGGAGCCGAGATCGTGCCATTGCACTCCAGCTTGGGCAACAAGAGCAAAACTCTGTCTCAAAAAAAAAAAAAAACCAAAAAAAACAAAACAAAACAAAACAAAAAAAATACTCAGCAATGTTTTAAGCTCCCCAATGACATAGTATATTTAATAAACGTATGAAGTAGATACAATGAACTATAATACATACAGTTGAGGAATTTGGCCATATTTACCAACATTTGTTTATATGAAAAGAATAACATTTGAAGTAACACAATTTTAGAGTTTGTTTCATTTAGGGAGATGCTTAGTGTTTTGATATAATTACTGAGTATAAATTTCTGTAAAATCACGTTTGAAGGTTCCATAGAATAGAAAATTATAAAGCAGGAAGCACACATCTTTTTGTGGTATTCCTGGGATTTCTGATCCAAACTGTAATATCACCAAAACTTAAATATTTAGACATTATCCAAAAACAGAACTTAAAAAAATGGTTTAATATAGTTTCTCAAAAATACAGATATTGCTGTTTCCCCAAAGCAATGGAAAAGCAGTCAAATCACACATTTTCTGTCAAGCCATGAAAGACTTTCATTATTGCTGTAAACTAAAAACAAAAAACAAAACAAAACACACACACAACACACACACACACATTACTGAAGGGGAAGTACAGTGCTTGGAAAATTCACAAGAATGGGACAAAAAATGTCCCTATGTTAAAGCAAGAGAAAGAAATGAAGGTTTCTCAGAAACCATTTCCACTGGAGCAGAGCTTCTGGAAGCATGTTTAAAGGTTTGGCTTCCTCCTTGACATTGGGATCCGTCATTTGTGTCATCTGCTTCATTCACTCCCACCTACCTGGGTGTTTGGCTACTGCCTCCTGTCTCTTCACTTTCCAAGGCTCTTTTCTTTGCTCCAGACAGGTCATCAAGTCTGGCTTAAAGATAGCAAGACCTGTTTTATTAGAAAAAAAAACATGACTCTTGCTAGGATAATCTGATTACTAATCTAGTACTATGCTCAGTAGAGAAGAGAGAACATTATAGAAGACTCTAGAAAATTAATTTTAATATACTGTTTCCTAACAGAAACTTTAGAATATTTAGAAAGTATTTTAAATTTGTGGTTCTTAGCTCTATTACCCAGTAATACTGAATCAAAAATCAGCTGTGAAAATTGCATTTTTAGGTGTGGGTAACAATATTTTATGCTACTAAATTTCTGATATTACCACTAATTTAGACTGAAGTATACAGATGAGCTCAAAAAAGGGAAAGATTAATGTTAAGATGAAACATCTTGAAGATTATATTTTCTACCTCAACAGATACCCAATTTTTTCTTTTTGAAGCAGGATTCTGAAACTCATTTATGCAAAGCAGAACCTCCAAAAAAATCAGAAGAAAATAAAATATTTAATGTAGAATATGAGTTGTATATTGAAGTTATTCTCACCCAAGGAGACCAGGTTTCCATAGTTCTCTAACATCACATCCCTATACAAACGCTGCTGAGCAGAGTCCAGGCATTCCCACTCTTCTGGGGAGAATTCTACAGCCACATCCCTGAATGTCAACACTCCCTGGAAAACAAAACATATTTACCAAGTGACCATAGAAAGAATTCTTGATTTGACATCAGGTAAAATGAGAATAAAGATAGCTGGTTCTGACTTATATGAGTTACTGGAGTTATCCAGTAGGATACTTTCTAGCACAGAAATATTCTCTAGTGTATTTTTAACTCTGAGAAAAGATGGCATAAGATCATGAAACCAGTGTATGTGCAATACTTTTCTTGATGATACAGTATAAAATAAAGGACATTAACACAGGCATGTACATTTCTTAATGCTACATTTACATAATACAAGAAAAGCTGTCTATAGTTCCCATATGGAAACTTCATGGTGAGTTAAAAGCATACTTCTCAAATCTTATTGTGTATAGCAATGAACAGGAGATCTTGTTAAAACCTAGATTTTGACTCTGAAGATCTAGCGTAAAGCTTGAGTTTCCAAATTTGTAAGAAGTTTGCCAGTGGTATCGTTGCTTCTGGCCCAAGGAGAATATTTTGTCAAAAATTCAGTAAGTGGCACAGCCTAGGTTTTTAGTTTATTTGACCAGTAAAGAAAGACGAGAGCCTTCATTTTCCATAGCAAGCGATATGCAAAGAGAAGGTAGGAAGAAAGAAGAGCTGTCAGATTAAACATGGCTAAATCTTGTTTTTGCACATCACTTGATAAACTCCCCAAGGTATCTATTAATAGAGAAAAATAATGAACTGTAGAGTGAAAAATATCTGTCAGAAAGCGTATTTACCAAGTAAATAAATTAAGATCAACTATATTAAAAGAAATTTGTATCAGGTGCTGATTAACAAAGAAGGATACAAGACTACTGTGCTATTATTAACATTAACACAAAAAAGGGTCAACAATCTGAGTCTAGTCATGAAGAAACATCAGTTTTAGGCAAAATGTAAGCTACAAATATCTCCCATGTTCTGTAATCTCTAATTTTTGGCTAAACTTTTTTTTTTTTAAACTTTAAGTTCTGGGATACATGTGCAGGTTTGTTACATAGGTATACATGTGTCATGGTGGATTGCTGCACCTATCAACCCGTCATCTAGGTTTTAAGCCCCACATGCATTAGGTATTTGTCCTATTGCTCTCCTTCCCCTTGCCCCCATCTGCTGACAGGCCCTGGTGTGTGATGTTTCCCTCCCTGTGTCCATGTGTTCTCATTGTTTGAATCCTACTTATGAGTGAGAACATGCGGTGTTTGGTTTTCTGTTCCTGTGTTAGTTTGTTAGTTTGCTGAGAATGATGGTTCCAGCTTCATCCATGTCCCAGCAAAGGACGTGAACTCATTCTTTTTTATGGCTGCATAGTATTCCATGGTGTATATGTGCCACATTTTCTTTATCCAGTCTATCATTGATGGGCATTTGGGTTGGCTGCAAGTCTTTGCTATTGTAAATAGTGCTGCAATAAACATATGTGTGCATGTGTCTTTATAGTAGAATGATTTAAAATCCTTTGGGCATATACCTAGTAATGAGATTGCTGGGTCAAATGGTATTTCTGGTTCTAGATCCTTGAGGAATCACCACACTGTCTTCCACAATGGTTGAACTAATTTACACTCCCACCAACAGTGTAAAAGCATTCCTATTTCTCCACATCCTTGCCAGTATCTGTTTCCTGACTTTTTAATGCTCGCCATTCTAACTGGTGTGAGATAGTATCTCATTGTGGTTTTGATTTGCATTCCTCTAATGACCAGTGATGATGAACTTTTTTTTATGTTTGTTGGCTGCATAAATATCTTCTTTTGAGAAGTGTCTGTTTACATCCTTCACCCACTTTTTGATGGGATTGCTTTTTTCTTGTAAATTTATTTAAGTTCCTTGTAGATTCTGGGTATTTGCCCTTTGTCGGATGCATATATTGCAAAAATTTTCTCCCATTCTGTAGGCTGCCTGTTCACTGATGACAGTTTCTTTTGCTATGCAGAAGCTCTTTAGTTTAATTAGATCCCATTTGTCAATTTTGGCTTTTGTTGCCATTGCCTTTGGTGTTTTAGTCATGAAGTCTTTGCCCATGCCTATGTCCTAAATGGTATTACCTAGGTTTTCTTCTAGAGTTTTCATGGTTTTAGGTTTTACATTTAAGTCTTTAATCCATCTTGAGTTAATTTTTGTATAAGGTGTAAGGGAGGGTGGTCCAGTTTCTGTTTTCTGCATATGGCCAGCCAGTTTTCCAAGCACCATTTATTAAATAGGGAATCCATTCCCCATTGCTTATTTTTGTCAGGTTTGTCAAAGATAAGATGGTTGTATATGTGTGGTGTTATTTCTGAGGCCTCTGTTCTGTTACATTGGTCTATATACCGGTTTTGGTACCAGTACCATGCTGTTTTGGTTACTGTAGCCTTGTAGTATAGTTTCAAGTCAGGTAGCGTGATGCCTCCAGCTTTGCTCTTTTTGCTTAGGACTGTGTTGACTATATGGGCTCTTTTTTGGTTCCATATAAAATTTAAAGTATTTTTTCTAATTCTGCGAAGAAAATCAATGGTAGCCTGATGGGAATAGCATCGAATCTATAAATTACTTTGGGTAGTATTGCCATTTTCATGATATTGATTCTTCCTATCCATGAGCACGGATTTTTTTTTTCCATTTGTGTCCTCTTTTACTTCCTTGCTTTAGCATCCTAGAGAGGAAGTCTCTTCTATTTTTTATTCAGAACTTTCTGAGTTATCCTGGGCAATAAAGACCATTCTCATTAAATGTGCATTTTTATAAGCAGTTTTGCATAGATTTAATGGAAGCTAAACAGTACATGGTCTCCTTCTTCACTGATAACCAAAGACCTGATCCCATCTCAAACAGGAATCTTGGGTCTCCACACCCTTCCATGTTCGACAGCCACAGAAGAAACATTTGTAATGTTGCAGGTATAAATTCATGGTGACAATTTTTTCACGGCTTATTAAAAGCTGGGACGTAGGGAATAAGGAGAAGGCTCTGGTATATAAGGAAAAAGTATTTCTCAGAGCCCCTTGACTATCATGAGAATAAAAAGTGAAAAAGGAGTTAAACTGATAAGGCAAAACATCACAAGTAGCGTGTTGCGGGAAGTCAGGGACCCTGAATGGAGGGAGCAGCTGGAGCCACGGCAGAGGAACATGAATTGTGAAAACTTCTTGGACATTTATCAGTTCCCAAATAATACTTTTGTAATTTCTTATGCCTGTCTTTACTTTAATCTCTTAATCTGTTATCTTCGTAAGCTGAGGATGTATGTCACCTCAGGACCACTGTAATAATTGTGTTAACTGTACAAACTGATTGTAAAACATGTGTTTAAACAATATGAAATCATTGCACCTTGAAGAAGAACAGAATAACAGTGATTTTTAGGGAACAAGGGAAGACAACCATAAGGTCTGAGTACCTGCGGGGTCGGGCAAAAAGAGCCATATTTTTCTTCTTGCAGAGAGCCTATAAACAGGCATGCAAGTAGGAGAGATATTGCTAAATTCTTTTCCTAGCAAGGAATATTAATATTAATACCCTGGGAAAGGAATGCACTCCTGGGGGGAGGTCTATAAACGGCAGCTCTGGGAGTGTCTGTCTTGTGTGGTTGAGATAAGGACTGAGATACACCCTGGTCTCCTGCAGTACCCTCAGGCTTACTAGGGTGGGGAAAAACTCTGCCCGGGTAAATTTGTGGTCAGATGGGTTCTCTGCTCTTGAAACCTGTTTTCTGTTGTTTAAGATGTTTATCAAGACAATACGTGCACAGCTGAACCCAGACCCTTATCAGTTCTGTTTTGCCTTTTGTCCTGTTCCCTCAGAAGCATGTGATCTTCGTTCTGCTTTTTGCCCTTTGAAGCATGTGATCTTTGTACCTACTCCCTGTTTTACACCCCCTCCCCTTTTGAAACCCTTAATAAAAACTTGCTAGTCTGAGACTCAGGTGGGTATCACAGTCCTACCAATATGTGATGTCACCCCTGGTGGCCTAGTAAAATTCCTCTTTTTGTACCCTTTCTCTTTATTTCTCAGCCGGCCGACACTTATGGAAAATAGAAAGACTGGGGGCAGGTTCCCCGACAGTAGAGAAGTAAACATTTGCAAGTTCTACACACATGATATTTCAGAAGAAAAAGTTGGACAGTCTCTGACCTGAGACACATTCACCTCAGAATAAGCCATTTCTTTCTTTTTCTCCTTCTCTGTGATCCCTTCCCAGGTGTGATTATCTGCACAAATTACACCTGTTTCTTGAGAATATGCCTTTGAAGCATGAGCAAAACTCCCTCCCCTGAAACCACCACACCCACAGGCAGAAGGACCTAGAATTGCAGATAAAGACTGCCTTTGTTCTTTATCACAAGAGAGGTTCAGAACCAGTAAAATCCTACATAAAAACCAAAATGTGAGTTTCCCCTTTCCATCACTCAGTTGCCTTTCTCTGCCACAGATGCCAGAAATTTCTACTGCAGCAATGGGAATATGGGCCACACTGACCTGCCTCTACCAAATCCAAGCAGAGCAGTCTCTATGATCTTCATTTGGAACTAAAGCTAAACTCACCTCTCGTGAATGTATCTGAAAGCGCTCGTGATTGACCCCGGGCTCACCTTAGCCTCATATGTGGCACTTAATTCAAACAACATGGCTGCAAGGGAAGTGGAGCAAGATGACTAAATAGCACCCTCCAGCAATCATCCCCCAGATAAAACACCAAATAGAATGACTATCCAAATAAGAAGCATCTTCATAAGAGCAAAAAACTCTGGGGAGTGATCACAGGACCTAGTTTTAGCATCAAATCAAAGAGGCAGTGAAGAGGGTAAAAAAGAAAGCTGTTAATTGCCAACAGCAGCCCTCCTCCATTCCCTGGGAGTGCAGCTCAGCAGAGAGAGAAAATCCATGTGCTTACAGAAGGGAGAGTGCGGTGATTGTGAGACTGTGCAGTAAAACTCAGTGCTGCCTGTCATAGCAGAAAGCAGCATGGGGCAGAATTCAGCCAGAGCCTACAGAGGGAGCACTCAGACTAGCCCTAGTCAGAGAGGAATTGTCCATTTCAGTAATCAAAACCTGAGTTTCAGGTAGCCCCACCACCATAGGCTAAAGCACTCTGGGGTTCTAAATAAACTTGAAAGGCAGTCTAAGCCACTGGGACTGCAACTCCTGGGCAAATCCTGGTGCTTTGCTAGGCTCAGAGCCAGAAAACTTGAAGTGCATGTGACCTTGTGAGATGCCTACTGGGATGGCCAAGAAAGTGCCTGCATTATTACCCTTACCCTAGGCACAGGCAGTGCAGTTCACAGCTCCAGGAGAAAATCTTTCTTTCTACTTGAGGAAAGGGGAGAGAAGAGTTAATAAAAACTTTGTCCTGCAATTGGGACATCATCTCAGCCACAGTAGAATATGGCATCAGAAAAAGCCCTGAGGCTCCTATTCTAGGACTTAGTTCCTGAGTGACAGTTCTAGACATACCCTGGGCCAGAAGAGAACACACTGCCTTGAAGGGAAGGTACCAGTTCTGGCAGCATTCATCACCTGCTGAGTAAAGAGCCCTTGGGCCTTGAATAAACATCAGCAGTAACCAGTAAGCAGTAACTTGCTGCAGCCCTTCGGCGGGTGAGACCCAGTACAGTGCAATCCAAGCTGCTGCAGCCATGTGGAGAGACTCCTGCTTGAGGAAAAGAGAGGGAAGAAGGGACTTTGTCTCGAAGCTTGATTAGCAGCTCAGCCATAGTGGGGTAGCCGTAACAAGGTAGCTCCTGAGGTCTCTGATTTCAGGCCTTGGCTCCTGGATGACATTTCTGGAACCACCCTAGGTCAGAAAAAAAACCCACTTCCCAGCCGGGCACGGTGGCTCAGGCCTGTAATCCCAGCACTTTGGGAGGCCAAGGCGGTCGGATCACGAGGTCAGGAGATGGAGACCATCCTGGCTAACACAGTGAAACCCCGTCTCTACTAAAAAATACAAAAAAATTAGCCGGCGCGGTGGTGGGCACCTGTAGTCTCAGCTACTTGGGAGGCTGAGGCAGGAGAATGGCGGGAACCCGGGAGGCGGAGCTTGCAGTGAGCCAAGATCACTCCACTGCACTCCAGCCTGGGCTACAGAGCGAGACTCCGTCTCAAAAACAAAACAAAAAAAACCCCACTTCCCTGAAGCAAAAGAAGCAGGCCTGGCAGAGTTCACCACAAGCTGACCGAAGACCACTTAGGTCTTCAGTGGATATCAGCAGTAGCCTAGCAGTACTTGTTGTGGACTCTGGGTGGTGGTGGCCATGGGGAGTGGTTTCTTATGCTTGATAAAAGAGAAAAAAGAGTAGGAAGGATGTTGTCTCATGGCCTCGGTGCCAGCTAAGCCACAACAGAATAGAGCACCAAGTAGATTCCTAAGGTTTCTGACTCCATGTTCTTGCTACCAAAGGCATTTTGCTACCCCCAGCCCAGAGCTCACTGCCCTGAAGGAAAGGACATGAGCCTGGCTGGATTCACCACCTACTGAAGAGAACTTGGGTCTTGAGTGAACATCAGTAGTAGCTAGGTAGTGGTCACTGTGGGCCTTATGTGAGAGCCAGTCCTGTGCTGGCTTTGGGTCTGACTTAGTGTAGTCCTAGTGATGGTGGCCACAGGGGTGCTAGTGTTACACCCACTCCAGCTCCAGGTAGCTCAGCATGCAGAGAGAGAGAGATTCCATTTATTTGGCAGAATGTAAAAAAATAGAAAAAGAGTCTGCCTGGTAACCCAGAGACTCTCTTGGATCTTACCTATGACCACCAAAGTGGTACCTCTACAAGTCTGCAAGCATCACAGTGTTATTCAAATTGGGGTGCCCCCTAATGCAGATATGACTGCAATGATCAGACTCAGATTACAATACTCAATTCCCTTTGAATACTTGGAAAGCCTTTCTAAGAAAGACAGGTATTAAAAAGCCCAGAATGCAAAAACTAAAATAAATACCTAACTCATTAATGCCCAGACTTCAATGAACATTCACAAAAATTAAGACTATTCAGGAAAACACAACCTCATTAAATGAGCTAAATAAGGCACTAGTGTGCAAATCCTGAGACAGAGATATGTAACCTTTCAGACAGGAAATTCAAAAAAGCTCAGCAAAATTCAAAATAACAAAAAAAAAAGAAGAAAAAGAAATTCAGAATCTGGATCCAATAAAATTGATAATTTTGAAGAATCTAGCAAAAATTCTGGTGCTGAAAATTCAAAAGACATTGAAGAATTCATTAGAGTCTCTCAACAGCAGAACTGATCAAGCATAAGAATTAGTGAGTTTGAACACAGGTTATTTGAACAGATACAGTCAGATGAGACCAAAAAAAAAAAAATAGCCTCAAGAGGGCAACTCTAAGAAATATGGCCTTAAAGAGGAGGTAGAGAAAAAGTTCTGGGTAGAAAGTTTATTCAAAGGGATAACTAGAACTTCCCATACCTAAAAAAAAAGTATTAATATTCAAGTACAAGAAGGTTATAGAATACCAAGCACAATTCACTTAAATATGACTACCTGAAGTTTTTTTTTCAGACAGAGCCTCGCTCTGTCGCCCAGGCTGGAGTGCAGTGGCACAATCTCAGCTCACTGCAAGCTCCACCTCCTGGGTTCACGCCATTCTCCTGCCTCAGCCTCCCAAGTAGCTGGGACTACAGGAGCCCGCCACCACACCTGGCTAATTTTTTGTATTTTTTAAGTAGAGACGGGGTTTCACCGTGTTAGCCAGGATGGTTTCAATCTCCTGACCTTGTGATCCGCCCACCTCAGACTCCCAAAGTGCTGGGATTACAGGCGTGAGCCACCGCGCCCGGCCGACTACCTGAAGATCTTTAATAAAACTCTCAAAGGTCAAAGATAAAGGATTCTAAAAGCAGCAGAGAAAAGAAACAAATAACATTCAAACAAGCACCAATATGTTTGACAGTGGACTCATCAGTGGAAATCTTACAGACCAGGAGATGGAAATCTTACAGGCCAGAACTTTTATCCTAGAATAATACATCCAGCAAAAATATCCTTCTACCATAAAAAAAAAAACAAAAACAACTGACAAACAAGCTGAGAGATTTTATTAACACCCCCAGACCTGTCCCACAAAAAATGCTAAAGGCAGTTCTTCAATCTAAATGAATAGGACATTAATGAGCAATAAGAAAACATGTGGTACAAAACTCACTGGTAATATGAAGGACACAAAGACAAAATTTTTAGTACTATAAATGTGGTGTGTAAACTATTCATATTTTGAGAAGACTAAAAGATTAGTCTATAACTACTTGTAATTATGAAAAGTAATAACTCTTTCTCTACCTCCTTAAGGCCATAACTCATATTTCTACTTTTGAGGCAGTTATAGTTATTAAAAATACTAACCACAACAAGTTTAAGACATAGACAGTATAAGATATAAATACAAACAATAAAATGTTAAAAAGTTGGGAGATAAACTGTAGCTTTTATTAGTTTTCTCTTTGCTTTCTTGTTTGTTCATTTTTACAATATGTGTTAAGTTGCCATCCGTTTAAAATAATGGGTTATAAGATGTTATTTGCAAGCCTCATGGTAACCTCAAATAAAAAACCTGTAATAGACACACATACATAAAATCTAAAAATTAAAACGTACCACTAGAAAAAATCATCTTTACTAAAAGAAAGGATGAATGGGAGAGCGAAAAGGAGAGAGAAAAGACCACAAAACAGCAAGAAAGCAGATAACAGAATGGCAGGTGTAAGTCTTTATTTATTAATAACAACACTGAATATAAATTAACTCCCCAATCAAAAGACACAAATTGGCCAAATGAGTTAAAACAAACAAACAAACAAACAAAAAACCCAAGACCCGACAATTTGTTTCTTACAAGACACACACTTCACCTATGAAGACACAGAAAGACTGAAAATAAAGGGATAGAAAAAGATATTTCATGCAAATGGAAACAAAAAAGAGGAGGAATAGCTACGGTAAACAAAACAGACTTTAAGACAAAAACTATAAAAAGAGACAACCAAAGTTATTATAATAAAGTGGCCAATTCAGCAAGAAAATACAACAACTGCAAATTTATATGCACCTAACATTGGAGAACTCAGATATATGAAGCAAATATTAGAGCTAAAGAGAGAGAGATCAACTCCAGTGCAACAGAGACTTTAAACAGTAGACAGATCATCCAGATAGTAAAATCAACAAATAAACATTGAACTTAATCTGCACTATGAACCAAATAGACCTAATAGAAATTTACAAAGCATTTCATCAAAAAGCTACAGAATACAAATGCTACACTTCAGCCCTTGGATTATTCTCAAGGATGGACCATAAGCTAGGTCACAAAATAACTCTTAAAATAATCTCCCCCCAAATAAGATTATATCAAGTAATTTCTCTGATGATAATAGAATAAAACTAGTAATCACTAACAGAAAAAACTTTCGAAACTATACAAACACAGAGAAATTAAAATATGCTCCTGAATGACTAGTAGGCCAATAAGGAATTTAAGAAAAAAATTTAAAATGTTCTTGAAACAAATGAAAATGAAAACATAACAAAACTATGAATACAATGAAAGAAGTACTAAGAAGGTTTATAGCAGTAAGTGCCTACATCAAAAAAAGTTAAAAAAAAAATCTCCAAATAAACTATTGATATATCATACAGAACTAGAAAAGAGCAAACCAAACCCAAAATTAGAAGGAAAAAATAAAAACTATAGCAGAAATAAATGAATATAAAAACAAAAATTCAGAAGAAACATAATGAAAAGTTAGTTTTTTGAAAAGATAAAATTTACAAAACATTAGCCCATTGGCTAAAGATTTGGGATTCAGGGTCCCATGGTGTTTGAATTACTTTCAGGTCTGAAGGTGCCAAGTGCATTGAAAGATGGGGCTGGAATGGCTGATTGCTCTGCTGTGAAGCTATTTTTCTACAAATCTGGCTGAAGTGCTCTGGAAGGGACTGTGTATTAAAAATAGGCAGATAAATATTCTGCCTGCAGATTTTGGGGCAAGCCAAAGAGAGAAAAGCCTCTCTGAACTAAAGCCTTGTGTGTACCTCCTGTGTTTATATCCTGTCTGGTAATTCTGTACAGTGTTTGGAAAACATAATTAAAAACAAAATTATCTCCAACTTCAGAGACACTCTAAAATGGTACAAGAGAAAGAAAATTTTTTTTTTTACATAATTAAACCACAATGTGATACCCATCATAGGCAATCTGCTGAGATTACAAAAGCAGAGATAAAAATCACCATATTTAGTCTTTAAGTAGAAGACTTAACAGCATAATTTGTCATATATAGTTCATCTTAAATTAACCGGGTAATTGAGAAGCCTATATGTATATTGGGTATATTCAATGAAAATTTAAATTGGCTATATTCAAAAGCAAAATAAGATTTCCTTGGCTTCATAATATTTTATGAAGTTACCTACTGTAGGACAGAAAGGTAATCCATTTACATTTCAATGCAATGGTTTCCAGGTCCTAGAGAAAGACATTTCTAAGTTAAAAAGGCTGACAAAGTCCTATTTACCTGTTTAAATGATGTACATACATTTAACAGAGACACAAAATAAATTTACATGTAAAAGTTTTCTTAAATTATTTTTTAAAAGGAGAGTAAAATGTCTTTTTTTATCTTCAAGTTTCATAATTTAAGTCTGGTATTTCTAATTTGTATTTGCCCTTACAACAGCCAAGTCTAAGGCCATGACCTTGAACTCATGGACATCTGATTTCCAGTAGGCATTTTAATCAGGCACCCGACGAGTGGCATTGGGTACAATTTGTTCACATGAAAGAGGGTTTAGTCAGGAAGTAAAGGCAGAAGAAAGATGCTATGAAGGACTGTTAATCTGAAATAATCTGAATAATCAATAAAGCCTCAAAATCCAATTGTAGAGTTTATTCAAGTGAAAAGCTAGAAATAGTCATCCAGGAGACAAAAGCTCTAGTGAAATAAGATGAGTGCTTCATAGGTGAAAGTTAAGTTCTTATTTCTACAGGCGAAAAACAAATTTAACAAGACTACAACAGTTTCTATACAAGGCTGGCTTAAGATTTACAAAAAATTAATTGGTTACAATGTATTTTTCCAACTTTTTTTTTTTTTTACAACTGGTTTTTCTTTCCTTTTCAACCTAAGCGTGTATTTAACATTTCATCTTAAGACAATGCAATAGCCATAGGTAAGAGGGAGGTTAATCTATAACGAAAGTCAATAGTGAAGGGGAAAGAGGTCTTCCATGGGGCACTTCGGCCATTGACAACACCTGACAAAAGAATGCAGCTGTAGAAGTAGGTGTAATCCATAAACAGAA